>NC_000017.11:78438030-78738440 GCF_000001405.40 Homo sapiens
ACCAGGTGCTGGGCATGCCAGGATGTCTTCGGCGAAGCAACTGAGGCCCCAGAATCTATTTTTGTGTTCAATGAATTGCAAACCTCCAGCCTTACGGTGAGTCCTTTGTGTCCTCCCTGGCATAAGGCTGAGATTCTGTGGTCCCCACCCCTCCTCTTGAAGCTGAGGGCTTCCCACCGGGGCCAGGCTTAGCCCTGTGGATTGAGGTCGACACACACTGTAAGACCCGTGGAAGCTGGGACAGGCCCAGAGGCGCTCGAGGACAAGCGGTAGTGAGAAGGGGTCTTGGATGGGCTCCAGGGCTGAGGAGGGGTGGTCGTGCTAGCGTTGAACCAAATGTGCAGAGAGCATCTCCTGGGCGCTCTGGGCTTTGCTGCCTGCCCCAAGTGAGGAGAAGGAGGAGGAGGAGGAGGAGGGAGGAGGGAGGAGGAGGAGGAGATGCTTTTGTCAACCCAGCACTTGTCATCTTTTTTTTTTATTTTTTTGAGATGGAGTCTCACTCTGTCGCCCGGGCTGGAGTGCAGTGGTGCACTCTTGGCTCACTGCAACCTCTGCCTCCCCGGGTTCAAGCGATTTTCCTGCCTCAGCCTCCCAAGTAGTTGAGGTTACAGGCATGTGCCAGCACACTTGGCTAATTTTTGTATTTTTAGTAGAGACAGGGTTTCGCCATGTTGGTCAGGCTGGTCTCGAACTCCTGACCTCAGGTGATCCGCCTGCCTTGGCCTCCCAAAGTGCTGGGCCTACAGGTGTGAGCCACCGTGCCCAACCATCTGTTGTTTAAATAATCTCTGTTTGGGGTACTCTCGTATAAAGCCCAGCTTCCCTCTCACCGTTGAAGAATCCACGCTTTCCTCTGGGCAGTCATGGCGTGCCACACCACCCAGCTGACCCCAGCAGAGCCGACACTGGGGATGCCTCCTCCTTCAGTGGTGTTAGGATTTCCACCCACATTTCTGAATGCAAACTCCACATCCTGCTTCCTTCCGGGCCTTCTGGCCCATCCCCATTGGCCACCTCAGTGCGGGGAGCCCTTACCCTGCAGTGCTGGCCCCCTCGTACCTGCAGAATGACCCAGTGTCCTTTCTCTGCAGCCACGTCCAGGGCGTTCTCAGCCACCACCTCTTGTCCCTGCCCCAGGGACACATTATGGAGTTTTCCATTGTCTATGGTAAACCCTAGTTTTTTTCCTAAAGAAAAGAAAAACAGGAAAAAAACACCACGTAATTAAATGACACAGGTTCAGGCTCTGTGATCTACAGCCAGGAATTCCACATGCCTCCCTCATTTAGTTTCGGTGGTGAAATACACATGACATAAAACTTGCTGTTTTAAAACCCATCTTAAAGCGTACAGTGCACCGACATTCAGTATATTCACAATGCTGTGCAATCATCCGTTTGGTTCTAGAACATTGTCATGGCCCAAGAGGTGGTCCCCATACCCATTAGGCAGTCGCTCCCAATCTCCTCCAGGAGCCACTCGTCTACAGTCTCCTTTGTGTCTCCATGGATTTATCCATTCTGGATATTTCATATCAAGGGAACTGCACAATATGGGGCCTTTGTGTCTGGCTTCTGTCACTGAGCATAGTGTTTTTGAGGTCCATCCACGTTGTAGCATGTATCAGTACTTCACTTTTTTTTTTTTTTTTTTTTTTGAGATGGAGTCTCACTCTGTCGCCCAGGCTGGAGTGCAGTGGTGCCATCTCTGCTCACTGCAACCTCCACCTCCCGGGTTCAAGTGATTCTCCTGCCTCAGCCTCCTGAGTAGCTGGGACTACAGGCGCCCGCCACCACACCTGGCTAATGTTTGTATTTTTAGTAGAGATGGGGTTTCATCATGTTGGCTAGGCTGGTCTCAAACTCCTGACCTCAGGCGATCCACCTGCCTTGGCCTCCCAAAGTGCTGGGATTATGGGTGTGAGCCACTGTGGCTGGCCTCACTTTTTTTTGAGACAGGGTCTCAACTCTGTCACCTAGCCTGAACTCCACTCCCCAAGCTCAAGTGATCCTTCTGCCTTGGCCTCCAGAGTAGCTGGGACCACAGGCATGCACCACTATGCCCAGCTAATTTATAAAATTATCTGTAGAGACAAGCTCTCCCTGTGTTGACCAGGCTGATCTTGAACTCCAGGGCTCAGGTGCTCCTCCTGTCTCAGACTCCCAAAGTTCTGGGACTACAGCTGTGAGCCACTGCACCTGGCCGACTTCATGCTTTTTTTTTTTTTTTTTTTTTTTTTTTTTTGAGACAGGGTCTTACTCGGTCGCCCAGGCTGGAGTGAAGTGGCTTGATCACGGCTCACTACAGCTTCAACCTTTTGGGCTCAAGTGATCCTCCCACCTCAGCCTCACAGGTAACTGGGACTACAGGCGTACACCACCATACCTGGCTACGTTTTCTTGTATGTTTTGTAGAGACGGGGTTTTGCCATGTTGCCAAGGCTGGTCTTGAACTCCTGTGATCAAGCGATCCGCCCACCCTGGCCTCCCAAAGTGCTGGGATACAGGTGTGAGCTACCGCCCCCGGCCTGCTTCACTCTTTTTTAATCGAGGGATACTATTCCACCATATAGAGCCACCATATTCTGTTTATCCACTTATCCATTTGTCAGTTAATGGACATTTGGGTTGTTTCTGCCTTTTGGCTATTATGAATGAACGTCTGTGTAGAGTACTTGCTTGAACACAGATTTAAATTTCCAGTTCTTTTGGGTGTATACTCAGGCGTGGAATTGCTGGCTCTTGTGCCAATTCTATATGTAACTTACTGAGAAACCACCAGACTGTTTTCCACAGCAGCGGCCCCATTTTACATCCGCTCAGCAACCTACAAGGGTCGCAGTTCTCAGGCCTCACAACTCGTGTTATTTTCCTGTTCTTGATCATTGCCATCCTACCGGCGTGAAGCCGCGTCTTGGGTGTGAAGTGGTGTCTCATGTGCTTTTGGTGTGCATTTTCCTGGTGCCTGGTGATGCTGACAATACTCCGTCTTTGAGAACATCACTTGCCTGCTACACTTACCCAGGGCTTCCACGTCTTTCAAGGGGTCAACCCCCGGGGAGAGGATGAAGAAGATTGACGTGGAGGGGCTGCTCTCCTCGTAGGACTTAGAAAACTCAACACTCCGGCCTTCCACGAACTTGCTGCCCATCTTTTCCTCCACGAAGTTCCTAGGGGTGGAGTGCATCAGAGGCAGCGGAACCTGAGGCTCTGGGCCAGGGCGGGGCGCTCGGGGTGGGCTGTGGCCCAGGCAGGGGGGCCATTTTTTGGTGGACTTTCTTCAGCGGGACAAGGCCTGTGGCAGGAGAGCAGAGTCTTTACCGGGCTTTCCTTTCTGCGAGGGATTGGCCTTGTTTGCCTCGGGCACCCTTTCTTTCCCGAGGGGCCCCGCACTGTGCTCCTCCTTGGAGCAGCCTAAGCAGGTGCAGGGAGAGGCCAGCCTTGGAAGGCACCCAGGGTCAACTGCGGGGGGTGGGGGCGCTGAGAAGGAAGGAAGTTCAGATTAGAGCAAAGCTTTGGTGAGCCTAAAAAAGTCAAAGAAAAAAGCAACTTCAGATGATATAAACACCTCTCTCTACAAAAGCCCCCAACTCTTTCTAACATGACCCCAATAAGTCTGGGGTCAGTCGGGGTCTCGGCTAATCCTCCCATGGAGGACCGAGTGATGTTCTGGCGGTCTTTGGATCAGGTGTTGGCCTTTCTTCTGTGATCACAGAGGGCTGAGCTTACTGTAATGTATAAAGAATGAATCACCTGAGCTAAGATTAGTAAACTTGCCAGTGTGGTGGCTCATGCCTGTAATCTCAGCACTTTGGGAGGCCAAGGAGGGCAGATCACTTGAGGTTAGGAGTTTGAGACCAGCCTGACCAACATGACAAAACCCTCTCTACTAAAAATACAAAAAGTAGCCAGGTGTGGTGGCACAGGCCTGTAATTCCAGCCACTTAGGAGGCTGAGGCAGGAGAATCTCTGGAACCCAGGAGGCAGAGGTTGCAGTGAGGTGAGATGGCGCCATTGCACTCCAGCCTGGGCAAGAGAGCGAGACTCCATCTCAGAAAAAAAAAAATTAGTAAGATTTTAGTGGCCAGCTGGTCTCTGAAAGGAGGACAAATGGCCGCATCCCGAAGGGTGAGAACTGCTCGTCCCTGGGCAGGTGAACGCCCGAGTGCTCTGAGAGTCTGGGTCGACTTTCAGAAGGCTCTGCTCACACTCATGCCACCCAGCACACCTCACCTCCTCTGGTTCAACCAGCAATCAGCCGGCTATTGCCTGTCCATGCCCTTGGGACTTTCTGGGGACACCTGGATCTGCTATTCCTTTCCCTGCACTGGCCTTTGCTGGCTTGTCTCTGGTGTCCTGAACTGGGGCCAGCCTCAGGCAAGGGTGGGGAGGAGTTGCTCCTCCTGAAGGCCCCCAATTCTTTTTGGAACTCTGGAATGGCCTCAGACCCTAGATGCTGTGATCCTTGTCTAGGAAGGAACTTCCAGAACATATGAAGTCCTGCCCCTAGGCAGGAATGACTCTAGATCACCTTTGCTAATTACTTGGCCAGGCCAAATGGTCATCGGCTGTGGATGAATTAATGATGCAGAAGCATGCAGGCTGGGTTCGTCAGACCTCACCACCTCTGACATGGTGGCTTTGACAAAGGAGTGCTGGAGCCGGCTGGTGACAGCTTTCAGCAGACCCCGGCAACTAGTGCAACCGGCCACAGAGGAAGCACTTACGCCATGGAAATTGGCACATGCTGTGCGTCAGGGTTTGTGTTGCGCACGTGGGGGTGGCCTGGCCTGCCCTCCCAGTGCCTGTGACCTGAGTGTGGAAGTGCTCCCGCGGCTGTCAGTGCTTGCAACAGTGCCTGACACGAGACACCCTTGGCCAGTGCTGGCTTTGTTATTAGTCACGTCTGTTTCAATCTCCTTGCTTTTAAGCGACCCCCTCCCTATACAATCAGGGCAGTAAATCTGCTTTGCTCCACGTCATAGAAATGTGAAACACGTCAATGCTGAGGGATGATCTGCGCTCATGGGTGTTTGGGATGGTCCAAGGCCACCGCAGAGCACGCAAATGCTTCCGCAGTGGGTGGCTGTTTCCTTCTTTTAGGTGGCCAGAGTGCAGTCACACAGGCTAACTTAGGCGATTCTCAGAAGCTCTCAGGAGATGGGGAAGGTCACCTCACCTCATCCTCTAGACGAGGAATCGGATGCACACTGGGTCTTGTGACCCAAACATGCTGCACACTCCCACAGGAGAGGGTGATCCCGCTGCGATGGCCGAGGGACCTTTACCTTGGCCTTTCCCAAACCCTGACCCCCGCTTCCTCCAGCTCTGACCCTGGGACACAGCTGGCATTCTCCCTGGACCTCGCTGCTCTCCTGCATCACAGTGACTTCTGGCTTCATTCCACCCCCTCCTCCCCACCACTCCCGGTCCCTGTCCTCTCCTATCGGAGGAAAACAAGGCAAAACTAAACTCAGTCCTGGGAGTTAGGCCTCTGCTTTGTCAGAAGGGAATTCTTTTTATTTTTATTTTTATTTTGAGGCAGGGTCTCGCTCTGTCACCCAGGCTGGAGCGCAGTGGCACAATCTCGGCCCACTGCAGCCTCCACCTCCCGGGCTCAACCAATTCTCCCACCTCAGCCTTCTGAGTAACTGGGACTATAGGAGCCCGCCACCGCGCCCTGCTAATTTTTAGACTTTTTGTAGAGATGGGGTCTCACTATGTTTCCCAGGCTGGTCTCAAACTCCTGGGCTCAAGTGATCCTCCCCAAAGTACTGGGATTACAGGTGTGAGCCACTGCACCTGGCCATCAGAGGGTAATTCTATTAGGGACATGAGTGTCCTTTGGGAAACCTGGCTGCTTTCAGGCTACTTGGAGAAATGAAAAGGGGAGAAGCCAGACAGGCCACAGGTGCTCTGAGGACAGACCCCAGGCTCGTTTCTGTGCTAAACGTCACCTCCTTCCTTCAACAGCCCATCCTTCCAACAGGGAAGGGTTTCAGGTCTGGAGAAATTGTTGGTGAAATCAGAACAGTTCTCTTGCAAACTAGCCATACTAATATACCTCGATTGACTTTACGTTTTGCCACAGAGGTACTCAAAGTCCTCGAATGCTGATGGGTTTGCCATTGTTTTCTCCCTCAAAACATCTTAAAAGGACCCCATTTGTATGGCCTCAGTGCTTATTCACGTCCACACTTGACATCTTACTTTCAATGTAGGAGGCTCATGTGGGGAGTCTTTTCTTCCTATCATGTATCGCAGGGCACCCCTCCTCAGTCAGGTTAGCGGGGGACAAGGGGTTCCCCTAATGATACTCTGAGACATTAAGGATTAACAAGAACTCAGGACTGGAGTCCGCAGCCTGGGGTGGAATCCTGCCTCTGTCCTCGAAGAACTTTGTGTGAAATGATTTACCCCTCTAAGCCCTGTTTCGTTTCTGTGTAAAATGGGGAGAAGAAAAAAGTTCAGGGGATCAACTCAAGTCCACAGAGAGTCTAGCACAGCCGCTCGGTCAAGCTTCCATCAGGCCTGGGCCTCGGGGGCGGGGCCCCCGGCGCGGCGGGACACTCACTTGATAGCGTAGGTCATGCGATCTGGCCGCAGGCAGCGCACCATGCACAGCTTCTGCAGGGCCGTCTTGTTCTTCCACTCCTTGGGGAAGATCTCCTTCTCGGGGGCTTCCGACTCCACCAGCTTTTTCCAGCGCTTGGCAGATCCTTCGATGTCACTGTCCAGATTTTTGAACTCATCCATCTCCGAGAGGGCCTAGGGGCAGAGGCAGCGGGCCCTGTGACTCTTCCCACTTACCCGGGTCCCGAGAGCCTTCCTGTACAGTTCATTCAAGGAGGAGAGGCCATTACCCTCCGAGGAAACCGGGGCTCTGGGATAAGGAAGCCCGAGAGGCTGGCCACCAAAGCAGGAGCTGTCCATGCCCAGCTCAGGCATCCCAGGACAGCGCCGGGAGCCTCCTCGGCAGGGTCTAACCTGCGGACATGAGGCCTGGGATGGGCTAGGGGCTGCTTCTCTAGGGGTCTCTGCAAATGGGGCCATTCTAGCTCAGGGGACGACCTTCTTCAGGTCTTTTTGAACAGACCTTGAGACTCGAGGGTCCCTGACTGTGTCCAGGAATCTGAAGAACAAACTTTTCACTTGCCACTTCCCTTACGCTGGGAGGAGGGGAGGCTGGGGGGAGGAGGGGAGGCTGGGGGGAGGAGGAGAGGTTGAGGGAGGGATGGTAAGAGGCCCTGAGGCCTCTTCTGGCCCCCAGAGGATATCACTCTCTGCTTGCTGTGTGCAGGTCTCAGGGACCTAACACATGTCACATTCCCTATAGGAACGCAGAGCTATCTGTGAGCTGGCAGCCAGCCCATCTTGGTCTCCATCCCTATGTGCGGGGCCTCCTTGCTTTACTGAATTTATGGGCCACAGAGCCTGGTATTCTGGCCTTGGAAACATCCGCAGCATCAGCTGGAGGGGGCTCCACGGCGGGGAGAAAGCACAACGTGTTCAACGTCTAAAGACGAACCTTGATCCCGCCCCAGCCTTGATGCTGGAGGAAGTCCACTGGTGAGACCACTCCGGCCTTAAAAGGGAACCGCAGGAGGAAATCCAGCTCCACTGGGTTCAGCTCCTTCTTCATGGACAGGACCTGGGGGAACATCGAGGTGTACACACTTAACGCAGCCAGTAAAACGTCAGCAGCCCTGAAGATGCGCGCTGGACTCGAAGAGGAGTTCACACTCCCGGCCTGCAGGGGGCGCCCTGTCCTGCCCCTTTGGTTTGGGGTAAAGTTTTGTCTTCACCTCGTCTCGCTTTTTAAGTTGTGAAATACACATACCATAAAATTGACCATTTTGGCCGGGCACAGTGACTCACGCCTGTAATCCCAGCACTTTGGGAGGCCGAGGAGGGGGTGGATCACTTGAGCTCAGGAGTTCGAGACCAGCCTGGCCAACATGGTGAAACCCTGTTTCTACTAAAAATACAAAAAAATTAGCCGGGCGTGGTGGTGCATGCCTGTAGTCCTAGCTACTCGGGATGCTGAGGCAGGAGAATCACTTGAACCTGGGAGGCAGAGGTTACAGTAAGCCGAGATTACGCCACTGCGCTCTAGCCTGGGCAACAGAGTGAGACTCTGTCTCAAAAAAAAAAAAAAAAAAAAAAAAATTGACAATTGTAACCATATTTTAGTGTGCAATTCAGTGGCATTTCACATGATTCGCAGCATCGTGCAACCATCAGCACTCTCTAGTTCCAGGACTTTTTTGTTACCCCCTCGCCCCTGAAGCAGCCACTCCCCATCGCCCCTTGCCTCTGAGAGCTGCTCATCTGCCTTCTGCCTAGGGATGCCCCTGTTGTGGATGCTTTGTATAAATGGAAGCACACGACATGCCCCGTTTGCATCTGGCATCTTTCACTTAGCGTGATGCTTCTGAGGTTCATCCATATTGTAGATGTGTCAGAACCTCCTTCCTCTGTAAGGCCGAGTAATACTCCATTCTTGAATATAACCACGCTGGCATTCTCCATTCACCTGCTGATGGACAGCGGGTCGTTTTGGCTGTTGTGAATTGATTAGCTTTGCTGATTTTTTAAATTTATTTTATTATTTATTATTATTTATTTTTTTGAGACAGAGTCTCACTCTGTCACCCAGGCTGGAGCGCAGTAGCGCAATCTCGGCTCACTGCAACTTCCACCTCCTGGGTTCAAGCAATCCTCCTGCCTCAGCCTCCCAAGTAGCTGGAATTACAGGTGTGTGCCACCATGCCCGGCTAATTTTTGCATTTTTTGTAGAGACAGGGTTTCACCGTGTTGGCCAGGCTGGTCTTGAACTACTGGCCTCAAGTGATCTGCCCACCTTGGCCTCCCAACGTACCAGGATTACAGGTGAGAGCCACTGTGCCCGGCCTTGTTGTCTTTGAGAGACAGGGTGTTGCTCTGTTGCCCCGGCTGGAGTGTAGTGCTGTGATCATGGCTCACTGCAGCCTTGAACTCTTGGGCTCAAGTGACCCGCCTATCTCAGCCTCCCAAGTAACTGGGACTACAGGTGTACATCACCTCACCTAGCTATTTTTTTGTGGAGATGGGGTCTTGCTATATTGACTGGGCTAGTCTCAAACCGCCTCAAGTGATCCTCTTGCTTTGACCTCCCAAAGTGTTGGGATACTAGGCATGAGCCTCAGTGCCCGGCCTCATCTGGCTTTTGGCTGCTGCGATTAATGCTGTTGTGAATGCTGATGTACAGGAATGTGGACAGATGCTGGACACCTGTTTACAGGTCTTGTGGGTGTGTGCCCAGAAGTGGAAGCCTGGGTCATATTCCATGCCATCTTGTCGCTTGTGCATGCCGGCCCTCTGGACCTCCTGTGGGCAGGGTCTGGGTCATTTTGAAGTGGTGTATTGGGCAGCTAACCTGGCACCCTCTGTCTCAGATGGGCAGCAGGTGGCTGGGAGCAGGGGCAATGGCCACTGCCATCTCCTCAGTCAAGTGCCCAAACGGTCTGTTTTTCAGATCCCATAGAGAGTTTCTTCCTGAGCTGGACTCTTTCTTTTGGTCAAACAAAACGTTCTTTGGGACCAAAGAGAATGCTTTCTACCCTGGAAAATTAGGGGGAGCACTGAGGAACTCTTATCCTGATGACCTCTCAGCCAGGAGAAAATCTCATAGTGAACCTATGATTCAGAGATTCACATGTAAAAGGAACCTTCATAATATGGACCCCATTGGTTCAAAGTTTGAGTTTGAATTGAAAGCCAGGCTTACACTGATGCCCAACCTGTTTATACAATTAGTGTTGCCCAGCCTGGGCAATGTAGCAAGACCCTGTTTCTTTAAAAACATTTTAAAAAATTAGGGCCGGGTGCGGTGGCTCATGCCTGTAATCCCAGCACTTTGGGAGGCCGAGGCTAGTGGATCACCTAAGATCGGGAGTTCGAGACCAGCCTGACCAACATGGAGAAACCCCGTCTCAACTAAAAATACAAAAATTAGCCAGGCATGGTGGTGCATGCCTGTAATCCCAGCTACTCGGAAGACTGAGGTAGGGGAACTGCTTGAACCCGGGAGGTGGAGGTTGTGGTGGGCTGAGATTGCACCATTGCACCCCAGCCCGGGCAACAAGAGGAAAACTCCGTCTAAAAAACAAACAAACAAAAAAACCAGAACAGAAAAAAAAAAAAATTAGCTAGGCACAGCAGTGTACACTTGTATTCCCAGCTACAGGGAGGTTGAGGCAGAAGGATCACTTGAGCCCAGGAGTTCAAGACCGGCCTGGGCAACAGAGCGAGACTTTGTCTCTACTAAAAAATAAATAAATAAATAAAAAATTAAAAAACTGAAGAATTAGCCTAGCATGGTGGCACATGCCTGTAGTCCCAGCTACTGAGGCGGCTGAAGTGGGAGGATTGCTTGAGTCCAGGAATTCAAGGCTACAGTGAACTATGATTGCACCACTGCACTCTAGCCTGGGTGACAGAGTGAGATTGTCTCAAAATAGCAGCAGTAGCAACAACAACAAAAACTAGTGTTTCCAACCATACTTATGGCACAGTGTAAAGGAAATTGCAGAGGGGCTGTACTATGGTTTGAATGTGTTCCCCAAAAAGCATATGTTGGAAACTGAATCCTCAGTGCAACAGTGTTGGGAGGTGGGGTCTGAGAGGCAGTTGGGCCGTGACAGCAGAGTGAATGGCTTAATGTCATGATCAAGGGAGTGGGTTTGTTACACAAGGAGTTTGGCCCGTTTTGTGCTCTCTCTCGCCCTCTAGCCTTCCACCATGGGATGACACAGCAAGAAGGCCCTTGCCAGATGCCAGCACTTTCATATGGAACTTCCCAGACCCCAGGACCATGAGAAATAAATTTCTATTGTTTATAGATTACTCAGCCTTGGGTATTCTGTTATAGCCGCACAAAACAAATTAAGACAGGCTGTTTAATCAATTTCAGAGAATGCAGATCTTTAAATATTTTAGCAGGGCTGTATAAACAGGAGGAATATTTGTTTATTCATACACTTATTTCTTAAGAAACATCAGTCACCCCACAGTGGGCTAAGCACTAATGCAGGACTATTTACTCAGCACAACTTACATGTAAAATGAATTTCCTTGTGAAATTCTCCTTAAAACACCACCCCTTCACTAGCTCCCATTGGAATACTGTGCCAGCTTCCCAAATATCAACTAGGAGAGCCCCAGGCCTGTTCCACGTCAGGCATCTCAGACTTTATAATCACCTGGGTATATTGCTAAAATGCGGGTTTGAAATCACCAGGTTTGGGTGGGGGCCCAACAATCTGCCTTTCCACAAAGCTCCCAGGGGTCAGTGACACCGCTGGTCCACGGACCACACTAGGAACAGTGAGGCTAGACATTACCTGAAACGTAACTTGTGCCAGGAAAATGAGTTTGTCCCTCTCGAAGAGTCCCCGGGCCGTGTACATGTAGACGGAGTAGGTGATCTCGTCCGTCAGGTTGATCACCCGCTGCTTCACCTCGTTGGCAGGGGTGGTCCTCTGGATGGCTTTCTCAAACACCACGTTGAAGGCCTGGGGATCCGCCACCGAGAGCCATGGAGGCGTGCAGAGATGGAGCCCTTCACCACTCCCCGCCACCACTCCCTGCCACCTGTGGTGGCCTCCAGTTTGTTTTGTTTCTTTGAGACAGAGTCTTGCTCTGTCGCCCAGGCTGGAGTGCAGTGGCGTGATCTTGGCTCACTGCACCCTCTGCAGTGAGGGAGGTTGCAGTGTTCAAGCGATTCTCCTGCCTCAGCCTCCCAAGGCGCACACCACCACACCTGGCTAATTTTTTTTTATTTTTAGTACAGACAGGGTTTCACCATGTTGGTCAGGCTGGTCTTGAACTCCTGACCTCAGGTGATCCACCCGCCTCGGCCCCCCATAGTGCTGAGATGACAGGCATGAGCCACCATGCCAGGCCATCCAGTTTGTTTTGATTGGGTTGTGAGTGCCTGGAGGCACCAGGGGAAGAGCAGGGAGGAGGGAGCAGCTCATACCCTCTCCTGGGGAGAATGGGTGTAGGACTGATGGGGGCCCCTGGCTCCCCCTCTTCCAGCTCCATCTGCAGGCTGGACCAGGTCTGCCCTCTGAGGGTGGCCCTGGCACTGCCCGATGGCTGTGTGGGCAACAGGCCTGGCTGTGGAGCCCAGATGCAGCCCCACCTTGAGGGAGGCACCCAGCCCCAGCTGCAGGGCGCACCTTGAGGGAGAACTGGTAGACGGGGTTGATTTTGTTGAGATCGTTCAGTATGAAGTAGAGCAGAGATGCCCTCTCCGCAGCCGGGCGGTAGTTCTCTCTCGCTTCGTTGATTTTAACTTCTGTGATTTTTGCCTCCACCACCTCGACACAAACAAAAGGGGTGTGAATGACACAGCAGATGGGCAGTGCCATGAGCAGGTGGGCTCATTCCCAGCCACCAGCCTCGCTCCCTGGGAAGCCACCCAAGGGCTCTCAGCAGCAGCTGGGTGCAGGATGGGAGCCCAGACCCCTTCTCCTGCCCTGGGCCCACTCGGGCACGTATGACCGAAGCTGCTTTTCTCCTTTCTCATGGTAGGGAGGCGCCGATCGCCCGTGGCCCAGCCTCCCAAGCCCTGGCTGCCAGGGCACGTCACCGAGGCAGCTCTGACCTTCTCCTCGATCTCGCTGGCTGTGTGCTTGGTGGTCTCCAGATTCTCCACCAAGGCCGTGTCTCCCAGAAAGTTCCCCGACGCAGCCGACAGACGGGCCAGGAGCGAATCTTCCAGCTCTTTCAGAACAATCTTAAATTCGTTTTGAGACTTGGTGAGGTTTGCCTGCAAGGGGAGGTGCAGGAGTCACTGCATTGCCTGGCTCTGTCCACCGGGCACCCGGGCCTCCCTCAGGTGGCCATGTAGCTGAGCCAAGGCCCAGGCTTTGAGCGGGAGGAACGAGCTCAGGTCCTGGAAGGGGCTGCAGAAGCAGAGCCCCTGGAACCTCAGAGAGGCCCTGGCCCTGCTCCCAGCCTTGAGGCTTCCTGTCACGGAGACTGTAGGGGGCAGAACGGGGACAGGCGGGCCTGGGCCTCCTGAGCCCATGCAAGTGGCTATAACAGCCAGAAATGTGGCAGGTGCAAGGGCTGGCAGCCAGGCCATTCTTGCAGGGCAGCGCTTTGGAGCTTAGAGCCCCCGAGGACCGCTGTGACTCATGTTCTTTAAGCAAAGAGGTCATGTGACTTAGAATTAAATTTGGGAGCAGGAAGAGGGGACAGCTGGGGAAGGAAATGAGCCATCCTGTCGTATGAGAAGCTGTGATGCCGTGGGACACACTGAGGCACCTTCAGAGAGAAGCAACGACACACACTGGACTGGCAGCCCTGGTCGGGGACCCTCACAGTGACCTGGCCCCCTCTGTGTGGGACGGCACCTCCTCCCGTGTGACCAAACTTCAGGCCATTACCTTCAGCTGTTCCAGATCTGGGCGCTCTTTGGCCACCACAGCGGCCAAGAGTTGGTCCTCGAGTCCATCCCTGGTGACCAGGAAGTTGATGAGGGTGCACTGAGCCTGCATCTCTGGCTTGTAGTGTGGGTTGAAGTACTTGGTGTGTAGGATCAGGCGGAACTTGGGGTGGTACTCCACCTCCTTGTCACCGATCTTAATGTACCTGGCGGTTGGTGGAGGAAAGGGTTAGTGGGCCTCCCAGTGACCAGGGGAGAGGAACACAAGTACAGACCACCTTTCACCCCAGCCCCAGGCCAGGCCGCCACCTTGAACCCTCCCTTCTGGTCCCTGGAAGAGCACTGCACCTCTCCTTGTCTGTTCCTCCTCCCTGGCCTGTGACGTGGGCCCTTCTGGGAGATGCACCTGCTCTTTCCTTGGGTGATCAGGCTCATCTTTGCAGCAGGGTTTACACCCCTCTGGCGATACTCTGTCCTCCCCTGGGAGCCCTGACCGAAACCTTCTGCTTGGCCTCCACCCAGACTCATTTACAACATTCGTCCATTCTGGAAGCTCCCAGGACTGCAACCCTGGGTCTGCTCATCCACTGTGGGGGGCGCTTCTCTCCGGCTCTACACCCTGCTGTCCCCTCTTTGTAGCTGGGCTCACTTTGAGGGGCCTCTGGCTAGCTTCACCCCTCAGCACTCACACCAGGCCCCTCCCAGAGTCTAGGACCTCTGCATATTGATTTGCCACCTCCTGGGTTCTGGGTTTCTGCATGCATCTCTGCATTTAAAGGTGGCTCCTGTCAGCTCTGACATTTACATTTTTAAAGTAGATTTAATTTTTTAAAATTGTAAAATGAATAATGCAAGCTCCACGCATCAGCTGATGAGTGGACAAACACAATGCGCCCGGCCACACGTGGAAAATGATTCTGCCATCAAGAGGAATGAAGGACTGACACATGCGACCACGTGCATGACCCCAAAAAACATGCTAAGTAAAGGCCGGGCGCGGTGGCTCCCGCCTGTAATCCCAGCACTTGGGGAGGCCGAGGCAGGTGGATCACCTGAGGTCAGGAGTTCGAGATCATCCTGGCCAACATGGGGAAACCCCGTCTCTACTAAAAATACAAAAATTAGCTGGGCACGTTGGTGTGTTCCTGTAATCCCAGCTACTTGGGAGGCTGAGGCAGGAGAATCACTTGAACCCAGGAGGCAGAGGCTGCAGTGAGCAGAGATCGTACCACTGGACTCCAGCCTGGACGACAGAGCGAGACTCCATCTCAAAAAACAAACAAAAAATGCTGAGTAAAAAGAGCCAGACACAAAAAGACACATGTTGCTTGATTCTCTTCAGAGGAAATGTCCAGAATAGGCAAATCCACAGACACAGAGAGCAGAGTAGTGGATGTTAGGGCTCAGGAGGGAGGGGAATGAAGAAGAGTGGGTACAGGGCTTCCTTTCGGGGTGGTGAAAATGTGCAACTGGACAGATGTGTTTGTACAACATCGTGAGTGTACCAAATGCTCAATTGTGTATTTTAATGTGGTTAATTTTACGTTATGTGAATTTTTAAAGGTAATGCAGTCCCAAGATTTGCAAAATGCCTAAGAACAGAATGAAGACAGACATCACCTTCAAGCCTCCCCATCTGGAGGCCATCACTGATAAAATGTTGGCGGAGATATTCCTAATTGGGAAGTGGCCCCTCTTTCCAGTCTTTCCTCAGGAGCTGGGGGTTCCTTCCCACCAGCAGGCACTTTGTCAAAGCCCTTGCTGCTTACCAGGGAAGCAAAGGAAATTCCGGGCGTTTTCTCTACATGCACACGCCCAGGCCTCGGGCCTGAAGATGTTTACCTGGCTCAAGCCACGGAGGCGGAAACAACTCACTTTCCCTTTTTAATCGTGTTCCTGCCCAGTAGAGGGTCCAGCACGGGGTCCACGGTTTCGCCGATGTTCTCAATGAGCAAGGTGTCCCCTTCCGAGATGGCCTGCTCGATGACATCCAGGTAGCTGCGGGCACAACACGGAAGCTGGTTCATGGCAGAGGGCCTCGTGATGGAACGGTGCGCACGCTCCGACCAGCAGCCCCTGCCCTCTGAGCGAGACAGCGCCAAGCGAGGGGTGACCTAGGAGCCCACAACTTGTTCCCAACAGCTCGCCCTTTCCTGAAAGGAGCCGAGGGGCTTCTTTGTAAACTGCCCCCGTGCTCTTATGGGAGTGGAGATGAAAATGGAAACAGTTTTGCTTTTTGAGACAGGGTCTCATTCTCTGGCCCAGGCTGGAGTGCAGTGGCATGAGCAGGGTTCACTGCAACCTTGACCTCCCAGGCTCAAGTGATCCTCCCATCGCAGCCTCCTGAGTAGCTGGGACTACAGGCTCATGCCACCACACCCAACTAGGTTTTTTTTGTTTGTTTGTTTTTTGTTTTTTGTTGGAGAGACAAGGTCTCACTATGTTGCACAGGCTGGGCTCAAACTCCTGAGCTCAAGCGATCCTCCTTCCTCAGCCTCCCAGAGTGCTGAGATTACAGGTACGAGCCACCACACCCGGGCTGGAAGCAGCTTTGAGTAGCTTTATGGCCACAGAGACAAATGTTTTCATATCCACCCGCCATTGGATTTTCCAGCACCGCTAGGAAGCAGGGCATCACTGTACCTGTGTCGTTATAGCCATTGTTTCTCAACTGTGATGAGAATACAGACCACGAGACCCAGGAACATGACCAGCCTCAAACCTCCCAGCCAGCAAATGGCCAAGCGGGAGGCAACCCCAGGCCTGAGCCTCCGTCTCACTCTCCTTTCCCTGCAGGAGCAGCAGGTGATGGGGACAGGGGAAGGGAAAAGAGCTCCTCATTTCATTCTTTACTACTGCTGCTGTTCCCCAGGCCAGATTTAAAACCTGTGGGCTAGTACTTGTATTGAAAGACCCACCCATCCATTGAACCAATATGGAATGCCTAAGGCGTGCTTCCAAGCAGAGCCGGGCTTCGGCCCAGGTCCTGCGCCCGCACACACCTCTTCTGTCCCAGGCGGATGGCTTTCAGTTCACTCCTGTATTTGTTTTTGATCCACTTGATTCCTTGGAGCTGGGCGTCCACGATCAGCGGCCACCGCTCGGTGTTGCCCAGGATGGTGGCATTCTCGGTGGACATGCGGTCGCTGGGGAGGCCCTGGTTGTTCCAGGTGGCCACGTCCGCGTCATCTGTCAGCAGGCTCAAGGGATCCAGGCCATTCGTGATCGGGATGGGGACCTGCCCAGGGAGGCACACTTTCTTAGAGGGGGTAATGCGACCTTATTACTTACTAGAAAATAGCTCTCCAAATAATGCTCTGTCTGGTGCTGCGGTTAGGGGTGGACCAGCAGGACGACCTGGGAGAAGCCAGCCATTTCCATCACTCTGGACAGAGCAGCTTTGTAACTCGGCCAGAAACGATGTCAGCACAGCAACACCGGGCCACGTTTTTTTTTTCCCCTGACAGAGTCTCACTCTGTCACCCAGGCTGGAGTGCAGTGGTGTGATCTTGGCCCACCGTAACCTCTGTCTCTCGAGTTCAAGAGATTCTCCTGCCTTGGCCTTCTGGGTAGTTGGGATTACAGGTGCCCGCCACCATGCCCAGCTAATTTTCGTAGTTTTAGTAGAGACGAGGTTTCACCATGTTGGCCAGGTTGGTTTTGAACTCCTGACCTCAGGTGATCTGCCTGCCTCAGCCTCCCAAAGTGCTGGGATTACAGGCGTGAGCCACCATGCAATGCCACTGGGCCACATTCTCATCCCCAAAGGGGCCTGAGCCTCATCACGGAAGTCAAGGTGCCATGTGGCTGGTTCTGCCCTGCTGGGACCTCCCCACATTTCCCGAGTGATGAGTAGGACTCCATTTTTTTTTTTTTAAGATGGGGTCTCGCTGTGTCGTCCAGGTTGGAATGCAGTAGTGTGATCTCTGCTCACTGCAACCTCCGCCTCCAAGGTTCAAGTGATTCTCCTGCCTCAGCCTCCCCAGTAGCTGGGATTAAGGCGCCCCCCACCAAGCCTGGCTAATTTTTTTTTAAATTTAATAGAGATGGGGTTTCACCATGTTGGCCAGGCTGCTCATGAACTCCTGGCCTCAAGTAATCCGCCCGCCTCGGCCTCCCAAAGTGCTGGCATTACAGGCGTGAGCCACCGCGCCTGGCCAGGACTCCACTCCTTACCTTTAAGTTATGTATGTAAGGGATCCAGAATTTCTCCATCAGCTCATTCCGGTATTTCTTGGTGAAGTAGCCCACGTAGGACACGAAGGCAGAGATGAGCAGGACGTCCCCACACAGCGTGACCCCCTGGCTCCTGAAGTTCTCCACAGACTCAGCCCAGCGGATGTTTTCCGATGCTAATCCCCCGACCAGCCTAAAGTGGGATGAGAGAGAATAAAACATATTTGCACAAGTGAGGGGACTGGACCAGACAAGCCTCCACCTCTGCACCTCTGTGAATCTTCAGAGTTTCCCGTCTGCACCTGGCTCAGTGGCTCAATGATGAAAATGCTTTTGGGAGGAAATGCTTTAGAGAAGCCCGAATCATGCTTTGTGGCCGGGCGTGGTGGTCATGCCTGCAATCCCAGCACTTTGGGAGGCTGAGGCGGGTGGATCACTTGAGGTCAGGGGGTCGATACCAGCCTGGCCAATATGGTGAAACCCCGTCTCTACTAAAAATACAAAAATTAGCCAGGCGTGGTGGCCCATGCCTGTAATCCCAGCTATTCAAGAAGCCGAGGCGGGAGAATTGCTTGAACCCGGGAGGCGGAGGTTGCAGGGAGCCGAGATTGGGCCACTGCATTCCAGCCTGGGTAACAGAGCAAGACTTCATCTCAAAACAAAAACAAAAACAAAAAATAAAACAAACAAAAAACTCCTTGGCAGCCCTTAGGAATGCTGTGTTTCCTCTTCCCAAGTCACCCGCATTGACACCCAAGTTGCCCACATTGACACCCGGCTATGGCTGATGCCATTTGATTGCCTCTCTCCTGTGCTGAAGATGCTGCCAGATACCACAGAGCACTGTCTCGACCAGCTGGTGACAGAGCCCGGGTGAGGACCACGGTGGCCACAGAACAATGTGGCATCCAGAAGGCACCTGGCCCTGCATGGAATGGGGACTCCACGATGCGCCTCGTGCTTCTCGGGCCACCATCTTGAGGACTGGTCCCTAACCCTCAGAGGCACACCACGGGTCTGAAAGTGTTGGCATGTTTGTTGCAAGTCCAGGTTGCCTGTTAGAGCCACTGAGGGTCTGTCTGTGGCACCATCTGAGCAGCCCTTACTTCCCAGTGACCTAGAGACCATTTCGATTTGGCAGGTGAGGTTAAATCCCTCATACCCGGGGCACCACCCTGAAGACCAGCCTCATGCAGCCTGGGGCACTCACAGCTGACAACTGGCCCATCAGTGGCAGCCACCCACTTGGGAGGAGAAAACACAGCTTGCAGGCCTGGAACAGACTCAGCCCCAGGCTCTGCTGAGGCTCCGGGTGCTCCCCTGTGAGAACAGGAAAGGCACACTCCCCTGTTGTTCAGCAGGCAGCTGCCAGCCCTGGGGCTCCCAAACACTGGGACCACGGCAGGTCTGCTCTGAGATGTGCTCTGTGTTAAAAGGCATGAAGGGGCCGGGCGTGGTGGCTCACGCCTGTAATCCCAGCACTTTGGGAGGCCGAGGCAGGTGGATCACCTGAGGTCAGGAGTTCGAGACCACCCCGGCCAACATGGTGAAACCCTGTCTCTACTAAAAATACAAAAATTAGCCGGGTGTGGTGGCACGCATCTGTGGTCCCATCTACTTGGGAGACTGAGGCAGAAGAACTACTTGAACCCGGGAGATGGAGGTTGCAGTGAGCCAAGATCGTGCCACTGTACTGCAGCCTGGGTGACGGAGTGAGACTCCCCTGTCTCCAAAACAAAACAAAACAAAACAAAAAAACAAAAAAAGACATGCAGGGTGTCAGGGCTCAGGATGAAAACAAGCACAGGAAATACCTCATTGATAATTTTTATATTAGTTACGTGTTGAAATAATATTTTGGATATTTGGGGTTAAATAAAATTATAACTGTTTCTTTGTACTTAAAAAATTTTTTTGTAGAGATGGGGTGTCACTATGTTGCTCAGGCTGGTTTCAAACTCCCACCTCAGCCCTCCAAGTGCTGGGACTACAGGTGCGCACAGCCGTGCCTGGCTTTTTTTTTTTTTTTTTTTTTTTAGACAGTTTTACTCTTGTCACCCAGGCTGGAGTACAATGGCGCGATCTCGGCTCACTGCAACCTCCGCCTCCTGGGTTCAGGTGATTCTCCTCCCTCAGCCTCCCAAATAGCTGGGATAACAGGCGACTGCCACCACACCCAGCTAATTTTTGTATTTTTAGTAGAGACAGGGTTTTACCATGTTGGCCAGGCTGCTCTCGAACCCCTGTTCTCAGGTGATCCACCCACCTTGGCCTCCCAAAGTGCTGGGATTACAGGCGTGAGCCACTGCGCCCAGCTAGTCTGGCTAATTTTTGTATTTTTAGTAAGATGGGGTTTCGTCATATTGGCCAGGCTGGTCTCGAACTCCTGACCTCCAGTGATCCGCCTGCCTCGGCCTCCCAAACTGCTGGGATTACAGGCGTGAGCCACTGTGCCCAGCCAGCCTCTGTACTTTTTAAATGTGGCTGCTGGAAAAGTTAAGGTGACACATCCACATCTGGCACCTGGCATTATATCCCTAGTGGACGACGCTACTCTGGAGCCCCAAACCATGATGTAATCCGTGAAATGACTGTCCACTGGCTGCGAAAGGATCCTGGAAGCCACGTGGTGGCTGAAAGTGGGTTATGACCGAGTAATGCCCCGGATCAAGCCCCGTGGGACCCAGTGTCCCAGGCCAGTGTGGGTTACTTGGAACCACGCGACAGGGCATATTTTGTGGAGGCCACTGACTATGCAAGAGGCCAAGTTTTATCCTAATTACTTTGAGCTCAAGAAGTGAAAGTGGCAACCTGGCTGCTTCCACCTGGGCTCCCTCCTCTTCCTCCCAAGGCAGTTGTGTGGGCTTGTCCCTTTCAGGGGGTCTGAGAGCAGGAGGGTGGTCTCGGGGAGGAGCTGATACCTGTTCGCCAGTAAGATCACCCTGTTCGTGGCATCGGCCTCTTGCTGACACTTGATTTTCTCAGCTGTTGCTTTTTCAAACGCTGAGGTTAGGTTGCTCAGGTTGGCGTTAAGTTCCTGCAAAACCAAGTTGGAAAGCTGCTGGAAAACCCCACGAGGCATCTCTAGCCCCCTGCAGCGGCAGCAGGGCTGGGCCCTGTGAGCGCTGAGCGTGGAAGAGGCTCCCACAAAGGCTGAGAGCCCTCTGGAGCATGGAGGCTAAGGACACCAAGCGGCTCCCGGCACCATCTGGCCCCTGCCTCTGCCTGCATCCTCTTGCACTGCTGAATAATTCATGACGGCGGGCCGTGCCAACCCATTTTCAACAGAGGTATTGACTGGCAGCGCGAGCAAGCGGCTCTGGTGTTTCGCAGGGACGGGAGCGAGCCGGCACTTACGGCAATCTTGTTTTTGATCCGGGACAGCTTCTCTTGTGCCTCTGCCAGCTCTGCATTAGCCTCCTCCAGTGCCTGCCTCTTGGGCGCCACGTCGCAGTAGACCTCGTAGAAGCGGACGATGTTGATGCACCAGGAGCACAGGCCGGCGGCGGCCGTGGACTTGGAGCGGATGAACTCGGGGTCGAACGTCGGGTTGCCTTGGTAGGGCCTAGCGAGGGAACCAGAGGGCCGGAGTCGTCACCCTGTCCTGCTCTGGCAAAACGGGCCCAGAGAAGCTGAGTGTCTTGCCCAGGGTGGCACAGCTCTGGAGGGGCAGCGCTGGGATTCACACAGTCAGGCTGGCCCTAGAGGCCACCCCCCACCGGCTCTGCTCTCCCACTCCCATTACCCCACAGTGGCATTGCCCAGTTTTCCAAGTCGGGCACCAGGAGACTGAAACTATAAGGTTAGAGGGATGAGATGCAGACGAGATGACGTGGCAGGTGTTACATTTTGGGGACGGTATTCGTGTGTGCAATGCATGTGCTCGTGTGGTCAGCTGCTCTCACAGGTGCTGCTGACCTCTGTGGGGCCTGGCTGGCCTCTCTCTCAGACCTGTAGCCTGAAGGTTCCCGCTGCTGAGCTTGTCAGCTGTGTTCTTGGGGTGCTGTATGGGGAAGGGGCTGCCTAGATTTTGAGCCACAGGCCCCAAGAGCCTGAGGCCATGCTTCACCTCAGCATCGTGCCTTGGCCTGATGGAGAATCGGAGGGAAGCCCCGGCTACGAGGCCCAGCCCCGACTCACTTGAAGGCCTTCAGGCAGGCCTCAGGGATGTGCTCCTTGTCGAACTTCTTCAGGGAGTCTAGGAAGGTGTCCACCTTGCCCATCATGATCTTGGCCGCCTTCCAGCTCTTGTCCTTGGGGATCTTGCCCCCAGGTGCGGTCAGAATCATGACGGCGGCGGTGACGTTGACCACAGCATCCGGCGGGGACCCAAAGGACTTCAGCTCTGTCAGGTTGTTCTGCAAATGACAGACGGGATGGGTCCGATGGGAGTTTGGACCGGGTCCTCGGTGATGCCCCGAAGAAGCCGCCATGAGTGTGTCACCACCCACGCCAACAGCGAAGGCAGCTTCCTCTCCAACCAGGCCAGGGGTCCCCTTTCTTTCCCTCCCCCTTTACCTTATTCAGAGTGTCCAGAGCCTCCTGGGCTGCCAGCAGGGCCGGTTCTGCTTTGGCCAGGTCTGTTTCACAGGCCTTTTGCTTCTCAGTGACGTTCTGGAAGGAAGATGGACAGGAGAGGTTACTGCAGGCCTGTCCATGTGCCTGTGGGGGCGTGTACGTGCATGTGTGTGCATGTGTGTGCATGTGTGTGCATGTATGCACGTGCATGAGTGTATGTGTGCATATATGTGCATGAGTGTATGTGTGTGCATGTATGTGTATGTGCATCCATGTGCATATGTGCATGTGTAGGCAGCAGTGGTGAGGGGCGGCCCAGGCCCCAGCAGGTCTGAGCTCCATAAGAGAGGCTGCCCCTCCGGCCACCACTCATTTGCTGTATTTGCTGAATGTGCTCCTTTGCCGACATCCCTGTGTGTGTGCTTGGCCCCTGTCTGGAGCCCACCTTCCTCCCTGACGCCTCTACTCTGCCCCACAACGCTCAGGTCAGAATGAGCAATGCCTCGACAGTTGGGTGGGATTCTGGAATGGGAACTGTTCCTTCTATCGGCTTGAGCTTCCAAGACTGGAGGGGAAATCCGGGGGCCACTGAGACCGCCTTGACTTTGCAGTCTTATTGTTTCTGGGGCTGTTTCATAATCCATCCAAAATGGAACGTCTCAGAGTGTATAGCTCACACCCCTCTAAGAAAGTAGCACCTCCTTCATTCATGTACATACTCATTCATTCACTCAGGAGACAGTGGGCCATGACTGGAACGCTCTTCAATAATTACACAGATGTAGGACTGATGACAAAAAAAGCACCCAGGGAGGGGTCATGAGAAGCTGCTCCAATGATGCTGTAACCTTCAGGCTCCAAAGATGATGAAGACGCTCCCGCTAAGCCGTGGTTCTCAACCTCAGCCACCCCCAACCAGCAAGGAGCCCACCCCCAGGCCAGTAACGTCCTACCCTCTCGGGGGGGGCCCGGAGCCGCACGTCTGAGGACCAGGCTCCAGTGAGGTCTTCTCAACCCCTCCCATGCTCACGGATCGCGGGCATTTCGTTACCATGCAGGCCCCATTGAGCAGAGCTGAGCTGGAGCCCGAGAGCCTGCATTTCTCACAAGCTTCTGGTGAGGCTGCCGCTGTAGGCTGGGGGCTGAACATGGAGGAGCTCGGCCACGGGATGGGAGTTTTCTAAGGAAAGCCTGCTTCTGAGCGGGGGCCCTCCCCTGGGAGAGACTCCTTCGGGGGTCCCACTGGTTTAGGAACCTTGTCCTTCTATGTAAGTCTCAGCCTTTCCCACGCCTGTCGGTGGCACCTGACCACACGTGGAAGCCCAGGAGGCCTGGCCAGTGCAGCAGCCTTCCTGAAGGCACGCTGGGCTGCCTTCACCTACCTTATTGATGACCTCGACCTTGACTTCTTCCTGGTCAGCAATGGCCTTCTCTTTGCTGACCTTCTCGGCCTCGATGCCGACCACCTGGATCAGTTGGTCTGCGCTCTCATTCTTCTGCTTGAGCTCAGCCTCCTGAATCGCCAACTTGGCTTTCAAATCATCCACCTGGGGAAGGAGAAACCGAGAAACAGCAAGTGTGGGCCGCAGCCGACACACGCCGCCCTGCACTGGGCAGACGAGGGCTGGGAGCCACAGAGGGGCAGAACGGCAGGGCCGTGTCTTACGACTCCCAGTGACTCGTTTTGGAGAGTCTTTTCAATATCTTAAAAGTAAGTTATAAACCCTGACTGCGTACACAGGGTCACAAGTATGAGACATTCCTGGTGCTCAAAGGAGTTGGCAAGGTGACTGAATAGAAACATATCAACTGCAGCCTGGGCAACCGAGTGAGACCCTGTCTGTATAAATAATAAAAAAAATTAGCAAGGCATGGTGGCCTGTGCCCATGGTCCCAGCTACCTGGGAGGCTGAGGTGGGAGGATCACTTGAGCCCAGGAAGTCCAGGCTGCAGTGAGCCACGATCGCACCACTGCATCCCAGCTTGGATGACAGAGCGAGACTCTGTCTCAAATGCCAAGTGAGTTGCAGTGCCGAGCAGGGCTGGCCAGGGCCCCTCCAGGCTGGTGGGAGAGTGACAGCGAGAGTTTGGTAGGGGGGTGGGGGGGTGGGGGCAGGGGTGCGAAAGCTCCCCTGGAAGCAAGTGGGAGGTCCCAGTCTGTTCACAACTCCAGCAGGGAGGTGGCAGCTATTTTCAGGCCCCCTCACAGGGTGTCAATGGTGGGCAATAAAGATGAAGGAGCCGGGACTGCACGATGGAGGAGGTCTGAAGCAGGCAGAACCCTTCAAGATCCATACGGTGTGGAGGAAAGGATCCAGGGAGGTTTTTGAGCCAGGCCCCATGGTATGAATGGTATTTACGAATGAACAAATGCATTTGTATTGACTGCATTGGGCATGATGATCAAATCTCACCCGACATGGGGCAGGTGCCATCCCCTGTGTAATGCGCCCTCCATACAATCAACATTGTGAAAGCATTTTGAGTCTGTTTTTTGTTACGACAAGTATACTAACTCTGGCCTAGGAGTAAATGCTTCTCAAAGGCAGGAAGCGTGCTCATCTTACTTTAGGCAGTGCTGAGCCCCAGTGTGACCAGCCCGTGGATGCCTGTGACAGTAGCAGCTCCTGCGAGGCCTCCAGGGAACGGCACAGGAGCTGGCAGCCAGCCCCCCTCTCCTACCTGGGAAGCCGTGCTCTGCAGCTTCATCAGGCCGTTCTCCAGCCTCTCGATTTTGGCAACAAGTTCCGTTCTCTTCTTGGCCAGCAGGTTCTGGTACAGTTTGATCTGCTCCAGAAAGGTTTTGGGTGTGGTGTAGTTGTAGCGCCTCTCAGTAGCCAGGTATACCCTGGACATCTCGTTGACGGTGGTGTGCACGTAGGACATGAAGAAGCTGATGGAGGCCTTGACTTCCCACTACAAAGATGAGACAGCCAGTCATCCCTGGGACCCCATCCTGCAAATCAGCAAAGTGGGGCTCCCCAGACTCACCAGGGGCCCTGGACAAGGTGCCCTGAGACCGCTCTCAACCTCAGTGTCTTCAACTGCCCAAAGGGGCTCCTGAGAGCAACAGATCCTGGGGCCCTTGTGAGCACTGCACCATGGAAGGGTTTAGCTCAGCGCACAGGACACAGCAGAGCTTATTATCATTATCTCTGACACACAGACGCATACATGCACACACATGCATACACACACACGTATATGTGCACATTCACATACCTGCATATATACGCGTGCACACGCATTCACATACCTGCATATATACACGTGCATACGCATTCACATACCTGTATATATACACGTGCATACGCATTCACATACCTGTATATATACACGTGCATATGCATTCACATACCTGCATATGTACACGTGCACATGCATTCACATACCTGCACATATACACATGCACACACATTCACATACCTGCCTATATGCACGTGCATGTGCATTCACATACCTGCATACCTGAAAAAGTACAAGGCTGAGAATGTGTTTTCATATCCCAGGTAATTCTGCAAATATTTATTGTTCATTACCAAGGCTGGGTCCTGGGATTTAGAACTTCTTTCCCCAGCCCTCTGGGCCTGCCCACCTACCTGAACGCAGGCACTGGGAGCTTTGCCCCAGAAATTGTCTCAGCAATGTTAATTTTAATTCAGGACATTTTGAAAAGTAATGAATTCATCCAACACAGACATTTCAGGGTATATATATATAGTGCTGGTGGTGGGGCCAATGCCTGTTTCTAGGAAGTCTCTGCCTTGGGAACTAGAAACCCAAATCTATGCTCCAAGGGACACCTTTGAACTGCAGAGTTCCTGGGAGTGGCCAGTCTCATAAATGAATGCTCTAATGGCAAGTAGGCTCTTTTTCCCATCTTTAAAAACTAGGAAAAAGAGAAGCTAGTTTCAGGTTTATTCTGTCCTACTTAATAACTGGATATGTGTTCAAAAGAAACAAGAGATGGTAATAAAGGGAGGTTTATTCCAAGGGCTGCTCATCCCCCCTACTGAGTTGGTCAAAAGTGAGCCAGGGTTTATGGGTAATTTCCAGGCAAGCATTGAGCTCAAACAGTGAACATGGGCGCCATCTTTCACTGTTTTTTGTTTTTTTGAGATGGAGTCTTGCTCTATTGCCCAGGCTAGAGTGCAGTGGCACAATCTTGGCTTACTGAAACTTCCGCCTCCCGGGTTCAAGTGATTCTCCTGCCTTAGCCTCTGGAGTAGCTAGGATTACAGGCATGCACCACCACACCCGGCTAATTTTTTATATTTTTGGTAGAGATGGGGTTTCACCATGTTGGCCAGGCTGATCTCGAACTCCTGACCTCAAGTGATCTGCCCGCTTTGGCCCCCCAAAGTGCTGGGATTATAGGCGTGAGCCACTGCCCCCAGCCCTCGGCACCATCTTTCAATGAAAAGAGACTGCAAGAGAATGTCGGACCCGTCTTTCCTCTGAGGTGCACAAGGCAATGGTGTGTGCCCTTGTGTATACTTATTCCAGCAAATACAGGCTTTCCAGCCAAGTGCTCGAGGCAAGGCAGAAAGCCTGAGTCGCCCGATCTGTCCGCACGCTGCATGTCCTCAGCCTTCCTGAACTGGCCCTGGAGCCTTGGCTGCGCCGGGGCTGATTGGAAACCACCCCTCCCTGGCACAGGATTGCAGGACAATGAAACAAAAAAACCCAACAGCCCACCTTGGTTTACAATTCTGATGATTTGTTCATCATGAATTTTTTAGCGCTAATTTGATTTTCAAAAATATTACATTAAAACCTCACTTATCGCTCTCCCTCTCCCTCTCCCCACGGTCTCCCTCTCATGCTGAGCCGAGGCTGGACTGTGCTGCTGCCATCTCGGCTCGCTGCAGCCTCCCTGCCTGATTCTCCTGACTCAGCCTGCCCAGTGCCTGCGATTGCAGGCTCGCGCCGCCACGCCTGACTGGTTTTGGTGGAGACGGGGTTTCGCTGTGTTGCCCAGGCCAGTCTCCAGCCCCTAACCGCAAGTGATCCGCCAGCCTCGGCCTCCCGAGGTGCCGGGATTGCAGACGGAGTCTCATTCACTCAGTGCTCAATGGTGCCCAGGCTGGAGTGCAGTGGCGTGATCTCGGCTCGCTACAACCTCCACCTCCCAGCTGCCTGCCTTGGCCTCCCAAGGTGCCGAGATTGCAGCCTCTGCCCGGCCGCCACCCCGTCTGGGAAGTGAGGAGCGTCTCTGCCTGGCCGCCCATCATCTGGGATGTGAGGAGCCCCTCTGCCTGGCTGCCCAGTCTGGAAAGTGAGGAGCGTCTCCGCCCGGCTGCCATCCCACCTAGGAAGTGAGGAACACCTCTTCCCGGCCGCCATCACATCTAGGAAGTGAGGAGCGTCTCTGCCCGGCCGCCCATCGTCTGAGATGTGGGGAGCGCCTCTGCCCCGCCGCCCCATCTGGGATGTGAGGAGCGCCTCTGCCCGGCCGAGACCCCGTCTGGGAGGTGAGGAGCGTCTCTGCCTGGCCGCCCCGTCTGAGAAGTGAGGAGACCCTCTGCCCGGCAACCGCCCCGTCTGAGAAGTGAGGAGCCTCTCCGCCCGGCAGCCACCCCGTCCGGGAGGGAGGTGGGGGCGGTCAGCCCCCGCCAGGCCAGCCGCCCCGTCCAGGAGGGAGGTGGGGGGTCAGCCCCCCGCCCGGCCAGCCGCCCCGTCCGGGAGGTGAGGGGCGCCTCTGCCCAGCCGCCCCTACTGGGAAGTGAGGAGCCCCTCTGCCCGGCCACCACCCCGTCTGGGAGGTGTGCCCAGCAGCTCATTGAGAGCGGGCCAGGATGACAGTGGCGGCTTTGTGGAATGGAGAGGCGGGAGGGGTGGGGAAGGGATTGAGAAATCGGATGGTTGCCGTGTCTGTGTAGAAAGAAGTAGACATGGGAGACTTTTCATTTTGTTCTGTACTAAGAAAACTTCTTCTGCCTTGGGATCCTGTTGATCTGTGACCTTACCCCCAGCCCTGTGCTCTCTGAAACATGTGCTGTGTCCACTCAGGGTTGAATGGATTAAGGGCGGTGCAAGATGTGCTTTGTTAAACAGATGCTTGAAGGCAGCATGCTCGTTAAGAGTCATCACCACTCCCTAATCTCAAGTACCCAGGGACACAAACACTGCCGAAGGCCGGAAGGCCTCAGGGTCCTCTGCCTAGGAAAACCAGAGACCTTTGTTCACTTGTTTATCTGCTGACCTTCCCTCCACTATTGTCCTATGACCCTGCCAAGTCCCCCTCTGTGAGAAACACCCAAGAATTATCAATAAAAAATAAATAAATTAAAAAAAAATAAAAAATAAAAAATAAAACCTCACTTATCTTGATGCCTGAGTTTCTGGCAGCCTCTTAAACGTTGAGCCCAAGGCGGACGCCTCACTTGGCTCACCCTAATCCCAGCGCCCTTTTCTCCCAGGGAGCCAGCCCTTGGGCCTGTCCTTGTCCTCTGGGCTCTACACTCAGGCAGAGGTGGCCTCAGTGACTCACCGGAATCCCCTCAGTCTCCTCCAGGAAGCGGGCGCTGACGGACACCAGCGCATCTTCCGGCCACTCGTGGAACCAGTCGATGGCCGTGCAGTTGACCACAGCTGGGAACTTTCTGGCTCGTACCCGCAGCACGGAGCCCACAGGGGAGAAACACAGGATCACCTGGGTGTGGGAGACACAGATGCGCTGCCTACTGGGACTGCAGTGCTGGGGCCTAATCCATCACTCTGCAGAAAGCTCTGCCAGAAAGCAACGCGCCCTGCCGGGCTCAGCCGCCCAGGGCCTGGGCAGCACAGTCCTGGTTCTGGGTTTGAAGGGCGGCCGCTGCATTGCCGTGGATAAATGCTCATCTGGCTTCATGCCTCTCGCTAGCAGTCCCAATCCCTCTGGAAGGGGCCCTTGCCTCTCTAAAAAAGGCCGGGCAAAGGAAGGAATGGGGAGTGGGCATCCACATTGGGCAGATGAGGCCCCAGAACGGGCCGGGCTCCCAAGCCCTTCGGTTCAGCAGGAAGGGTCCCCGCTGGGCCCTGAGGGATAGTGGCTAATTCCCAGAAAGGGCAGGGAGTCCCTGGGATCCCAGCTGGAGAAGGTGCTGTGGAGACAGGCCTGGGGGGCTCTCTGGCTAGATAAGGACCTCCCTTGTAATGGGTCTCAGCCTCCCAGCTGCTCTTGCTCTCTAGTCCCCTTTCGTGGCATAGGTGTTGCACGGACGCTGCCATTGAATGGGGTGGCTCACTGCTTAGCTGACTTTGCACCCCTCACTGCGTGATGACGTGAGGGTGCAGGACAGAGCCGGCACTGGCAGGGCACCAAAGAGGATCCAGGAGCAGGCAGCACCTATCAGGGGATGCCTTTGGCTCACAGATAACATTCACTAATTGGGCTATGCAGCCCGCAGAGGGGAGGGAGGACCCTGCTCTGTTTGAGTCAAGCAGGGGAAAACGATGGCCGGCAGGTGTCCAGGAGAGCTATGGGATTGGCACCCCGCAAAGGGCAGCACCACTGAACTCTGGAGAGGACGGGGCCAATAGGTCCAAGGGGTTCTCTGTCCTACTAGGGGAGTTTAGCCTGCTTACCCTAGAGGTGATGTCGAAAATCAAGGTGTGGCCAGGCAGCACTTTGGGAGGCCGAGGCAGGTGTATCACCTGAGGTCAGGAGTTCAAGACCAGCCTGGCCACCATGGTGAAATGCTGTCTCTACTAAAAATAAAAAATTTAGCCAGGTGTGGTGGTGGGCACCTGTAATCCCAGCTACTCAGGAAGCTGAGGCTGGAGAATCATTTTAACCCAGGAGGCAGAGGTTGCAGTGAGCTAAGATCACGCCATTGCACTCCAGCCTGGGCGACAAGTGAAACTCCATCTCAAAAAAAAAAAAAAAAAGAGAGAGAGAGAGAGTATCAAGGTGCATTTATCTACTTAAACTAGCTGTGTGTGGGGAGGGGGTCCACATAGAGTCGGTTGTCTGTCCACATCTGTGGATTTAACCAACCATGGACTGAAAATTGTTAAAAAAAAATAATAAAAAATAATACAAATAAAAATATAGTATAACAACTATTTACATAGCATTCTACATTATATTAGGTATTATAAGTAATCTAGAGATGATTTAAAGTAGAGGGGAGCATCTTCAAAAATACGACACTGTTTTATATCGGGCCCTTGAGCATCCATCCCTCCGTGGATTCTGGTATCCATGGCGGTCCTGGAATCCAACCTCCTCAGATACCAAAGGACGACTGTAAAACATTTCTTTTGGCCCCAAGATACCTCTAACGACCCACGTGAAAAAGTCTCCAGGCTCCGGTTCATCAGACAGCCCCACCCCTCACACTCTCCTAACAGGATTTCACATCCCATGAAGGATCAGTCCTCCTGCTCTATGCAGAGCAAAAACCCATACCCTGTAGGCCACGGGCACCAAGCTGGGCTCTTGAGGCCCTGCCGAAGACGGGAGCCCCACCTTGAGCTGTCTGCGCACTTTTTCGATGAAGAACTTCCAACATGTTTCCCGAGTGTCATTCATGCCAAGGGACTTGACTTGGGGTCGCATGGAGGAGATGATGTTCTCCACCTCGTCCTCCATAAACAGCCCAGGGATCTCTCCTGAGGCCAGCAGGTCATTGATCAGCACCAGAAACTGCTCCTCGGCCACCTGGGAGTCTGTCATCAGGAACACCGAGGGAACGTTCTTCACGGCAGCCTTTATGTACTGAGCAGCGAGGTCAATCTGGACGGAGTGAGGACACGCTTAGGGGCCTTGGTAAAAAGATGCTCAATTAGAGACATCCTCCACAACCAACCAGAGCACAGGGCCATTTTTTCTTTGAGACGGAGTCTCGCTCTGTCGCCCAGGCTGGAGTGCAATGGCACAATCTCGGCTCACTGCAACCTCCGTCTCCTGGGTTCAAGCAATTCTCTTGCCTCAGCCTCCCAAGTAACTGGGATTACAGGCACACGCCGCCATGGGGCCAACTTTCTTTTTTCTGTCTTTTTCTTTTTTTTTGAGACTGAGTCTCGCTCTGTCACCCAGGCTGGAGTGCAGTGATGCAATCTCGGCTCACTGCAAGCTCCACCTCCCAGGTTCACGCCATTCTCCTGCCTCAGCCTCCCGAGTAGCTGGGACTACAGGCACCCGCCACCACGCCTGGCTAATTTTTTGTATTTTAAGTAGAGACAGGGTTTCACTATGTTAGCCAGGAGGGCCTCGATCTCTTGACCTTGTGATCCACCCGCCTCGGCCTCCCAAAGTGCTGGGATTACAGGTGTGAGCCACTGTGCCCGGCCCACAGGGACAACTTTCTAAGAAACACAGGCCAGGTGCGGTGGCTCATGCTTATAATTCTAGGGCTTTGGGAGGCCAAGGTGGGAGGATCAATTGAGGCCAGGAGCTCAAGACCAGCCTGAGCAACATAGCAAGACCTTGTCTCTAAGGAAAAGAATAAAAGAAGGGTGCAGGAGACCCAAAACCTTGAACAGAGCACAGCCAGGTTCACAGCAGCCATCAGGACAACCCAAGTGTCCATCCATGCATGAACAGGTACATAAAACGTGGTCCATCTGTGCAATGGAATATGATTTGGTCTTAAAAAGGGGAGGAAATTCTGACACGTGCTATAGCACGGACAGACCTTCAGGACATGACGCTGAGTAAAATAAGCCAGACACGAAAGGACAAATACCGTGTGATTCCACTTACATGAGGTCCCTAAAGTAGTCAAAGTCAGGGACAGAAAGAAGAATGGAGGTTGCCAGGGGCGGGGCTGGGGGAATGGGGAGTTGTTTAATGGAGACAGAGCTTCTGTTTGGGAAGATGAAAGGGTCCTGGAGAGGGACAGTGGTGATGGTCACACAACAGTGTGAATGTGCTTCATGCCACCGAACTAGATGTTAAAAGTGGTGAAAATGTCTTACTCTTTTTTTTTTTTTTTTTTTTTTGAGACAGTCTCTCACTCTGTTGCCCAGGCTGGAGTGCAGTGTCGCGATCTTGGCTCACTTCAACCTCCGCCTCCCGGGTTCAAGGAGTTCTCCTGCCTCAGCCTCCTGAGAGATTACAGGCATGTGCCACCATGCTCAGCTAATTTTTGTATTTTTGGTAGAGACAGGGTTTTACCATGTTGGCCAGGCTGGTCTTGAACTCCGGACCTCAAGTGATCTGCCCACCTCGGCCTCCCAAAGTGCTGGGATAACAGGCATGAGCCACCGTGCCCAGCCGAAAATGTCTATTTGTCTTAGAAAAAAAAATTAAAAAACAGGCCGGGCACGGTGGCTCACACCTGTAATCCCAGCACTTTGGGAGGCCGAGGAGGGTGGATCACCTGAGGTTAGGAGTTGGAGACCACCTGGCCAACATGGTGAAACCCCATCTCTACAAAAAATACAACAATTAGCCAGGCGTGGTGGCACGCACCTGTAATCCCAGGTACTTGGGAAGCTGAGGCAGGAGAATTGCTTGAACCCAGGAGGTGGAGGTTGCAGTGAGCCGATATTGTGCCATTGCACTCCAGTCTGGGCAACAGAGTGAGACTCCGTCTCAAAGAAAAGAAATAAGTAACAGTGAAAATGGTCAATTTTATACTATGTATATTTTACCACATATGCAAAAGGAAAGAAAAAAATCTTAAATGGAGACCCTAAAAGAGGCCCTGAATAAATATACTGCAGGCTTGGACTGGGAGCCTTAACAGGCAACCCCCTTTCAGAGTCATCCACAGCAGGATTTAAGGACAGGGCGAGAAGATGGTTTCATAGGAATTTTGCAAGAATAAATGAAAAGTTTTTTTTAAAGCATTTTACAGAGCAGTAGGAATAGCTCGTTATTTTTGAATATGCCATTTCCATGTATATATATGTTCAGAAATGCCTGCCAGTTTCATCCAAGTAGTGATGTGTATTTCCAGCGTTTTGGCGATTTGCTTATCTATAATATTTAATTTAAAAAACAAGACCTATGGGCTTCTGTACTTATTGAAGAGGCTTTAAAAGTGTCCATATAGGCACCCCAGTGGCTGCTCCATCCTTCGGAAGCAAGTCCGACTCCCTGAAATCTCTCTGTTCAGAGAAACCTCACCAGGCCTCCTCTTTGGGAGCTGACTGGGGTCAGAAGCCAGCCTCAAATCTCCTATCTCTTGACAAGCTAAGAAAAAGCAAGGGGAAGCTCTGAGCCTGGAAAAGCAGGTGGGCAGCAGGTGGGCCGCAGGTGGGACTTGAGCCAAGGCTATGTCCTTGGACCCTGCCTCGAGGTAAGGAGCGTAGTGTGAGAGCCAGCAATGACCTTGAGTCAAAGACGAATCACTCTTCTCATTTCACAGTGTAGCAAGGACATTGGGTGGAGACTGACCATACCAGAAATCTTTTCCTTTTTTGTTCCTTTTTCTGACTTTACTTTTTTAGAGATAGGGCCTCACTCTGTCGCCCAGGCTGGAGAGCAGTGGCATGATCATAGCTTATTGCAGCCTCGACCTCCTGGGCTCAAGGGATCCTCCTTGCCTTGGCCTCTCAAAGTGCTAGGATTACAGGCTTGAGCCACCGCTCCCGGCCCGTCTGGCTTTCACAGCCACACTGTCCCATATGGAGTGGCCCTTACCCTGCCCACTGTGACCGCTGGGCTGTCCCCACCTCACCTTCCCCGCTCACTCTCTGGCACAGTCCCCTCCACTCCCGTCCTCTTATGCTGCTGAGGCTGGCCCCCACATCTCTACCCGCATCCTATCCCTGCACTTCCCAGCCCCATGTGTCCCGCTGTGCGATGGCCGCCTCATCCCCAGGTATCTCATCTCCTCCGGGCCTGGCCCCAGGGCAGTTCTCCCCCACCCTCCCTCCTATCTTGGTTGAGAGCCCCATGGTGCTACTGAAGCTGGATCTGCCTGCGTCCCTATCATCACTGTCAGCCAAGGACGGCAATCGTCACCTGTATCTAGGCCCGTCTAGGGACCAGCCATTAATAAGGGGCACAGGCTTCCCTTTCTTTGGCCAAAACATCAGCAGCAGTGCCTTTCCTTGCCATAGCCAATGCCACTGGCAGTAGACAGGCAGGACACGGAGCCGAGATTTGGGAGTGGGGGTGTGTGAGACATTAGGGTTATGGAGTAGGGGTGCGAGGGTTAGGGTTAGGGAGTAGGGGTGCGAGGGTTAGGGTTAGGGAGTGGGGGTGCGAGGGTTAGGGTTAGGGAATGGGGGTGCGAGGATTAGGGTTAGGATTTGGGAGTGGCGGGTGCGAGACACGCAGCAAGGCCTCCTCCCTGAGAATAACATGAGGCCAAGCCCCCACCCCACCCGATGGCTGCTTCTCACCCCTTCCCTCTCATTTGCAGGAAGCTGGCGGGGAGGCGGGGACCTGAGCCGCTGAGACCACGGCCCCTCATTCTGCTGACAGGCTTTCTTCATGGGGCAGCCCAGCTCTGGCTGCTGACTCAGGCTGGGGTGAAGGTTTCACAGAAATAAAAACTCCCCACCGCCTGGCCCCGGGGGCTGTGTGTGGGGTGTGGGGAGGGGAGCTGGGGTAGCACCTGAAGGTTTCGGATCCTGGACCCCAGCCGAGTCCCCGAGGTCACGCACGCTGTCTCGGCAGGCACAGCCCTCGCTGGCCCTGGTTTCCCCTCCCCCTCCGTTCTCCCTTCTCGTCGCACCTGCCCACTTTCAGCCTTTGTGGGGTCACAGAGCTTGTGCCCCAGCTCCACCCAGGTCACCCTTCAGCAGTTTCTGTGCTTTCAAACTATCCTTCCTGTGTCCTAGAACACTACCACATCCTGCCCGCTCTATCCCCTGATCAGACATCTTGATGTAGTCTCGTTTTCTTGGGACCAAGCCCAGGGCTTTTCACACGGCACACTGTCCTCCAGGGTCCACCCTCCACCCCTTTCCTGTGCACCCCTAGCCTCCAGCAGGTGCCACAGCTTCCGGGACCTACTTTATAATATTACATAATCACAAACATATATGTTACCCCCATAGGGGTGAGCCTATTACTATGGCAGCACCATTAGAACGATAATCATGTCGAATGGCTCAGGAGTCTAGCTCCCCCAATACAATTCAGGAACTTATAGCCCTGTTTACCTCTGCCCTTAGTTCTGAATCCACAGAAGCGGCTTAAGAAATGACAGTGATGGCCGGGCGCAGTGGCTCACGCCTGTAATCCCAGCACTCTGGGAGGCTGAGGCGGGCAGATCACGAGGTCAGGAGATTGAGACCATCCAGGCTAACACGGTGAAACCCCGTCTCTACTAAAAATACAAAAAATTAGACGGGCGTGGTGGCGGGCGCGTGTAGTCCCAGCTACTCAGGAGGCTGAGGCAGGAGAATGGTGTGAACCCGGGAAGCGGAGCTTGCAGTGAGCTGAGATCGCGCCACTGCACTCCAGCCTGGGCGACAGAGTGAGACTCTGTCTCAAAAAAAAAAAAAAAAAAAAAAGAAATGACAGTGATAGCAAAGCTGATTTGTGATGGGTGCAGGGACAGTGAAATTCCACAGCCCAGATCACAGAGCCACAGCAGCTGATGAATAAAATAGTACCGCTGAGGCTGAGGCTGAGGCTGAGCACCCACAATCAGCCCCAACAGGAAGGATCAGGGAGAAAATCCCCGCAGGGACGCAGAGCAAGGAAACGATGCCGTCATGAACGTAAACCAACGTGATTTAGTTAATAGACTAGAGACTTCAATGGAGAAAGCTCAGTAAAACCATACGGCTCCAGGTTCAAATGACACTTGAGTGGCCGCAGATACCAATGTGAACTAACTCCATCAGATGCGCTGAGAACCCATGACACACTACCGCTCATGGGTCCAGAGGACAGGGCTGTGTTCAGGAGTGCCCATCTGAGGAGTTCAAAAAAGAGCAGGCCGGCCCCTTTATACATGGAGTAGAATCTGCTGGGAAGGCAGAGAACAGCCAGCCAGAAACTGGAGGCTCTCCCAGAGGTTGGCCGTCCCTGGCACAGCCTGCACTGCCCCTCCAGGGTCTCTGCCTGCAGACACCTCCCACTGCTCCCAGCATCACTGGCTCCAGGTCTGCCTGCTAAAGCCACCAGCCCAGCGACTGTCTGAGGGCCACGTACTGCGGGAGGGTCCCCTTAGGTTCCCCCTTGGGTCTGGCATCGTCCTGGCCCCACAACAGCGGCCCCAGCACACAGAGAAGGCATGGCCGTGTAGGACGGCCCAATCGATTTCAGGTCTAATCTCAAGCACGATGATTCCTTCTGAACTAATGGCACGCAGTTGCCTGGGAGAGCAGATTTTCAGGAACAAGAAATCAATAAAAACCCTCAGCAGTGTGTGTTGGGCATGGGAGACCTTATGTTTAGTCTAATGTTTATTTCATTCATTCCAAAAGCAGCCATTCAGCATCTCAGGCATGCAGTTAGACACCCAGTCATGGCTCTGAATTCTGTAGTCTGGAGAGAATAGGTAACAATTTGGAACACTCAGTGACCAAGGGCAGGGATCCAACCTCTCTGCCTCTGTGATCTGGGTTGATTCTGTGGACTTGTGTCCATCGAGTAGTTGACAGACACACTCTTCACCTCAGTCACACGGACACGCACACTGGCTGGAAGGTTTCACACCCTTCACCTCAGTCACACTGGCCAGATTTCACACCCTTTACCTCAGTCACGCGGGCTGGAGGGTTTCACACTCTTCACCTCAGTCACCCGGGCACACACACTGGCCGGAAGGTTTCACTCTCTTCACCTCAGTCATGCGGGCCGGAAGATTTCACACCCTTCACCTCAGTCACATGGGCCGGGAGGTTTCACACGCTTCACCTCAGTCACACGGGCCGAAAGGTTTCAGACCCTTCACCTCAGTCACATGGGCTGGAAGGTTTCACACGCTTCACCTCAGTCACATGGACATGCACACTGGCTGGAAGGTTTCAGACCCTTCACCTCAGTCACACGGGCTGGAAGGTTTCACACTCTTCACCTCAGTCACACGGGCACGCACGCTGGCTGGAAGGTTTTCTGGCCTCTGCTTTCTAAGATAAAGACCCTTTGGATAAGGACTATTGGTGATGCTCGGATTCCCTGTACTCGCTGGCTTCATTTTGGAAAAGGGAGTGAAGTTTTTCTTTACTCCCTGACCCTACCCTGAAAGGCAGCCTATTGAACAGTAAGCTCTCACCTTGAGGTCGGGGATCCCGTAGCCCTTCTTGAGGGTGATCTGAAACACGTCAAGCCCGCTGATGTACGCTGCCAGGCGGGAGAGGCTCTGTTTGCCACTGCCGCCCACCCCCACCAGCAGGGCATTCCCCCGGGGAGACTCCAGGATGCGATTAATCCTGCAGATGTGAGCCACGGCGTCCTCAAACAGCACCTGCAGAAACCGGAGAGATCCCACAACATCTTGTAGCACCTGGAATCACCTCTGTCACCAGCACGGACTCTGCACATGCTGAGGTGTGCACTGTGTGCCACGCAGCCCCACACAATGCCACTCGGATGTCGATAATGCAACCGGAGAGGGTGACCCGGTCCAGGTCCCGTGCCCTTGCTATCAGCTCCAGCCTGCTCACCAAATTCATGACTGCATTAACTTCATTGTAGCTGTCCAGGACGTCCACGAGGAGCTTGTTCAGAGGAGCCATGTCGGTTACAGGAACATATTTGGGATCGCCAATCCCTTGAGCAAAGTGGCAGAAGATATTTGGCTTGGCAAATAAGAGTTCATCACCAAGATCCTAGAAAAAGAAAAAAAAAGACGATACTTCCGGTTTTTGCCACCATGACCACACAGATAGTTAACAGCAATTCAGTACTTTGCCAAGGTGGCCTAGGAGGTCACCACGGGGTCCCAGGCCAAGTCTCCAGGGGCCCAAACCTGCTGCCGTGGGCCCAGCAAACCACTGGGGCAAAATTTCCTAGAGTGGGAGGGTCTGATCCCCACTGTATCAGAAATGAATTCATAGTCCAAAGAAATGATTCCACCAAGAACACACGGGACACACCAGCGAGGCACACAGAGCCAAGCAGGGCCTTTCTCCACCCCAAGTGGACAGAGGGAGGTGATCACACCCTGATCTACTGAGCACTCAATTCCTCCTCACTCAGACCCACAGCCACGTGCCGGAGTTATCGCGTGGAACCCTCGGACCCACAGCCACGTGCCAGAGTTATCGCGTGGAACCCTCGGACCCACAGCCAAGTGCCGGAATTATCACGTGGAACCCTCGGACCCACAGCCACGTGCCGGAGTTATCGCGTGGAACCCTCGGACCCACAGCCACGTGCCGGAGTTATCGCGTGGAACCCTCGGATCCACAGCCACTTGCTGGAATGATCGCGTGGAACCTAACACGGATCTTCCCACCCCCAACAAAGGGCCCTTCTGAGAGGGCTGCAGTTCTCATTGGCCGCCGACACTCCACCCTCCTGGAGCCATTCTGGGCTCGGCAGAGGGACTGGGCAGCTTGACTTACATCAAAGAACTTCTTGGTGGAGGCCATGGTGACTCTATGCAATGTTTCCTGGTCTTTTTCGTCAACCATTTTGTCACCATACACTCGTTCAGTCTCATGTAGCCAAAGGCGGACGAGGTCCAGTGGGGTTTTCAGAACTTCTGCTGTGGAAAATAAGAGTCCCTGCCCCAAACACAGGATGATCAGCACCGTCAGCTGTTACGAAGGCGAGCCCAGAGCTGGACACAGATGACCCTGAGGAGCAGCCCCCTCCCCCGGGGCGAGGGGACCTGTTCAGCTGTTGGCACAGCATTCACTTGGGGCCAGGGAAGCCACTCATCACGGAGGTCCCAAAAATCCCGGATGCCAGTGTGTGTGTGTGTCCTGAGAGATGTGGAGTTTTCCTCATAGGACAGGGTTGGGGCCTCATCCTCCAGAAGAGTGAATGGTGGAGGAGGGACAAGGGAGGCTAATTGCAAAGGAAAGCAGGTGACCGATGCCATAGGGCAGGTCACAAGCTTGGGTACCACAGCAAGCCTATCTGGTCCAGTCCTGGCTTGGCCATTTACTAAGCAAGTGACTCTAGGCAAGCTCGACAAGAGCTTATTGAGGGCCTGGAATTTCCCAGGCACAGCGATGATGCAACAGAACCTGACGCTGTGGAGTTGACATGCTAGCGGGGGAGGTGGCCAGGTACACAAAGAAATAAGGTAATTGCACACTATGGTGTATGCTCTGAATGACAAACCCAGGGCAGTAAGACAGAGTGTGAGGGCTGAGGAGTGGCCTCTGTGAGAGCATGGCATTTGGGCTGATACTTTATTTTTTTTTTTATTGATACTTTTTGATATGTAGTCTCACTCTGTTGCCCAGGCTGGAGTGCAGTGGCACGATCTCAGCTTACTGCAACCTCTGCCTCCTGGGTTCAAGTGATTCTCACATCAGCCTCCCGAGTAGCTGGGACTACAGAGGCACACTCCACCATGCCCAGCTAATTTTTGTATTTTTAGTAGACACAGGGTTTCACCATGTTGGCCAGGCTGGTCTCGAACTCCTGACCTCGTGATCTGCCCGCCTTGGCCTCCCAAAGTGCTGGGATTACAGGCATGAACCACTGCACCCGGCTGGGCTGATACTTTACGTGGGAGGAGGTGGGCATAACTTAGCCTCCCTCAGCCACAAACTCCTGCTCAGTAAAATGGGGATATAAGCACCAAACTTATGTGTTGTTGGAGAAGGAGAAAATGGGAATGTAAGGGGCCAAACCCAATCTCTGACTCAGAGTAAGCAGTCAGTAAATGAGAGGAAATATTATTACCATCACCACCACCATCGCTATCATCACCACCATCATCATTACCACATCACCATCACCACCATCATCACCACCATCACCATTATCATCTCCACCATCACCACCACCATCATCATCACCACCATCACCACCACCATCATCACCATCATCACCATCACCACCACCATCACACCACCATCATTACCATTATCATCTCCACCATCACCACCACCATCATCACCATCACCACCACCATCATCATCATCTCCACCATCACCACCACGTGGCATCATCACATCACCATCATCACCATTACCACCATAACATCACCATCATCACCATTATCACCATCATATCACCACCACCACCATCATCACCACATCACCATCACCACCATCATCACCACCATCACCATTATCATCTCCACCACCATCACCATTATCATCTCCACCACCATCACCACAATCACATCACCACCACCACCATTATCACCATCACATCACCCACATCACCATCACCACCACCATCACTGCCACCACTATTATCATCAGCACCACCATCACTACCACTATCACCATCATCACCACCATCATTACCAACATTACCATCACCATCACTATTGCCATCATCACCACCATCACTATCACCATCATTATCACCACCATCACCCTCACCACCACCATCACTATCATCACCACCATCATGACAATCACCATCATCATGACCATCACCATTACCACCATCACTACCACTGTCACCACCACCGTCATCACCCCCATTATTATAATCATTATCACCATTACCATCACCACCATCACTACCATCACTACCACCATCATCACAATTATTACCATCATTACCATCACCACCACTATTGCCATCATCACCACCATCATCACCATCACCACCATCACTATCATCATCACATCACCATCACTATCATCATAACCATCACTACCACCATCATCACATCACCATCATCACGACCATCACCATTACCACCATCACTACCACTGTCACCACCACCATTACCATCACCACCATTATTATCATCATTATCATTACCACCATCACCACCATCATCAGTCCACACCTCCCTGAGAGCTGTGATGAGGAAAGCACCTGTGGATCAGGCACTGGACCGTAAGGCAGGCATGACATAAAGCTACAAGAGCAGTACCTGGAAAATATTGGAGAGGTCCCTGAGGTTGAAGACATAATGAAACTTAATGGCCGTGGGAAGAAATGTTGCCGTGATTTTCTGATGCAAAGCTGTTAGAGGAAAAGGACGTGTCAATTCTCATGTACTCTTGATGGCCCCAGGAAGTGCAAGCCTCAAGTTTCTAAAGCCAATGGACTACGAAATGGTGACAACTGGAGTAAGAAATCTGCACAGCTCTTTGAAGTGGGAGGGAATTTGCTGTTCTCCTTAAATCATTTGTGTATAGAATTTCCTAGCCCCTACCTCCCCATGAAGCAATTGTATTTCACAATTTCTCCTGTCGAAACATAGCATCGTTTTTAAGATATTGATTTAGAATTATAAATAAAATATTTATCAAGGGAAAATGTGAAGAACCATCAGCCCACAGAGCCATAGGTTTTACCGATGGGAGAGGGGATGAGGCCAGCCAGCTTACCCAGGGCCGCGGCCACCAGCTGGCTGCTTATCCTCTGGATAGCCATGGAGACCGAGCGGAAGGCCAGGTGCTGCGTCAGGATTGTGTTGTAGATGGTGGTGAGGGCCTCCTGGCCGGGGAAGCTCACAGCAAACACGCAGAAATGGCGCTACCCCAAAACAACCAAACACTCCAGTCAGCCAGCTCTTGGGGACCTGCCTGGGGCCAGGGCCACCTTCGCGGGAGAGTGGCCCCTGTCCTCATGTTCTAAGGTCTTTTGGGCATTGTCAGAATGGGCAGTTACCCTCCTTGTGCCTTGCATGTGGTAAAACTGCATTAAGTATCATTACACATGAAACAGACAAATTTACTTCATGCTCTCAAGAAGAATTTTGGCAAAGGCAAGAGATGGGCTCAGAGTACAGGCCTGGGTTTAAATCCAGATCTCTGTGTGTTTAGATAACTTAGAGGCAAAGTCTGTCTGGGTAAGGGCTACAGATAAAATACAGGATGCCCTGCTAAATCTGAATTTCAGATAAACAACAAGTACTTTTTTTTTTTTTTTTTTTTTTTTTTTTTTTTTTTTAAAAAAAGTATGTCCCAGGCCGGGCACGGTGACTCCCACCTGTAATCCCAGCACTTTGGGAGGCCGAGGAGGGCAGATCACTTGAGGTCAGAAGTTCGAGACCAGCCTGGCCAATATGGTGAAACCCCGTCCCTACTAAAAATACAAAAATTAGCCAGGTGTGGTGGCGCACACCTGTAGCCTCAGCTGCTTGGGAGGCTGAGGCAGGAGAATTGCTTAAACCCGGGAAGCGGAGGTTGCAGTGAGCTCAGATCACACCATTGCACTCCAGCCTGGGTGACAGAGTGAGACTCAGCCTCAAAACAAAAACAAAACAACAAAAAAAGAACGGTATGTCCCAAATATTGTATGTAACATACTTAGACTAAAAACATATTTATTTATCTGGAGTTTGGATTTAACTGCAATTTTATTTGCTAACTCTGCCAGTTGACCGGGTCACAGGGAAGGCTGGCTAGCTGCTCATCCTCTCCATGCCCTGGAATTTTCTGACACATTCTGCAAAGTTAAGGAGTTCTCCAGAAAATGTCGGCCTGCAGCCCTAACACCCTAAACCAAAGCTTTTCCTCTCATTTGCCAGAAGCAAGCCTCAGACTCATGGCAGGTGACGGGGATGAGTATGGTTTCTGCTTACCTGAAGCCTGGAGTCGATGGTGAAGGATCCGGAAGTGGGGTTCATGCAGGCCACGTACTGACAATTATGGATATCTTTTAACGTCAGCTTATGTCTGTCATACCTGAGGGGGGAAACCAGCATTCATGTTGTGCCCCTGGCCTGGAGGAACCATCCCCTGCCCCCACTGTGCTCCCAAGAATGCCCTCCTTATTATTATTTTTTTGAGACAGAGTCTCGCTCTGTTGCCCAGGCTGGAGTGCAGTGGCACAATCTCGGCTCACTGCAAGCTTTGCCTAATTTTTTGCATTTTTAGTTGAGACGGGGTTTCGCCGTGTTAGCCAGGATGGTCTCGATCTCCTAACCTCGTGATGCGCCCGCCTCAGCCTCCCAAAGTGCTGAGATTACAAGTGTGAGCCACCACGCCCGCCCCCCATCCCCCGGCTTTTTTTTTTTTTGAGATGGAGTCTCACTCAGTCACTCAGGCCGGAGTGCAGTGGCATGATCTTGGCTCACTGCAACCTCCGCCTCCTGGGTTCGCCCCATTCTCCTGCCTCAGCCTCCCGAGTAGCTGAGACTACAGGTGCCCGCCACCATGCCTGGCTAATTTTTTTGTACTTTTAGTAGAGACTGGGTTTCACCGTGTTAGCCAGGATGGTCTTGATCTCCTGACCTTGTGATCCGCCCGCCTCAGCCTCCCAAATGCTGGGATTACTCCATGTGGTCTTAAAAACCCTCCACAGATACTGATAATATGTGAAGCAGCTGCTGTGACTTCATGCTCTCCAGAGAAATTTTGAAACAAGAGGCAAAAGAGTGGCTCAGAGAGCAGGCTGGGGTTTATGTTCCAGCTCTTCCCCTAAGCAGTGCTGGGGCTCTGGGAAGTTGGTTAACATCTCTGTGCCTTAATATTCTCACCTGTGCAATGGGTCATGAGGAGGATAAAATGAGCTAACATATGAAAAAACACTGGGAAGAGTACCTGACATACAGTAAGTATGCAATAAATATTCACCATCCCTGTTATCAGGATAATTATTAATGGCTGCTATTATTAAATAAGCTGAATAGGCCAGGCACAGTGGCTCATGCCTGTAATCCTAGCACTTTGGGAGGCTGAGATGGGCAGATCACTTGAGGTCAGGAGATCAAGATCAGCCTGGCTAGCATAGTGAAACCCCATCTCTACTAAAAATACAAAAATTAGCCAGGCATGGTGGCAGGCACCTGTAATCCCAGCTACTTGGGAGGCTGAGGCAGGAGAATTGCTTGAACCTGGGAGGTGGAGGCTGCAGTGAGCCAAGATCATGCTATTGCACTCCAGCCTGGGCAACAGAGCAAGATTTCATTTCAAAAATAAAATAAAATAAGCTGAATAATTTCCTTGATGTCACACTACACTAGTTACTTTTTTTTTTTTTTTTTTTTCCCCCGAGACAGGGTCTTGCTCTCTCACCCCGGCTGGAGTGCAGTGGTGAACACAGCTCACGGCAGCCTCTATCTCCTGGGCTCAAGCTGTCCTCCCAACCTCAGCCTCACACTACCATGCCCGGCTAAGTTTTTGTAGAGACAGGGTCTCACTATATGACCTGGGTTCAAGTGATCCTCCTGCCTCCACCTCCTAAAGTGTTGAGATTACAGGCCTGAGCCACTGCGCCCAGCACTTTTGTTTTTTTCCCCCATTATGCACTTTGTGTGTTGGAAGTTGACGTCTGTTAGTTTCTAGTAATTCCTTGTATATTTCAGATATTAATCCACTGTCAATTTTATACATTGCAAATGTTTTCTTCCATTCTTTTATTTCTCCATTATATATGTCCATGGTGTCTCTCACTGAGCAAAATTCCTTAACTTTCATTTAAATCACAGCCATCAATTTTTTGCCCTTCTGTGTGTGCCTCTGAAACTTTTGCCTGCGCAGTCCTCTCCTGTGCACACTTCTCAGGTCACAGATGTTGTCCCTGTTTGCTTCTGCCCACCTCACAGCTCACCCTTTCCCTGCGGGCCCATCCTTCCCACGGGCCCCACCCTTGTCTGCCTTTTTCTTCCACAGGTGAGCATTTTCCTGACACATCCACTAAACAGTCCATCCTTCCCTGTTGTCGTGGGGCCATGTTAATCTGATATTCTAGAAGGATCTTTTGAAAACTCAAATCTCACTCTGCCACCCCTCCTGAAGATCCTTCAGGGTAAACTCCAGGGCAGATGTGGACCTAGGGCTGAAGCTTAAGAATGTGGAGGCTCCTCCTTGAGGAAAAGAAAGCAAAAATCTTAAACAAATTTTACAAGGGCACATGACCGTGTGCAACCCTTGGAAGGGGCCTCGCGAGTTGCAGGGAAACCGAGGCTGAGCCGCCACAGCCCTCACAGTAGACCTGCCTGCAGAGAGGAACGGGTGGGCTCTCATGCATGCACCTGTCCTCCTCTCCTGTCTGGGTACCCTCAAATCTCCCACCCCACACCACGTTAGGTTCTCCTCAAATGATGTCAAACTCTCTCCAGGCTCCCTCCTCAGAGTGGCAGCTTTGTCACCTCCCCCAGGGAGCCACCTCTGATGCCTCCGTCCCCACATCACAGCCTGCAGCCCAGAGTAGGCTTCCTATAGTCGTGAGCTCTGGGAGTGTCGTTTAGTGAGGAAAAGGCAAGTGATGGAGTCAGACATATCTGAACTCAAAATCCAGTTCTGGCTGAGCGTGGTGGCTCACGCCTGTAGTCCCAGCACTTTGGGAGCCCGAGGCGGGCAGATCACCTGAGGTCAGGAGTTAGAGACCTGCCTGGCCAATATAGTTAAGCCCCGTTTCTACTAAAAATACAAAAATTAGGTGGGCATGGTGGCAGGCACCTATAATTTCAGCTACTTGGGAGACTGAGGCAGGAGAATCGCTGGAACCCAGGAGGCAGAGGTTGCAGTGAGCCAAGATCACGCCATTGGACTCCAGCCTGGGCAGCAAGAGCGAAACTCTGTCTTGGAAATAATAATAATAATAATAATAATAACCCAGCTCCGCCACTCATTAGGACCATGACCTCAAGTAGACTACCTAACCCCCCATGCCTGCCTTTCTCGGCATGAGGCCAGGCTTCATGAACGAGCAGACTAGTTTCTAGGCTCTTTTGGCCTGAGCTACTTGCTTATTTTAAGAGACAACTATGGCTGGGCACGGTGGCTCACACCTCTAATCCCAGCACTTTGTGAGGCCAAGGCGGGCGGATCACCTGAGGTCAGGAGTTCGAGAACAGCCTGGCCAACATGGCGAAACCCCTTCTCTACTAAAAGTACAAAAATTAGCCGGCGTGGTGGTGGGCACCTGTATTACCAGCTACTCAGGAGGCTGAGGAAGGAGAATTCCTTGAACCCAGGAGGCGGAGGTTGCAGTAAGCCAAGATCGAGCCATTGCACTCCAGCCTGAGAGACAGAGCGAGATTTCTCCTCAAAAAAAAAAAAAAAAAAAAAAAAAAAAAAGACAACTGAACTGAATGTTCTCATCTTTCCAAACTGCAAACCTAAACGTGCCACCTTTGGTTTCTCGGTGCCGTTAGGAGAAAATCTGCACTCTGTCCCGAGGCCCTGGGATTCTGGCTGCAGCTGCCCTGGGCACCCTCTGCCTCTGGCTCTCACATCCTTGCCACACCGGCCTTCCTGGGCTTCTTCACGTGTGGCAGGGCATTTACACGTGGCAATCTCTCCACCCAGAATGCTCTCCCTCTAAGGTCCCACAGCCAGCAGGACACTGCTGCCAGCTTCCAGCTGTGCACCATCTCCCCAGGGGCATCTCTCTGCTGGGGCTCCCAGCTGGGAGGCTCCTCTGTGACTGCACTGGGGGTTTTCCTCAGGGCTCTTCCTTTACCGGGTAATGTGCTTCTTCCTCTCCCGGCGGGACAGACACCTCGGTGGAAGGGGGGAAGGAGGATCCCCCCCTCCGCGGGGGCTCTAGGCCACTGCTGCATGTTTGTGAAATGGGTGATGGACGAAACTGATAGAACCTCTCCCCTACCCTGGCCCTACCTCAATGCCTTGTGGCCCCACAAACTTGGGGGCCCAGCTACGACCCGTGTCTCCCTACCCACGTTGCAGCACCCCCCCCACCGCCCCACACCAGTCCTGCCCTACTGCCCTGGGGCTCCGCCTCTTCCTGCGCCCCGCCCTGGCCCCGCCCTCACCGCCCCGGGGCCACGCCTTCCCCTCCGGCCCCGCCCCGTCTAACCAGTGCCGGTGGTCCATGTGCTGCCGGATGAGGGTGTGCGGGGCCACCGTCCCATACTTGTCCACCTCGGGCATGTTCATGTCGTCGATGAAGTAGACGAGCTTCTTAGTGCCTGGCGGCCCGTAGTTCCTCCCCGATTTCTTCTCCAGCGGCTTCTCCAGCACCCCTAGAGAGGGCAGAGGGTCAGCTGCCCGCCTGCGCCTCCTGAGCCAGAGCCTGTTAGGTAGGGAGGGGCGCTACCTGCTTCCCCGGAGGACAGAAGGTGGGACCTGGCTGGGATCCAAGTTTACCAAAGGTACCTGCCCTGGGAGTGGCCCTTGAGGGGGCACCGGGTACAGCCCCAGGAATAAACAGAGCGATCAGAGGCGAGGGTGGCAGGAACCTTGCTCTCCGTCACCTTTGGGTCGCCTTAGATTGGCTGAGACACTCCCGGGGGACCTGCTGCCTCGACTGGCCATCAAAACCCCATCACCATGCCCACAAGGGAGCACCAGAAAGAGGGGTCCCGGCTGCTCCTCCTCTGTCTCCGACTCAGGAAGGAAAGGCCAGCGGGTGGGGCATGGGAAGTGAGGAGGTGCAAAGTGGCTAGTGAGTGCCTGGGCCTGCAGTGAGAGGGGACAGGAGGGAACGGGGACTGGCGGGGGGCAGCCGGGTAGGCAGGGCGTGGCCGGACCAGCCTCACCCTGCAGCATGGCTGAGGTCGTGTAGAAGTTGAAGGGCACAGCCTGCACCAGGTAGTTGTCCGTGTTCAGGCTTTCCAGCTTGTCCCCCATCAGCACCGACTTGCCCGTCCCCGCGTTCCCCACCAGCATCACCGGCCAGGACTTCTCCATGAGCAGGTCCATGAAGTAGCGGATGCGGATGGTTTCCGTGGTGTGGACCAAAGAGGCCTGGGGCAGGGGAGGGAAGGGGAGGGAGCTGTGATTCTCAGACACTTCTGCCTCTCGTGGGTGTGCAGGCCATGTTCTACCGAACAGGTCCTAATGTTGAAAATCGGTTGTGTTTGGACATTCCGTGCAGGCGTGTGGAGGGTACTGCACCGATTCCTGCCTCTAAATCACCAGTCGGTGGCCCTGCTTTGGGGACAGTTACCTGCAGTGGGACATCGGGATCCAGCTCAAAGGAGGGCACTTTATCTGTCCAGGGCAGGAACTTTTTTGTGTCAGGATCAATGTAGTAGTCAAAAATCGTTCCCTGCGAGGGGAACTTGATAGTCTTGAATTCGTTGATCCACCATTTACTGAACTCCACTCGATAATCCACAAGCTGTTGAGACACAGAAGTAAAAATCAGGGCCCAGCTAAGCAGGATGCTGAGAGACCCTGTGTGGGTGGCCGGGCCCCCCAGGTGCATCACCTGGTCCTGGAACATGGCGCCACCGAAGGCCCAGAAGCAGGTGAACACGAAGTACAGCTCGTACAGCTCCCTGGGGGAGTCGGGGGGCACGGTCTTCTCCGTGAGCAGGCACTCCAGCAGGTACAGAATCGTTTGGATCACCGTGATCTCCGGCACTGGCGTGATCTTCTTGAACCCAAAGCGCAACTTGTCCAGGCACGTGGGCAGGTACTTGTCAAAGAGGATCATCAGGTTGGCCTTCTCCGACTGCACCTTGCGCCTCTCGATCCAGCTGCTCACCACCCTGGGGGTGACAGGAGGCGCCGATGACACAGCCGCTGCTCTGGGTCTGCCAGTGTCCCTGCCTTGGTAAACGCCCCTCCCTACCTCCACCCAATTCTGCTGGGGCTGCCCTCAGGGTCACCATGCCTGCATGGCAATGGGTCCAAACGAGGGTGCCAGAGGGGCCAGTTGCAGGCCCTGAAAGGGTCGGAGGAGGATGCCAGGGTCGTGGGGGCTGTGCCCTCTCTGGGGTTGCTAGCTATGGGGGTGCTGTAGGTCTAGAACAGTTGGAAGCCATTCTTGCTACCACACGGGAAGCACATACCAAGGGCTGGTGGATGGGGCAGAACAGAAAAGGAGAAAGATCTCATGATGTCATGTGGGGGGCACGAAGGTGGGGACAGTAAGGGAGCAGAAAGGAGAGACAAGGATAGGAGCAGGGACATTTCATTACATCATCTGGACTCCTGAATCCAGCCATGCCTGAAGCACCCCTTGGTGCTTTTTTTTTTTTTTTTTTTTTAAGCTTCAGTTAGTTTGAGTTGAATTTGCCATGTTCAGTGTAAGAGTACAAATCAATACAACCAGCAATCCTTGAAGAGCCGTGCCAGACTGTTGGCCACAGACATCTCTGGGTGGCTCGTGTGGAGGTGGCCCACCACGGCGGTGAGGGGTGTGGACTCTGGGGCCTGACTGCCCAGGCTTGAGTCAGCTCTACCATGGCCAGCTGCTGCTTTAGGCAGGTTACTGCACATGCCTGAGTCCCTGGTTTCTCATCTGTAAACAGGGGTGATGTTTCCATGACCCTCATTTCCAAGGACTACATGGGCTGATATTTTTAAAGCTCAGAGAAGGGGGCCTGGTCCAGGGTAAGTGTTGCCAAATCAGCATCTGCTGAAAGCATCACTAGTGCCTGGCCCCCTCGAGTGCCAGTGAGCTCAGCACGTGCATCATTTCCAGGATGCCCAGGGCCTAAGCAGGAAGCTCCTGTTAACACACACAGCCAGCCTGCCCTGCGCTGACCGGCAGACGTGCCTCTTTAGACAGAGACTCATTTTTTTTCTTCTTCTGAGATGGAGTCTTGCTCTGTAGTGCAGGGGTGCGATCTCGGCTCACTGCAACTTCTGCCTCCTGGGTTCAAGCAATTCTCCTGTTTCGGCCTTCCAAGTAGCTGGGATCACAGGCGTGCACCATCACACCTGGCTAATTTTCATATTTTTAGTAGAGACAGGGTTTCGCCACGTTGGCCAGGCTGGTCTTGAACTCCTGACCTTAGATGATCTGCCCGCCTCAGCTTCCCAAAGTGCTGCGATTACAGACATGAGGCACTGTGCTTGGCCAGACACACACTCTTCTGTGAGTGTGCTCTGGGGGAGCTCCGCTTCTTCCTGAACCTCTATCACAAGAGAGAATTAAGAGCTGAACGTCTTTGCCGCATAGCACCCTGTATTATCCAGCGTAATAGAGTAAACCTTTCTATGTCCCTAAGCGAATCAGGGTGTCTCCATGCCTGTCGCAACTAAGAACTGAATTCCAAGTCCAGTTGGTCTTCAGTAGGGGAGATTGATTTGCAAATCTACGCAGAGGCTGCTGCTTTCTGCCTTCTACTTTGAAGATGTTTGTGTCAAAAATTTGTGATGCTGCCTTGGTAGGAGTCACTGAGTGCGGGTCGGTGTGTGTGCTGTCTCTGATATGCGTAGCACAGGCCCCAGGAGAGACACATGCTTGCGAGACAGGCCGACTTTCTCACCTCTGGTCCATACGGCTTCTTGCCCTGTCCCCAAGGCCATCCTGGGTGCATCCGGCATCCCTGCCCCTGGCAGTTGCCTATAGGAGGGCTGCTCCTGCTGTCTGGGGACCCTGTGTCTGCTTCTCGCCCATTTCCATTCTCTCCTCTGCCAATACTCAGGTCTCCTCCTCCTGCTTCCTCCAGGTCACTCCTTGGAGGTGTCCAGTTCCTGCCTTGGCCCACGCTGCCTTCGTTTCTGGCTCCCTCTTCTCTGCTCCCATAGGGTGTCCCCCTGAGGACTCCACGATCCTGTCTTTTTCCTGTCCCCGTGTCTCAGCAGCTCCTACCCAGGCTTCATTTCAGTTCCCCGGACATTGTCTTTGCCTACCCTGAAAACTCCCACACATGGTACAGTGGGTAGGATGGTGGTGCTACAAAAGAATGTCCACCCAGAACCCAGAATGTGCCCTGATTTGGAGAAAGGGCATTAGCAGATGTCATCAAGGATCTTGAGACAAGATCATCCTGGATTTAGGGTGGACCCTGAATCCAATGACTGTGTCCTTATAAGCAAATGGGAAATTTGGACACAGACATACAGAGAAGGCCACGTGGAGACAGAGGCGGAGATGGGAGGGGTGTGTCCATAAGCCAAGGGATGCCAAGGACCGCCGAGAGCCCCCAGGAGCTGGGAGAGAGGCCTGGGACAGGTTCTCCCGCAGAGCCTCAGAGGGAACCAGCACTGCCTACTCCTTGACTTCTGGCCTCCAGCACTGGGAGAGGATAAATGTCTGTTGTTTGAAGCTGCCCCATTAGTGGTCATTGTTTCAGCAGCTGGAGAATGCTGTATAAGCAGGCAAGTGTTGCTGGAGAAGCCGGCACAGAGGCACCCAGGCTCAGCAGCTCCTGGCCCTGTCCCCATAGGGAACATTCCACTTGGTATCCCTCTCAAACCCTGGCCACACTGTGCTGCCTGCCTCCCAGCAGAGGGTCTCACTTCCCACGCAGAGAGCAAAGAAGTGCACCAGCATGAACTCCGGAAACTTAATTTTCTCTGCCTATAGACTTGCATGCACCTGAAAACAGCCATGCCTGCATCCCATGGCCAAACATCATTCTTGTCTCGACAAATACTACAAAGCTTCATTCCTCTTGTTCCAGCCCTACCCTCCAGCACTCCAAGGCAGGACTCGCCTCACTTCTGGCGCCTCCTGCTGCCTCCTCCATACCTCATTGCCATCTGGCTCTGCCCTCAACACGCCCTGAAGCTGTTCTCCCTGAGTGATGGAGATGCGCCTAGCTCCCAAATGCAATGGGAACTCTTCTGTCCTTGGCTTGACTCTGGGTGCCATCCTACTGAGGTGAATGCTCCCTCCTGAAGCTTTTGTTGCTGGGTGTCTGGGATGACGCGTCCTGGGTTCCCTTCTGCCTTTGGTTTGTTCCACCTGTGAATCCCTCACATATTCTTCTTCCTCCCCCACGGTGCTGGTTTTTCTCAGAAAACCAGCTTTTTTCATCACTCTCTACATCTTTCCTGGAGAGCCCAGCTCCCCAGCATGGAATATCCTGGGGTTGGACACACATGGCAGGTGTGCGAAGTACTGGGTGGGCGGGAGGGTGAATGGATGGGTGAGTGGGTGGGTGGGCGGATGGATGGATGGATGGATGAACTGTGACCTCCAGCCAAGACGCTCCTCTGGAGCCTCTTGCCTCAGGAACACCTCACTGGGATTTCTGCCTAAGTCCACGCAGGACATTTGCACAAAGCTGTCATTTCTATGTCCCCAGGAAATCCCTTACTCTGTCAATCACCAGCCACGTGTCCAAGCCCGAAAATATGCCTCTGGAATCAATATCAAGTCTTCCATTTCTCCAGATTTCAGATATTTCTTAAACCCATCCCTTCCTCTCTGATCCCTAGAGGCCCCCATCTTGCTGGCATGACCAGCTGCTTTTCCCTCGTCACATTGGAAAGGGACACTTGCACCTTGGCCCAGCATCAGCGCCTTCCCGTCAGGAGCAGCCTCCGCCTTTATGCTCTGGCCAGGAGAACCCGACCACTGCCCATCCGGCAATGCCCCACTCCCCACCATGCCCTGTGAACGCGGGTTCTTGTCTGGTGTGCTTCTCTGTTTTCACCCCTTAGAGGCAGCCTGACCCTTTGGATGGCAGCCCAAACTTCAATCACCTGGGAAGACTTCCCACCTCCACAGAGGCCAAGACCTCCCTTCCCACACCAGCCCTTGTTCCCTGGCACTTTGTGCAAACATCCGTTTGCTCAGCTGCCCTGCCTCGTGTCACTGTGAATTTACACCATTTATTCCCAGGTCTCTCACCCCTTCACTGCTGTGACACTGGTGCCTGGTGAGGGCCTGATACACAGTTTGTGACATGAATGATGAATGAATATGCAACTCTGAAACAGGCCAACAAGTTCGTTTTTCCCTGCCGAGGTTTGGAACAGGAAAGCCAAAGCCCCACTCACGGGTTCCATCCCAGGTCGGCTGGGTTGATGTAGAGGATGCCGGCTCTGGAAACGGTGGCTGGGGTGGCCGTCCTCAGGTGGCTGATTTCGAACACCAGCCTCATGGTGCGGTTCAGGGGGATCCGCTCGTTGCTGGCCAGGGTGAGGACCTAGGAGGGGGACAGCAGCCCGTGGGGTCCTAAGGCGACACCTGCCATCCCAATGGTGTTCTGGGGTGGGGGTTACTCGGAGCAAACCTCCGAGCAAGGAGGAGGGGCCCAGGCCAGCCCTGCCACCCCTGGCCCACAGCCCTAGTCCCTTGGCCCAGGGCTTCTCTGCCTTCCCTGAATCCAGCAGCCTCTAGACGCCCACACCGTGAGGGCTGCAGCATGGAGTCAGGGCTGCTTTCTCAAACCATCACCCCTCCCCATCCTGGAAAGTATTGTGTTCCTTCCTGCATCCAACTGAGGAGCATTTTTAGAAAATGGCTTCTAGACAATTCTACATAACCATTTCTGCTTCCCAGGCCTTTACTCTGAACCCATCCTGCTAAAATGTAAGGTGAGGCGCATGCAAAACCACAACGCATGTGACAAAGTCTCACGACAAGGTGCCCCTCACTCATAGCTTCCTGTGGAGATCCAGACACGCCACCTGCGCCAAGCCTGGCATGCAGGGCCTGAGTGCTCCGTAGGCGCCTCCCTGTGAGCCCCCGTTGTCCCTGCCTTGGGTGGCCTTGGGGCTTAGAGTCCAGGGCCCGCGAACCTTGTTGTCATCCATGACTGTGTTGAGAGACTCGATCCACATGGGGTCTATGTCTCCGTCAAGGATGATCCACTTGGGGCCGTCATGGGTGATGTTGGCCAGGTCTCGCATGATGGTGGAGAACAGGCCTGGGGGAGGCGCGTGGTATGACCCCGGGCCCTTCACTCCGGCCCCATTCCAGTCCCCACCAGTCCTGACCCTGGCCTCTCTCTCTGGGAGGGAGCCTGTCCCCTACTTCAGAGGAACAGCAGAGGCCCTCGGGCATGAGGTGCCCAGGCTCCCTGCCCTCCGTTCTCTGTGGCCTCCCTCCTACGTGCCCTCTCCATGCCTGAGGCCCTGCCTGTCCTCCTCCGACCCTGCACCCTCCCTGTCAGCCCCTCTTTGTGGCCCTGGCTGGCTCAGTTTTTCCAGGCTCAACATCCCACGGGGCGCAGCACCTGTGCACCCAGCTCTGTCCATCTGTCCACTCACACGCTCAGCAGAAGTCTGCGGAGCACGCTTCATGCGTCAGGCATGGAATGGAGCAAGGTGGGGGCTGGGGGTACAGAGCTTGACTTCTAGTAGGGGAAGTGAGCTGTACATGCAGAAGCCAGCGAAGGGGGACAGGGAAAGCGGGTCAGGGGTAGGGCCACTTCTGATGGGTAGGGTGCGGGGGACAGGCTAGGCACAGCCCTCCCCTAGGCTCCTGGTCAGGACCACCCTGCTCCCGCTGACTCCTCCTCAGCTCTCGCAGCTCCTTTCTGCAGCCCACTCTCCAACGTCCGGAGTTCCTTTCATAAAGTGCAAACCCAGTGACGCCACCTCCTGGGGGAAGCTTCTCCCCAGAGCCCACCGACTGAGGCCAGGGCTCCCCGGGCAGCCTCCAGCCTGCATGTCTGGGCTCCCATGCACTCCTCACGGGTCACACCTGTCCTTGCTCTGCCCTCTCCCCTTGGCCTGCTCGGGGCAGGCCTGCAGTCCTCACCGTCCCAGCTCCTGTGGCCCCCATTCCTTATCCCCCAGCCCGGGTGCTACGTGCCCACTGCTCCCCATAAACTTTGTTACCATGGTGCCACCATTGCAGGCCACGTGCCTGTGTGCCCCACCCTAGCCTGGGGAGGCTGGCCTTCCACGTGGGAACGGCTGAGCACACGCTCACTGCACTGGACCAGGAGTGCCCCTGCAGCCTGTCCCGGGACCACCCTCGTTACCATCTTTCCATTCCCTGGTCACTGGGTTGATGATGCCAAAGAGCTCGTCGCAGGTGACGGCCTTGGGGTCCAGGTCCACGGCGACCGGCTTCCTCTTCAGGTTCTGATAGGTCTTGTTGAGGGATTTGAGGACCTGGCGAAGGTGGGGGTCACTCACGTGTGACTCCATGTTCCTGGCACATCCTGCCCCACTAGCCTCAGGACCATGGGTGGGCCTGGATGGTTTTTTTTTTTTTGAGATGGAGTTTCACTCTTGTCACCGAGGCTGGAGTGCAGTGGTGTGATCTCAGCTCACTGCAACCTCTGCCTCAGGGTTCAAGTGATTCTCTTGCCTTAGCTTCCCAAGTAGCTGGGATTACAGGCGCCCATGACCACACCCGGCTAATTTTTGTACTTTTAGTAGAGACAGGGTTTCACCATGTTGGTCAGGCTGGTCTCAAACTCCTGATCTCAGGTGATCAGCCCGCCTTGGCCTCCCAAAGTGCTGGGATTACAGGAGTGAGCCGCTGCGCCCGGCCCTGGATGCCTTTTATGAACCACCAGGCTGAACCCTTCTCTGGATCACGTTTGCTCTGGAGACACACAGGTGAGTTTACACCCCCCAACCATGGCTGAGGCGAAGGAGGCCTGGGTGATGGGAAGCTAACTGTTCACTGTGCGTGTCTGCAGCCCGCAGAGAGCTGCTTGCCCTAGACTGTGCGAGGCTCTGAAAACATTCACATTCCTTTCTTCCTCATGGTACAAGTAATACGCACTCACTGAAAAACCATCTAGGAAAACTCCCCACAATCCTCCATTCAGGGAAAAGGAGCTTTAAAGACACGGTTGAGGACATTTCCTGTATGTGTATGTCCGAGTTCCTTTTTAGGAAACTGGGTCCATGCGGCCTCTGCCTTTTAAAACATCACTTCTGGTGAGCTTCCCCATGTGACTGGCGGTGGGAGTGATCTCAAACAATAGCAGAAGGGTCCAGCCTGTGGGCCTCTGGCCGGACACTTGGCTGGCATGGAATTTTCCACATCACAGACATCAGTCACATCCGCCACCACCCTCCACATGTCACCACTCCCTAGGCCATGGCAGGTGACAGGAGGGCGATGGGTTGGGCCGGCCACAGGGACAGGGAGACAAGTGACTGACGTCAAGGAGAGAAGAGCAGGAAGACAAGGAGGAACAGGGAGGGAGGCCTCACCCAGGGATCAGGGATCAGGGGCTGTGGCAGCTCCTCCCCTCCTCCTCGGCCCCCAGCTTCCTCCCTGGCCCATGACTCAGGCCGGAGGGCTCCCAGGATGTACTGGGTTGGGGTCTCCGGGGTGGCGGGGAGTGATGGAGGGCCGACCCTTCGCCCCAGCCCTCCCCCACCATGCCGGATCCCTGCAAGGTCCCTGGAGCGGGTGACACACCTGAGATTTGCCGCTGCCCGCATTCCCGACGATGAACACGGAGTGGCGGACCTGCAGCAGCTCCTCCAGCTGCACCACCTTCAGCACGAAGCTGTCCTCCGCCTGCAGCTTGAGCTCCACGATGCTCTGCTTGATGATCTGGGGAGACATGGATGAGGCTGGGTGAGGAACTGAAGCAGCTTTTCTTTCTTCTCGCTGGGAGGCTGGGGGGCTTCCTGCCCCGTGGGGGAGATGATAAAGGCGCCCTTGCCCTCCGATGCACGTGCGTCTGCAAGTTCTGCTGTCAATGCCGAGAGTTGACATAGCTCCACCGCGACCTCATGCAGGGGGTCGGTTTGCCTGAAGCCCCCCCAGCCTCAGTTGAGAGAGTGACCTCCCCCAGCACTGACAGGGTGGGGCTGGCCAGGGCCACGGAGGCAGCTGTGGCTCAGAGGTCTCTTTGTAGCATCGGGAAACGTGCGTGTGTGACACGGGTCTCCACCCGTCCAACATCAGTGGGAAGGAAGCCCCAGCCAGGCAGGCTTCTCCGGACAGACCTGAGACCCAGGAGTCCCGACCTTTTCAAAATTCAGGTCCCGTTTCCGAGGCACGTCCAGAGCCGGGAAGAGGTCCCCGATCAGTCCCATGAATACGGGCAGGTCGTCTGTCACAATCTTGGGGATGTTGAAGTCTCTCAGCGCCCGCATGAGCACCTGGTCCTCTGCCCGGCTGGGGTCGCCCCTCTTCAGGGAGCCGGCCACCACCAGCACAGACTTGATGGCTCTCAGGCCCCAGTCGTAATGATCCTGCGGGCAGTGGGCACAGGTGGGCAGACGTGAGCTCACCTTCCTGTGGCCAGCAGGCAGGTCTGGAAGCCAACCCTGGCTGCTGCCCGCATCTCAAACTCCCACCCACACCCGCCGTGAGCTCCAGGACACACACACCTGCTTCGAGAGCAGCTCCTTGCACAAGGTGTACAGGGTGATGAACTTCCTGGCCAGAAGGCGGGCTTCCAGAAAGCCCTCGGCCATGAGCATGATCTCACATATCAGTTCGAAGTCGGGGACGACCATGGCACAGGGCCTGGGGAGGTCAGCGGTGCCTGTGGGCTTCTGCCCACTCCCTCCCCAACCTACACCCCTGCCTGTCCCTCTTCACCTAGGAGAGCACACCTCGACTGCCAGGTAGACCACAGCAGAGTGTTGAACCTTCGGTCCTGGAGCCGGGCTCCCAGCCCGCCTGCTCCCTACTTCCCTCCTCCTCCCACATCATCCACTGGGTGCACCTTCAGGGCCCCTCCTCTGAGAGCCACCCCAACCCCCCAACCCTGCTTTCCATCACTGTGTCCCAGGTGCGGTCCTCCCACCCAGGGGAAGACAGAGTGCTTTCTAAGGAGGCCCTCGCCTGCCTCATCCTGGGAGTGTTTTTTTTTTTTTTTTTGAGACAGAGTTTTGTTCTTGTTGCCCAGGCTGGAGTGCAATGGTGCCATCCCGGCTCACTGCAACCTCCGCCTCCCAGGTTCAAGCGATTCTCCTGCCTCAGCCTCCTGAGTAGCTGTGATTACAGGCATGCACCACCACACCGAGCTAATTTTTGTATTTTTAGTAGGGACGGGGTTTCACCATCTTGACCGGGCTGGTCTTGAACTCCTGACCTCAGGTGATCCACCCTCCTCAGCCGCCCAAAGTGCTGACATTACAGAAGTGAGTTACTGTGCCCGGCCATCTTGGGAGCTTTTGATGACTTCTTCCCTCCCCAGCTTGCCCTCTGCCCCTCCCCTCTGCCCACTCCTTGGCACTGGGACGTTGCTGTGGCCGGCCTGGCTCACTGCAGCCACTCACTTTCACCTGGGCCACGTACCTGAATAAGGCTTTTAGGTTCTCAGGCAGCTCCGCGCGTCCGGCGTACCCAGGGTTCATGGTGATGAAGATACCGACGGTGGGAATGAGGCCTATGATCTCTCCCAGGAAATTGAATGCTTTTTTCTTGGCCCGAATTGCATCCTGGACACATTTTACCTGCACGGTTGGTGACACAGACATGTTAGCATGGAAATGGCCAGCTTCCACACACCAGAGAGGCCTTCACATATGTTAAAGCATGAGGCTGCGAATTTGCGCCTGCAAATTCAAACCTCCTAGTTTATTTTTTAAATTAAGCCTTTTATTTTTGAGAAAGTTGTAGATTTGCATGCCATGTAGGAAATAATACAGAGGGCCAGGCACAGTGGCTCACACCTGTAATCCCAGCACTTTGGGAGGCTGAGGCTGGAGGATGATTTGAGCCCAGCCTAGGCAACATAGCAAGACCCTGTCTCAATAAAAAATACAAAAGACAGTGATTGGGGGGAAGAAAAAAAAATACAAAGGCAATTCTGTGTACTCTCTGCCCCATGTAGCCTGATGGGAACATCTTGCCTAATAACAGTACCAGTCACAGCGGGGGTGGTGGGCGGGGGGAGGGTGGGCGCGACACTGAGGCCAGCATTGCTGTCACCATGGGGTGACAGCCCTCTTATAGCCACACCCCTTCCCTCTTGCCCCCTTCCCTCCGTTTGACCCCTGGCAACCATGTCCTTTTTTTCTGTGATTTGGTCATTTCATGGATGTTATATAAGTGGAATTGTATCATACACGATCTTCCCAGATGGACTTTTTTTTTTTTTTTTTTTTTTTAAGACTGAGTGTCACTCTGTTGCCCAGGCTGGAGTGCAGTGGTGTGGTCTCGGCTCACTACAACCTCCACCTCCTGGGTTCGCCCCATTCTCCTGCCTCAGCCTCCCGAGTAGCTGGGACTACAGGCGCCCGCCACCACGCCCGGCTAATTTTTTGTATTTTTTAGTAGAGACAGGGTTTCACCATGCTAGCAAGGATGGTCTCGATCTCCTGACCTCGTGATCCGCCCGCCTCGGCCTCCCAAAGTACTGGGATTACAGGCGTGAGCCACCACGCCCGGCCCCCAGATGGACTTTTATCACTCAGCAGAATTCTCTGGAGATGCACCCAGGCTGTTGCAGGAACCAGTAAGTATTTCAACACCTTGTCCCTGCTGAGTTGGGTTCCACTCCCAGCCCTTTTCTGTCCTGTTACTACTCTGGCAATGACCTGTCAGAGGACTGGTTAGCGGCCACCTCCGTATCAGACAGTCTTGAAGGCCAACTGTCAGCTACGAGGTTAAACCTAGAGCATCAGGGGCCGTTGCCTGCTTGAGGTCTCCTCTGGAAACCTGCAGAAGACAGCTGTGTCTCTCCAAGTCACCACTTGAGGGGGCCCAATACTCGCGGTAAAGCTGCTCCCAGCACCTGCCTTTCCCTGTCTTCCCCAGGACAGCCAAGTCCTGGTGCCCTGGTGATCCCAGACACCCCCATGCCCAGTCTGCTGAGCGTGCAGCTTGTCCCCTGGCAGGACTGGGGCCTTTCGGAACAGCACCGCTTCCAGCTAGGCCAAGCCTCTCCTGTGGTCTCCATTGGAGCCCGTGAACATTCAGTGCCCAGAGTAGGGGCTATATAAATATTCTGGGGTTTGTTCATGGACGTCGGAGGTGCTCAGCAGCTCTGCTCCTGTGCTGGGGGCAAGGGAGAGGGTCCCCACGGTAACAGCCAGCACTGCCCATGGTTTGGGGTCCCCATTCTCTTGGTCATGGGGCCTCCAGCCCTGGGGCTGGGGAATGACTGAGGCAGAGGGAGCATAAGGAGAGGAGGAAGCAGCCACCCCAGGCACCTCTAATCCTGCTGGCAGACCTGTGTCACCAACACCGCCTTACAGGTTAGAAGGTGGAGGCAGAGGGAGTCCACATCACTGCCAAGCCGAGAGTCAGGGGTTAAGTTGGTGTATAAAGCAGGCTCTCAGCCGGGCACAACGGCTCACGCCTGTAATCCCAGCAGTTTGGGAGGCCGAGGTGGGTGGATCACCTGAGGTCAGGAGTTCAAGACCAACCTGACCAACACGGAGAAACCCCATCTCTACTAAAAATACAAAATTAGCCGGGCGTGGTGGTGCACGCCTGCAATCCCAGCTACTCGGGAGGCTGAGGCAGGAGAATTGCTTAAACCCGGGAGGCGGAGGTTCAGTGAACCGAGACTGTGCCATTGCACTCCAGCCTGGGCAACAAGAGTAAAACTCCGTCTCAAAAAAACAAAACATAAATAAATAAATAAATAAATAAATAAATAAATAAATAAAGCAGGCTCTCCACCCAGGTTGTGGGGCTTAAGCAGCCCAGGAGGCATTTGCACGTCCACACCCCACATGCTCCTGGTCTATCCTGTGGTGGGAGGACCTTGACACCGCCAACGCCCTGACTTGCATTTCCTTTTGGAAGAGCACAATTGTCCCAGGCCGCTAGGTCGGCCTCCACTTACCTTAGACAGCCCAGTGCTTCTCAACCCCCAGCATGCGTCAGGATCACCTGAGGCATTTGTTTAAAATGCAGAAATGCTCCTCCTAACAAGTGGGGCCCACGCTGGAGATTTTAACAAGCATCAGTGGGGGTGGGGCGCTGGCCCAGGCTGCTCCCCAATCCGAAGTCCCTGCACCCAGGTCGCCCCAGCCACTCCGCTGCACGCTCTGTGCCCCGGCATGGTTGTTCCCAAAACACACGGGCGCATTTCCTCCCTCCTCCTCTTCCTCCCTCTCCCCCTCCTTTCTTTCTTTCCTGCCATTCCCTTTCAGCACCTCCTATGCCCAGCTCCGCTGATACCAATAACAAAGCACTTTGTCTTTCTTTCCTAAGCAAAATTAATTATTCTCCCACCTGTATTTTGTTACACGTTTGCTACCATACATGTAACCTGTAATCTGATTCTGTTTTCAATGTGTTTGCCTAACCAGGCTTTGGGACCCTGGAGGGCAAGAGCTCAATGGCACCACACCACCCTTCGGTGCTTGGAACGTTGCAGAGAGGCAAGGAGGGTCTATCTGGCGTGTGAGGTCACAGGAAAGCTGACGAGCCAGTCACCCGACGTGACCCCGAGGCCGCAGGCAGGGGACTTTACCTGCACGGCAATCACAGACAAGACTTCCACTGAGATGCGATTAAACTCGTCAAAGCAGCCCCAGGCTCCCGTCTGGGCCAGGCCCTTGTAGATATTTCCACAGGACTGGAAAGGGCGAGATGGAGAAAGGAAGAGCTGGGAGGGTGACAGGGAGGGCGGGCGCTGCAGGGGCCTCCCCCTGCCTCTTCGGCTGTGTTTTCTCTTCCCAAAGCTTGCTCAGGCCCCGGTGCATTGGAGCCTTCCGCAGGCCAGCAGGCAGGTCAGCTTACTGCCCAGGGTAACACCGTGGAGGGCTGGACACGAGGAAGAGCCATCCTTTCACCCTTGCCTCCCAGACCCCAGGATGGGGACTTCCTGGAGTCCCTAATAAGGGGCTCAGACAAGCACATTTAAGTTCTAAACCTTGCATGTTTTCTCAGCCCTTTTCTTTCTTGCGTGGAGAGGAGAGGGAGTCCTCTAAGGCGGGATGGGGGCACGTCTAGCAGGCCGGAGGCTTTCCCTCAAGACATCTGTGTCTCTCTAGGCCCCACCTGGGCCAATCAGAAGGACTCGTCCCATCTACACCTGGGATTCCAGGTGGATGTTAAGTCCCTTCCAGGGAGATCCAACTTCAGATTTCACTTTTCTAAAATCCAGGAGGCGGATGTGGACTGCGTGGCCCTGACAGTGAACATGGGCTGCTGGTCCCATCCTCAGCCTCAGGAGGGGGCCCCCAGATTGTGGGGCTCAGATCCAAGCTGGGGAGGGGAGACCCTCTGCAGGCCTAGGGTCCAAAACTCAGGGTTCCATCCCCCTTGCCTTCCCGTCTTGCAAGAGGCTGCTGCAGCCTGGAGCTCCGAGGTATCCCCTTCCCCTCCCTGGCCTCCTGTGAGCCGACGATGTCCTGTGCAGGCTCTAATGACTGATGGGACCGGGCCAATCCCCTGCTCCCCTCCCAAACCCACCTGGACACTGCTTGTACCCCACCCCATGCTGAACCATGAGGGAGGTGCTCACCCCTGTGCGGAGTCCCCAGTTCGGGGCAATCTTAACAACTGAAATTGAGAGAGGGTCACCTCCAGGGCAGGGGCTGGGGCAGGACATTTGGGGCTGCGTCTGTCCACCCTGGAAGTCTTTCCAGAGGGACCACCTGAGGGGGATGCTACCAGCAAGTGGGGGCCCTGGCACCTCCTCTCCAGTGCCATTCACAGGTATCCAGAGATCTGGAGTTTACTGTGGGGCCTCGGAGGACAGGGTGCTAGGATCTGCTTCTATAAAAGAAGACTCTGGGTCCCTCCTCCGGACCCCGGCCGCGTACCTTGTAGTCCATCTGCTCGGAGCAGTTGAAGACGTAGACCATGGTGCCCAGGGCTCTGCCCAGGTCCTTGGTCGTCTCAGTCTTGCCGGTCCCAGCGGGGCCGGCAGGGGCTCCACCCATGATGAGATGGAGGGACTGGGTCAGGGTGATATAGCACCTGCAAGTGACCACAGGTAAGCGTGTGTGCCAGCGACCCCATGGCCTCCCTGCTTTTATTTTTTTGAGACAGAGTCTCACTCTGTCACCCAGGCTGGAGTGCAGTGGTACAATCTTGGCTCACTGCAACCTCTGCCTCCTGGGTTCAAATGATTCTCATGCCTCAGCCTCCCAAGTAGCTGGGACTATAGGCGCCCGCCACCATGCCCGGCTAATTTTTGTATTTTCAGTAGAGATGAGGTTTTGCTATGTTGGCCAGGCTGGTCTCGAACTCCTGACGTCAGGTGATCCACCCACCTCGGCCTCCCAAAGTGCTGGGATTACAGGCATGAGCCCCAGGAGACACATGGGAGAGGGCAGAAAACCTTCAGGTGTGAAGGAGGAACCACAACCGTGGAGCAGAGGCAGCCCAGGTGCCTTTCCCACCTGTGGCATTCAGGGAGGTGGGCACTGCTACGACAACCAGAGTCTGCTCATGAGGGTCCATAAAACATGACCCCAACTCAGCAGGCCCACAGAGGGGTGCAGGAACTCTCCCAAGGCCACACAGCCGGTGCTAGAACAAGGACACAGTGGTAGAACTGAATGTGAACACAGGTCCACCTGACGCAAATGCCCAGTCCTTCCAGCCTCCACAGCTGACCTCCAAGTCGGACAGTTCCAAGAATCATGCGGAAGGGACCCACCAAGAGCACATGTGAGTTACTCAGGGACGGGCCTCACCTGTCAGTGAGTGGGGTGATGACCAGCCGCGGCGTGTTGCCCAGATACTCATAGGAATACTGGATTTGGGCATCGCAGATGTTGGCAAAGCAGTGTCGCTTCTCTTCGTCCCAGCGATGCCGGAGCTGGGCCTGCCAGGTGAAGGCCTGAGAACTCTCCACCTGCAGGATGAGCCGGAGCTCTTGTTGCCAGGTGGAATACAAGAGCTAGGGCTGCCTAAGGAAGGCCAGCATGCCTCCAAGGCCGGTCCCCTGCTGCCCAGGGAACCCTCCCTGGCCCTCTTTCCCCCTCCAGCACCCACATCCAACTGTATGGCCACCCTCAGTGGAATCTCGCTACAGAATGGCACTTCCAATGGGCGGGCACCGCTCATCTGACTGCTGTGTGTTGCTCACCAGGGGTGAGTCCGGGCAAGGAGGTTAGGAGGCAGCTGCAGCCAGCAACAGAGTCAGTGCCCCAGGAAGAGGAAGTGGCAGGGTCTGAAGTCCCTGAATGCACTGCCCTGAACCCGGTGTCCCCTTGCCCTTCCCCTGGCCCCTGGGACAGGGGCGCTCATGCCTTGGCCACGATCATTTTGGCCACCACGTCCCGTGCGTGCACATCGATGGTGCAGATGGTCATGATCTTCATCCTGTCGCCAGCGTTGAGGTTCCCCATGAGCAGCGTGATGAGTACGTTCAGCTGGCTAATCTGCGGGGGAGAGTGCCTTCGATGAGACACCACGGGTGCCCACATGCACTGGGGGGTCTTGTGGCTGGGTGCCCACAGCTGCATAGGGAACACCACCATGCTTTTGTTTACAGTAATGAAAAACAAGAGCGCCCTCGGTAGGCCCCAGCCAGGCACTGGTTTCACCAGGGTGCGGCCCTGATGGGACACCTGGCAGTGGCTAGCATGGACGTAGTAGAAGGAAATTCAAGGCCACGAGAGAGGGTGGATGAGAAGCAAAAACAGCTGACTTTAACGCCATCCAGAGTCTGTATATTTTTACATATAAATCAATTATACACACACAGAGTAACAGGTTGCATAAGGGCCCTGCAGTGTCATGCTTGGGTTGTGGAATTACAGGTAAATTCTCCTTCTTTTCAAGATGATCTTTTGTTTCCATATTTCTAACCAAGGACATTTTTTTTTTAAAGACTCTCAGTAGCATCTGCCAATTTTCAGGCGAGAAATCAAAGTACATATTTCTGAAGGTGTCTGTTACTCGTGGGGAGAGGTGCCTGGGGCTGTGGTGCGTGGCTGTTATTTGGCCTGTGGAAACGACGGTTTTGCGGGGCTCAGCCTCCGAGAAGAAGCCGCTCCAGGTACTCGCCCGGCAGGTTTCAGAAGGATACACGGGCCCATGCACCTGCTTTTTAAACAAGTTTTAAAAACGTAACTAACTACACACTAGTAACACACCTGCTTTTTGTTATAATCTCTGATAGCGTTTTCATAGCCTTCCTCCAGCCTGGCAAATGCCAGGCCCACCTCGGTCGTCCACCAGATCTGGGTGCAAGTCAGGGCCACCTGAAAGTACATACCCCCCATTGCCCACGCAGTGAGCGATCGCTGGCGCCTGCTAACGCAGACATTCCTGCTGAAAGCTTAGATGGTTTTCCAGGGGACCACAGTTAACAGCGGAGCCCATGAACGCAAAGAAACTCGCCCCTTATCTCAGCCACGAGGCGCCGCCGAGCCCCCACCCGCCTCAGACCTGGGCTGGGTAGTCCAGGATCCACTGCTCCCTCGGCTTCTCTTCGTAGGTCACCACGGCCTCTGGGATTTCGTGCCGGAGGGTAGAGCACATTCGGTCCAGCACTCGATTCAGCCACACTTCCACCTGGGGACGGGAGCCACGGTGACCAATACAGCCATGTGTGCCTGCCTCTAGTTCCAATAATTTTGTTTGTATTTGTTGTAAAGAAAAACATTTCTCATCATCCTCATCCCAGGGGCAGACAGGTCAAGGATTTTACAGAGCAGTAACAGTGACACACCTTTTTTTTTTTTTTTTTTTTTTTTTTTTAAGATGGAGTCTTGCTCTGTCACCCAGGCTGGAGTGCAGTGGCATGATCTCGGCTCATTGCAAGCTCCACCTCCCGGGTTCACGCCATTCTCCTGCCTCAGCCTCCCGAGTAGCTGGGACTACAGGCGCCCGCCCCCACTCCCGGCATTTTTTTTTTTTTTGTATTTTTACTAGAGGTGGGGTTTCACCATGTTAGCCAGGATGGTCTCGATCTCCTGACCTCATGATCCGCCCACCTCGGCCTCCTAAAGTGCTGGGATTACAGGCATGAGCCACCACGCTCGGCCACATATTTTCTTCTTAAATTGAGATAGGATCTCGCTCTGCTGCCCCGGCTGCTGTGCAGTAACTGCAGTCCTGGCTCACTGCAGCCTCCACCTGTGGGCTCAAGCGATGCTTCCACCTCAGCCTCTCAAGCAACTGGGACTACAGGTGTGCACCACCACACCCGGCTAATCAAAGACTCACCTAAAAAATGTGGCTGGGGTCCAGGCGCAGTGGCTCATGTCTGTAATCCCAGCACTTTGGGAGGCTGAGGCGGGTGGATCACCTGAGGTCAGGAGTTCAAAACCAGCCTGGCCAACATGGTGAAAACCCGTCTCTACTAAAAATACAAAAATTAGCCGGGCACGGTGGCAGGCACCTGTAATCCTAGGTACTCTGGAGGCTTAGACAGGAGAATCACTTGAACCCGAGAAGTGGAGGTTGCAGTGAGCCAAGATCGTGCCATTGCACTCCAGCCTGGGCGACAAGAGTGAGACTCCATCTCAAAAACAAACAAACAAACAAAAAACAAATGAACAAAAAAAAAACCATACTCACAAAAGTAACTGCCACTGGGAGAAAAAAACCCTCAAGTGGACATGAGGGTAGATTTTTTTTTTTGGAGATGAAGTCTCACTCTATTACCCAGACTGGAGTGTAGTGGCGTGATCTCGGCTCACTGCAACCTCTGTCTCCTAGGTTCAAGTGACTCTCATGCCTCAACCTCCCGAGTAGCTGGGACTACAGGTGTCTGCCACCACACCTGGTTAATTTTTGTATTTTTAGTAGAGACCAGTTTCGCCGTGTTAGCCAGGCTGGTCTTGAACTCCCGACCTCAGATGATCCGCCCACCTCGACCTCCCAAAGTGCTGGGATTATTGGCATGAGCTACCGCGCCCGGCCAGATTTTTCCTTTTAACTGGAAACACAGTGCAGGCAGGCCTCGCTGTGGTCTGCAGTTCTGTTTGTAAGGGGTAAGCCCAGGAAGCGAATCTAGACAGATGCTGTCACCACCCCACCCACCCCACCCACCCCATCCACGTAGAGCAGGCCACGTGTGTGCTGTGTTCAACTCTTTGAACCTCAGGTTTTCTCGAGATTTTTTTTTCTTCTTCCTACAACTGATTTACCTCTGCATTGTATTTTCCTCAGGCTGATGTTAAAATGGTTTCTATTGCTTGATCAATAGTTGGGTAATGAGACAGGGGAGGGGGCAGCCCGGAAGTTTTCTGACGGCAGAAGGAGCCCGCCCTGAGCCGGGGGACGCGCTTGCTGGGGAAGGAAGAGGCTGTGGAGACCACTCTGAGTGGTGGGCTGTGCAGCCGATTATTTCAGACAGGTGATGGGAATTGGCAGTTCAGAGATGTGCAACCCCTTTTAAAGCAGTCCCTTTGGCAAAAGCCATGGAAAGGATTCAATGATATTAACAGGGCTTTTTTTTTTTTTTTTTTTTTTTTTTTTTGAGACGGAGTCTCACTCTGTCACCCAGGCTGGAGTGCAGTGGCGCGATCTTGGCTCACGGCAACCTCTGCCTCCCGGGTTCAAGCGATTCTCCTGCCTCAGCCTCCCGAACAGGGCTTTTCTCCCGTCCTTTCCCCTCCCCTTTCTCCCTAAGGATACACTGGTGCTATATGGGTAAGGCTGGGCTGGAAATTCTATAAAGAGGCCCATCCCTTAAGTGTTTTCTAGAGAGGGAGAGGAGAGGAGCAGGGGCGGGCTGGCAGCTGCACAGGGTGCTGGTTCTCCGGACATCGCCATCTGAGGGCGTGTGGCCCACACGCGTGCTGCACCCTTGTCCTGGGTTCCCTGTGTGGTGTGCGCACACACTCACCTGCCCCGAGAGGTCGCATTCCTGATCAAAAACCATGTACTCGTCCTCCTTGCTGTACATTCCCAGGCCCACCTTGAGAGGTTTGTCACTGGCATCGAGCCGGAACTTCAGTTTACACAGGCTATCGAAGAGTTTGGACAGGTGGCGGCTCACCTGGGAGGAGGCAAGAAGCGGGAATTATGCAACGGGGGATTTGAAAGGCATGTGCGTGGCTTGGGCTTTCCGTGGGTGGTTTTAGGCATCGTTCTTTTTGGAATATACTCCCCATCTTTGATCAACGTTGACTAAACATGACTAAGTCAACAAAAGGAACCAGCGAAGACTGCTCTGAGTCAGGACACAGAAACCAGGCCAGGAACCGCAGCCCTTCTAAGCCAAACATCCATTCTGGAAGATTTCTTTTTGGTGGGGCATGGTGGCTCACACCTGTAATCCCAGCACTTTGGGAGGCCGAGGCAGGTGGATCACCCGAGGTCAGGAGTTCGAGACCAGCCTGACCAATGTGGAGAAACCCCATCTCTACTAAAAATACAAACTTAGCCAGACGTGGTGGTGCATGCCTGTAATCCCAGCTACTTGGGAGGCTGAGGCAGGAGAATCACCTGAACCCAGGAGGCAGAGGTTGTGGTGAGCCGAGATCGCGCCATTGCACTCCAGCCTGGGCAACAAGAGCGAAACTCCATCTCAAAATAAAAAAAATTAATAAATAAGATTTCTTCTTTTTGAGAAGGTTCTGTCCCAGATCCCAAGCCACACACTCAGTCTATTCTTGCATATCCCTTCTTCTTGTGTAACCTCTAACCTTACGGTCAAAATAAAATGCAAGCGCTTTCCCTTCACCTAGTTAATTTTTTTTTTTTTTTTTTGAGACAGAGTCTCACTCTGTCGCCCAGGCTGGAGTGCAGTGGTGCGATCTTGGCTCACGGCAACCCTCTGCCTCTCGGGTTCAAGCAATTATCATGCCACAGCCTCCTGAGTAGCTGGGATTACAGGTGTGAGCCACTGTGCCTGACCTCTTTTCTCTTTTAGAATAGCCCCAAGGAGGCACCTGTTCCTTGCTCTTGGGACCCTGAGATTTAACCAGCTGACCAGAGCAAGACCCACTGAGAGGTGTGTCTTTCAGAAACAGTGTCTTACTAAGCCTCTGGCATACGACCCATTTTCTAGAAGGGGAAAATGAGGCACAGAGAGGCAAATTAACTTCTCAAAAGCCAGGCCAAGTGCAGAGCAGGATGTGAGGCGAGTCCTGCCACGTTTCTGCCATGGCTGGGGACCCCAGGGCAGCTTCTGGTGCAGAGGGCCTCCTGGAGATGATGGGGCACGTCCAAGGACACTTACCCCACCCTAGGGCGGTTGAGGTAGAGGTGCCCACCTGGGGTCTGGCATGATGTTGGCTTAAACACCGGAATGCAAGGGGCCCCGCCTACCTCCACGGGGTCATTGCCATTGGAGAGAATGTCCAGGAGGTCAGCCGAGGAGACAAAATAGAACCGGGGGAAAGCCAGTCTTTTCGTCTCTAAATACTCTGCCAAAGCCTTTTCACAGATGGCCAAGCTGGGAGGAAGGAAGGAAGTAGAGGAGGCCGGTGACCCTACTCTGTAGGGATGTCTGCCACCCACCCTGTCGGCGAAGGAAACTGATCATCCTGGAGATGCCTGGACTGCTGTTCACAGGCCTGGTTTAATTCAGAATCTCCTACCGGAGGCTCTCGTTTCTTTGCCATCCCCTGACCTTGTGGGCACTCCTAGGCAAGAGGGAGCATCATTTATTCTCCGGGTCATTGCTTCCTTCAAGGCCAAGGCATCACGTGGTGGGATGAGGCCGGGGAGTGTGTGCTCCCCAGGGAAAGGCAATTGATTAACCCAGGACCCATGGTTTTGCCCTGTCCTGGCCAGCAGGCTGCACAAGACTTAAGTTCCGTCAGACTTAAGACTTAGGGAATCTGCACCACTGACTCCCCTGGTCTGGATAGGTGTGAGCCGCACCTCTTCTTCAGGGCCTCCAGTTTATTGTAGAGGCCGGGTTTGCTGGTGGCTTCCACCACGTTGGGTGTTTTCACTGCATCTTCCATCAAGGCCTGGGAAGAGAAGGGGATCGCCAAGGCATTAGGGATCGCCACACACAGTCATTTCTGAAGTGCGTGGGAACCACCGGGCTGTGCTCACCTTGAATTCCTGGTTGATGTCGTCAAAGCGCTGGGAGTCCCCCGGGAGCTGGGTGCGGATGTCTTCGGAGCCGATGAAGATGCTCTCCAGGTGGCTCCAGGTTCGCTGGACCTCAAACCAGATGGAGATGACGGAGTCCGCCGTGGACAGCTTCTGCTGCCAGCTTGTCACCTCCTTCAGGAAGTGGGCCAGGTACTTGGACATCATCAGGTTCTGCAGCTGCACCTGGTTGTCCTCCAGCGTCTCCACCAGCACCTCGCTGGACTTGAGCATCATGGTGCCTGTCCGCGGGTGCGGCTCGTGCTGGAATTCCATCATGCTCCAGGTACTGTCCAGGGCTTTCAGCACCTTTTGGGGGAACAGAAAAATAAGGTCACTGAGCATTTGGCATGCAAAGCTCAGGCAGGACCCAGAGTTTCCAGGACATAGACTGAAGCTCCATGATCAGAAAGCAAAAAGGCTCAAACCAACGTATTCACAGGAGCCAAAGGCAGATCCAACCCGAACCTTCATCCCCCAATGATGGATGCATGCGATCTCTGTCCATATAATGGAACATAAGCCACTAAAGGAATGAAGTACAGACACCTGCCACAACGCGGATAAACCTGAAGACCCTAGGCTGAGTGAAAGAAGCCACACGCTCAGACCACATAGTGCACGCAAAGGAGATCAGAACGTGCCACCCCAAAATATGCCATCCTGCAATTGACAATTTTGAGTCAGAGGCACTTGAAGGGCAGCAGATGCAGGACTCTCTCTCTGAGCCTCATGCTGTTCCTGGGAAGCAGGAGATGCAATTCCCAGGTGAATGATGCTCTTCTGATACCAGAATGAAACGATCATTCTCATCACTAGGATGGGAAGTGGAGGCGGAAAGAATCCTGTCTGCTCAGACCCTTTTAGAACAGCTCTCACCTTCCAGCCTCTTACACAGATTACTTTTCTACAACTTACGCTTTCTGCAACTCAGTACTTAAGTGTTCAACTCTAACTGTGTTTTGGAGTCTTCCTTTCCTCCCATACCACAGAAAACTTGGATTTAAATAATTTGCATACTTTTCTCCTCTTGATCTATCTTACGTCAATGGAATTCTCAGACCCAGCTGGAAAAAACCCTAAAAGCATAGTGAAAATGTTGCCTCCTCTACCTATGATGCCATTCCTATGAAAGTGTGGAAGAGGGGGATCTATAGAGGGGGAAAGTGGATTAGTGGTTGCCTAGAGCTGGAGATGGGGACATGTGAGAGGAAAGGGGTAGGGGATGATGGCTAAAGGATATGGGTTTCTTTTTGAGGTGATGAAAATATTCTAAAATTTGTTAATTCTATTTTTTATTTTTATTTTTTTAAAAATTATAATTTTTTTTAGGGACAGGGTCCAGCCCAGGCTGGAGTGCAGCAGCATGATCACAGCTCACCGCAGCCTCCATCTCCTGAGCTCAATTCATCCTCCCACTTCAGCCTCCCAAGTAGCTGGGACTACAGGTGTGTGTCATCATGTGCCCAGCTGTTTTTTTTTTTTTTTGAGATGGAGTCTCACTTTGTCACCCAGGCTGGACTGCAGTGGCGCGATCTCAGCTCACTGCAACTTCTCCCTCCCAGGTTCAAGCGATTCTCCTGCCTCAGCCTCCCAAAGCGCTGGGATTACAGGCATGCGCCACCACGCCTGGCTAATTTTTGTATTTTTAGCAAAGATGGGTTTTCACCATGTTGGCCAGGCTGGTCTCAATCTCCTGATCTTGTGATCCACCCACCTTGGCCTCCCCAAAGCGTTGGGATTACAGGCGTGAGCCACCGTGCCCGGTCCCCCGCTAATTTTTTTAAATTTATTTATTTTTTTTGTAGAGATGGGGTCTGCCTATGTTGCCCAGGCTGGCCTTCTCTTGAACTCCTGGGCTCAAGCGCTCCTCCTGCCTCCCAAAGTGCTGGGATTATAGGCAGGAGCCCCCACCCTCTGCTGTTGAATATGTGCTGATTACACACTTGTAACTATGCTAAAAGCCACTGCACACTTTAAACAGGCGAACTGTATGGTATGTGAATTATATCTAATAAAGTTTTTTTGTTGTTGTTTTTATTTTTGTTTTTAAAGCAAGTCAAAATGTGACAATTCAAACTCACAAAACAGGCTGAGGAGAGAGATTTGAACCGCAAAAGGAGTTTTCCTGGATACTGGAACTGCCGGTAGCCAGTGGCGCATTAACAAGTTCAGGTACCAGCTGGGGGCCATCCCCCACCCATCCCCAACCCTCCCGTCAGCTGCGGAGTCAGAAGAAACAACTGACGTCCATGGAGGAGTCAGACGGGACCACAGACAAAGACGCTTGAGGCAAAGGAAATGCGAGTTCTGGTTATTTACAAAATGTTCCAAACTATTGCATGTACGGGGCGGGCAGAGCTATAGCCGCAAATTGGGTTTTCTAAGAAAAATTCCAGAAGTAGGCTGGCGCAGTGGCTCACGCCTGTAATCCTAGCCCTTTGGGAGGCTGAGGCGAGCGGGTCAGTTGAAGTCAGGAGCTCGAGACCAGACTGGCCAACATGGTGAAACCCCGCCTCTACTAAAAGTATGAAAATTAGCTGGGCGTGGTGGTGCACACCTGTAATCCCAGCTACTTGGGAGGCTGAGGCAGGAGAATCTCTTGAACCCAGGAGGTGGAGGTTGCAGTGAGCCAAGATCGTGCCACTGCACTCCAGCCTGGGCAACAGAGAGAGACTCTGTCTCAAAAACAATAAAAAATAATAAACAAACAAATAGATTCCAGAATTATTTTTTAAGATTTGTCACAGGTTGGGTAAGAAAGGCCCGCCAGACTTCCCGTGAGAGCCTTGGGGCTGCAGGACCCCTCTGGGCGCTCTCAGTGGTTGGAGGGGGCAGTTTCAGGCTGATCCCACGTTGCACAGACAGCACCGCCAGCACGGCCTACCTTTTCCATGCCCGACTCCTTCACGGCCTTGTCCACGATGTTGCGGACCTCATCCTCGTAACTGTGGAGGTTCAGCTGCAGTAAATCTGCCAGGGTCGTCTCTTCTGACATTTTAAATTTCACCTAAGGGAAAAAAATCCAGGCAGGATTCATTTCAGGTCATGTGCACTCTGCAGTGGGCAGACGTCATGATCCTTCATGGAGAGCCATTGCCGGGGCACGATCCCGGGCTGCTGGAGGGAGGGAGGCGAGCTCTGCTCTGCCATTTTCAGCTCTGAGACTTGAGGAAGTGACTTCTCCAAGCCTCACCTTCCTTCCCTGTAAAACCGCATAAGAGCAGAACGCACCTGCACTGGGCGGAATTGCGGCCCCCCCGCAAAATTCACATCCGCCCAGAACCTTCACGTGTCACCTTATTTGGAAATAGGGTCTTTGCAGATACTAAGGATCTTGAGGTGAGTTCATCCTGGATTTTCCGGTGAGACATAAATCCAGGGCCAAGTGTCCTCGTGACAGGAAGGAGAGGGACATCTGAGGCACACAGGAAAGAGGGCCTTGTGGAGACCAAGGCAGAGACAGGCATGATGCGGCCACAGGCCAAGGAATGCCTGGAGCCCCCAGAAGCTGGAGGAGGCAGGAAGGACCCTCCCCCGGAGCCTCTAGAAGGAGTGCAGCCTGCTGACACCCTGATTTCAGAGTCCTGGCCTCCAGCACTGTGAGAAAACACAGGTCTGTTTTCTTTCTTTCTTTTGAGACAGAGTCTCGCTTTGTCACCTGGGCTGGAGTGCATCTTGGCTCACTGGAACCTCCACCTCCCGGGTTCAAGCGATTCTCCTGCCTCAGCCTCCCAAGTAGCTGGGACTACAGGCACGTACCACCACGTGCAGCTAATTTTTGTATTTTTAGTAGAGACGGGGTTTCACCAAGTCAGACAGGCTGGTCTCAAACTCCTGAACTCAGATGATCCGCCTGCCTCAGCCTCCCAAAGTGCTGGGATTACAGGCATGAGCCACCGCACCCCCGGCTAGATCTGCTGTTTTAAGCCTCCTGGTTTGTGGTCCTTTGTCATGGCAGCCCCAGGAAGTGAATCCACCACCTTTGGCAGCTGCCGCATTCACAATAGGCAAAGCGCTCTGTGGCAGTGGCCGAATCACAGGTACTGTTACTCTAGTACCAGATCACCGTTAGTCTAGTACGAACATACCAGGTACTTGCCTAGTGCCACCCACTTCCCAAATCGCTTCCACGTCCCTTGTCTAATATTCTTTTTGGTGTCACATAGTCAGATGTTTCTGAGCATTGATTCTGAGCCCACTGTGGAATTTTAACCAACAGATGGAACCTTGCATCTCTAATCACATTTGGGGACATATGTGCCCGAGGCTCACCAAGACCTCAGCTGTGCCCAGCTCCTTTCATGGAGATATTTAGCTGGTTGTTTATCACCGCCCAAGCGTCTCTCCCAGGGCACCCGGAAGGGGCACATGAACCTGTTACCAGGCATCCGGGAAATTTTTTGTCTCAACACTCGAAAGGCACCCCCAGGGGCTGGCTCCCAGACACCCAGATCCCTGGGGAGCAAGTGGGTGCCCCTGTGCCCTCAGGGTGGCCTGCATAGCTGGGTTTGCTTTTCCTTCCTTGGGCCTAGGGAGCAGAAGGGCCCTGGACAGTGTGGTGGGGGCGGAGCAGGAGCCTCTAACACTCCTCCTAGGTGGGCACCCTCCTGGGCTGGCTGGGACTTAATGAGAGATGGAGGGAACCATTTGTCCCCATTCTCCTACTTCCTGCATAGGTACGGATCTCTTGGGAAGCCGTGGGCTAAGCATTGCCGCTGTGCAGGCTTTGGGCCATGCTGCCCTTGGTCCTTGGGGTATGTTCTCACCGTTGTTCTTGCATTCTTTCATGCCAAGACCTGTCCCAGCCTTTCTGCTTGTCTTCACAGTTCTCACTCCCAAGGCCCAAGCCAAATTTCACACTCACTCAGAGCTTTTCCTTCCCTTCCCACCGCTTGAAGGTGGCACCCTCCTCTAGGTCTCAGGATCATCACTAAATATCTCCTGCACTTGGCATTCAAACCTGATTATGGAGGTTGGCAGAATTTGCCACCAAAATACGCCACTTTGGCTTAAGGTTTATTTTGAGCTGAAGGCACTTGAGAAGAAGCAGATACAAGAGAAGCTCTCTGTCCTCCCCCTATTTGCCTACAAGCAGGAAATAAATTTGCCAAGGAGTCCCACCGCCCCCTCTACCAAGAATGATAGAAGTTAATCAATGGAGGCCAGGTGCGGTGGCTCACACCTGTAATCCCAGCACTTTGGGAGGCCAAGGCTGGTGGATCACCTGAGGTCAGGAGTTTGAGACCAGCTTGGCCAAGGTGAAACCCTGTCTCTACTAAAAATACAAACAAATCAGCCAGGCGTGATGGCATGTGCCTATAATCCCAGCTACTCAGGAGGCTGAATCAGGAGAATCACTTGAACCTGGGAGGTGGAGGTTGCAGTGAGCTGAGATTGTGTCACTGAACTCCAGCCTGGGCAACAGAGAGAGACTCTAACTCAAAAAAAAAAAAAAAAAAAAAAAAGAATTAATGGAGACAGCTTCAGCCCCTTATCAGCCCAGAGGAAGGGGAGGAATCTACACAATGCACCTTACTGAAGCTCACCTCATCCTGCTGTAAAGCAAAAATAAAATCCTAAGCCCCCGAACAAATTGAATGAACCCCCCCTCTGCTAGGGGCATTCCAAAGTAAACCGGAAAAATGAGTTCAGGCCATGACGGGAAGGAGGCTGGGGGACAGGCCTCATTATACCCCCCTCCCTTTGGGATTCAGGCACAGCTGACCAGCATTAACATCAACACAGAGAACCTAAGACTGACCAAACAGAATGTTTGTAGCAACATGATACAACACATGACAGATAGCAGGCCCTGAAAGAAATCGCAGTATTTTACCCCAAAATATGTTTCTTTGACATAGTTTGAAATAGTCCTGCAAAGCTGTCTCTTGTAGGGGAAATCTGCATTCTGTAGAGAATCCCCTTCTCTTTCCTGGTCTTTTCCTATTTTGTTAGAGACACAGTTTCACTCTGTCACCCAGGCTAGAGTACAGTGGCATGATCTCGGCTCACTGCAACCTCCACCTCCCAGGTTCAAGCGATTCTCCTGCCTCAGCCACGCAAGTAGCTGGGACTACAGGTGTGCGCTACCACGCTCGGCTGATTTTTGTATTTTTAGCAGGGATGGGGTTTCACCATGTTGGCCAGGCTGGTCTCAAACTCCTGGCCTCAAGTGATCCACCCACCTCGGCCTCCCAAGGTGCTGGGATTACAGGCATGAGCCACCGCACCCGGCTTTCCTCTATTTAATCTGTCTCTCATCAGTCTAATTTACAGGAGCCCCAGCCAGGGAACCTAAGATGGATAGATGGAAAAATAATTTTTTTCCTCTGCTGTAATTGTCAGTACTATTATTTCTCTGCTTCCTTGAGAGCAGGGGCCATGTCTCCTGTCTCTCTGTATCCTTTGCAGCTAGGTGGGGCCTCTGCAGAGTAGCTGCTTAAAGTCATTTTGTTCAGTGTTGGCTGAGAGAGGGGAGCGTTCCTGTTAGCCTTCTGGAGGTGTCAAGGCCAGTGCCTGCCAGTACTGTGGGATATTCCTGGAAAGATTCAGGTGCTAAGACTCTGAGTTCCTGGGGTCATGAGGACCCTAGCGAAGCTGTTCATTTGCCCCAAACTTCCTGAGCCTTATGAACATGCAACCTACAACCAGAACGGCCTACCTAATTTGCAGAGCCCAGTGCAAAATGGAAATGCGGGAACTCCTGTTCAAAAATTACTAAGAATTGGCTGGCGCAGTGGCTCATGCCTGTAATGCCAGCACTTTGGGAGGCTGAGGCAGGCGGATCATGAGGTCAGGAGTTCGAGACCAGCCTGGCCAATATGGTGAAACCCCGTCTGTACTAAAAATACAAAAATTAGCTGGGTGTGGTGGTGGGTGCCTGTGGTCCCAGCTACTTGGGAGGCTAAGGCAGAAGAACTGCTTGAACCTGGGAGGCGGAGGTTGCAGTGAGCCAAGATCGCGCCACTGCACTCCAACCTGGTGACAGAACTAGACTCCGTCTCAAAAAAAAAAAAAAAAAAAGAAAAAGAAAATTACTAAGAATTTTGAGATGGTGAAGTTGAGATGGTAAACGGAGCCTGCCCCACCACCCCCAACCAGCGTGGAGCCCAGTGTGACTGCGCAGGTCACTTGTGCACGAAGCCAGCCCTGCCCACATTGGCTTTACCAGCATCGGGCCCTGAACACCTTGGCTAGGCAGCTCAGGCCAGCCCATCCTGCAGCAGAGCTGGCCGCCAGGGGCGGTCCCCTCCGCCCACCATGGTGCATGGTACCTGGGTGGCCTGCATGAGCTGCTGCCAGTGGCGTTCCCGAATGGCAGGGTTCTGCAGCTCGCTCACGGCACGCAGGGACGTGATCACGTTTTTCACGGTGTTGTCGAGCCCCACGAAGGCATCCCAGGTTTTCATCTCCTTGTCCAAAGACCTCATGTCCTTGGCAAACTTCTTACAATCTATGTCCATCTGCTCAACGTTGATATCTTTCCACTTGGTGGTCTTCCAGTCCTCGATGCTGGTATTTACCTGAAACGAAAACATCCCGTTTCTCCTTCCACTCTCATCAAGGAGAATTCAGGAAGAAAACCCTCTTACCTTTCTGCACTTACTCGCAGGGAGCAAAGCCCAGTGAGGAATATTTAGAACTAATACCCGAGATCAGTAAAGTGATTAGATACAAGAAAAAACAACCGTGGCGTCACAAAAGGTAAGATTTAAAAGTTAACAGTTGGCCGGGCACGGTGGCCCACGTCTATAACCCCACTACTTTGGGAGGCCGAGGTGAGCAGATTACCTGAGGTCAGGAGTTCGAGACCAGCCTGACCAACATGGTGAAACCCCGTCTGTACTAAAAATACAAAAATTAGCTGGGTGTGGTGGTGCACACCTGTAATCCCAGCTACTTGGGAGGCTGAGACAGGAGAATCACTTGATCCTGGGAGACAAGGGCTGCAGTGAGCCGAGATCATGCCACTGCACTTCGGCCTGGGTGACAGAGTGAGACTCCATCTCAAAAAAAATAAATAAAAATAAAAGTTAGCAGTTAAAAGGCATTTTAGCAAAAGGCTGTGTTAGGGCCCTGCTGTTGCTGGCCAGGACCCAGTTTTCTCTCACTTCTCAGTATGTCCATGTAGCTTGTCTTGGCCAAGGAAAGGTGAGTGATGCCTGACAATACCCAGCTTGGCATTCCCCTTGCCTGCCTTGGCAATCACAAAGGGGCATCGCCGAAATACAGCCTGCACTGTGGAACCAGTCCTTGGCAGGTAGCTTCCCAGGAAACAACTGCTTGGAACTACAGCATGCACTTTGCATGAATGAGAAATACACTTTTGTTCAGTACACAGAGATGTGTGGGGTTGTTACCGCACAGTAACGCAGCTTCCACTGACTGGTAAAAAGACAACAGAAGAAACTTCACTCACAACAATATGAAACAAAATATACAAACTACCCAGGAATAACCCCACCAACAGTATAAACATGAAAATGGCTGTGAAGCTGGAAACTGCTAGTCATTGAGGGAATGAGAGATTGTTGACATGGGCACTTACAGTGAGAAGATCTGGACTTGAGAAACATCTGAGCTTGAGAACGTAAAAACTGGGAGTGTTCACAAGATGTTTGCCTTGAAGATACGATGATTTGAAACCTTAATCTACACAGGAGTTGATGGCTTTTTCTGGCAGGTTCGAGATTACCCTGCATCCTATTATCATAAAATGTCTTGGCTAGTGTGTTTTGGAGAGTTTTTCTTGAATTATCCTGACTGCAAATGCTGTCATCTCCTGGGAAATGTGGACTTTATTCTCCTGTCTACACAAACAATTTTTTGTCATGGGAAAGCGTATATCCCATTCTCTCAGATGCCTGCTATGTTCTGTAATGCCACTCATGTAAAAGAAACTTGAGGCCGGGTGCGGCGGCTCACGCCTGCAATCCCAGCACTTTGGGAGGCCGAGGCGGGTGGATCACCTGAGGTCAGGAGTTCGATACCAGCCTGACCAACATGGTGAAACCCCATCTCTACTAAAAAAAATACAAAAATTAGCCGGGCGTGATGGCAGGTGCCTGTAATCCCAGCTACTGGGGAGGCTGAGGCAGGAGAATCGCTTGAACCTGGGAGGCAGAGGTTGCAGCGAGTGGACATCACATCACTGCACTCCAGCCTGGGCCACAGAGCAAGACTCCATCTCAGAAAAAAAAAAAAAAAAAAAAAGAGAGAGAGACAGACTCAAAATCAGTTAATTGTTGAAAAAGTATCAAGAGGCCTTCAATTTGTACCTTCTGTTAAGGCCTGGCTGTAATAAAGCCTGTGTCTCCAAACATGTTTCTCCCCCTGTGTAAGAAATATGTAGACTTGGTATGGTCAGCATGAAGACATTTACTATAATGTATTTTAAAAATTAAATAAAAGAAGAGACAGAGCACGCTCTTGTATGGGAACATGGAATACTGCCAAGAGATTAATTTTCCTCAAATGAGTTAATTCAATTCCATTTAAAGTCATAATAGCTTCCTTTTGGAGGGGAGGAAGATTTGACAAATGATTCTTTTGTTTTTGAGACAGAGTCTCACTCACTCTGTCGCCCAGGCTGGAGTACAGTGACGTGATCTCAGCTCACTGCAACCTCCACCTCCTGGGTTCAAGTGATCCTCCTGCCTCAGCCTCCCCAGTAGCTGGGACTACAGGCACATGTCAACCTCACCCAGCTAATTTTTATATTTTTAGTAGAGATGGGGTTTTGCCATGTTGGCCAGACCGGTCTCAAACTCCCGGCCTCAAGTGATCCGCCCACCTTGGCCTCCCAAAGTGCTGGGATTACAGGCGTGAGCCACCGCACCAGGCCGGATTTGAAAAAAGTTCATTCAAAAAAGTAAAAGAGGAAAGAGTTCAACTATTTTTGAAAACAGATGAGTGACGAGGAGACAGAAAGGCAGAAACCAACATATGCACACACACAGAAGAAGAAATACTTGGGAAAAAGAGGCCCTGTGCTTGGAGTCCAGCCTCCCTTCACACACTGAGACTTGGCCTGTCCTTATCTTTCTGCTGCCTAGGAGGCCACATGGCAGCCTACAGAGACATGATCCAGACTGCCCTCGTTTGGCAAATTCCCAGGCTCCCGAATTGCCTCCTCTTCTCCCTGAATATCACCCTCTCCACAACCTACCCAAATTCCCATTTCCTCAGGGCTGTCTTAGCATCTGACCCAAACAAAAAGCCTGCTGGCATTCTTTAAAAAGTTGTCAGTTCTTTCAGTTCTGCCAAGATGGAGCAGCCCTGTTACTTCCAGCTTCTCTCTCTTACAACTGAAAAACCTTGGACATATCACAACAAACAAGACCATGGAAGATTACTCATATATTGAGGAAATACATAAGACAGTTATGTTATAGTTAAGAGGGGCAGAGGTGAGGGCAAAGAGATCTAAATGGAAGTGAGGTTTCTACACACAAAAGTGACAAAATGTTGATATCAGTGACTGTCAAACAGCCACTAAGAAAACTATATAAAGCGCTATGTTCAGAATCACTCTAAATAAATCAGGATGGATCCTAAAAATGTTAAAATAAAAGAGAGTCAGAGGAATAAGAAACAAAGGGAACAAACAGAAAACAAAATGGCAGACATAGGCTGTAACATGACAATAATTACCTTAAATGCAAAATGGTCTAAACAGATCAATTAAAAGCCAGAGACTGGCAGAGTGGACGAAAAAACATGACCCAATCATATGCTGTATATAAGAAACTCAGTTCAAACACAAAAATATAGGTAGCTTGAAAATTTAAAAATGGAGAAAGATCAGGACGAACACTAGTCAAAAACAATAGAAAAAACAGAAGTAGCTATACTAGTATCAGATCAAGCCAACCTTAGAGCAAAGAAAATTCCTAGAGACAAAAGGAACATTACATAATGGGAAAAAGGGTCAACCTATAAGAAGACAATAATCCCAAATCTGTACACACCAAGCAACAGAGCCTCAAAATACACAAAGCAAAAACTGATGGAGCTGAAAGGAGAAATAAACACATCTATAATTATAGTTGGAGAGATTTCAGCACCCCACTCTCAGCAGTTTATGGAACTGCTAGACAGAAAATTAGCAAGACTATAAAAGGACAGAACAACACAACCAACTGACAGGATCTAATTGACACGTATAAAACACTCCGCCCAACAGAAGCAGAATACGCATTCTGTTCAAGTGCCCATGGGACATTCCCCCAGACAGACTATATCCTGATCCATAAAATAAAGCTTAATACATTTAAAATAATGAAAGTTATATACAGTGTGTTCTTTGACCATAATGGAATCAAACTAGAAATCAATAATAGAAAGGAAACAGGAAAATCTCTAAACGCTTAGAAATTTAAAATACAGGCCAGGCGTGGTGGCTCACGCCTGTAATCCCAGCACTTTGGGAAGCCGAAGTGGGCTGATCACAAGGTCAGGAGATCGAGACCATTCTGGCTAACATGGTGAAACCCCGTCTCTACTAAAAATACAAAAAATTAGCCGGGCGTGGTGGCGGGCACCTGTAGTCCCAGATACTCGGGAGGCTGAGGCAGGAGAATGGCGTGAACCCAGGAGGTGGAGCTTACAGTGAGCCAAGATAGCGCCACTGCAGTCTGGCCTGGGTGAAAGAGCGAGACTCCGTCTCAAAAAAAAAAAAAAAAAAAAAAAAAAGAAATGTAAAATATACTTCTAAATCATCCATGGGTCAAAGAGGAAGCCTCAAAAGAAATTAAAAAACACACAGAACTGAATGTAATATCAAAATACGTGGGACGCAGCTAATGTAGAGAGGGAAATTTTATAGCACGAAGTGTTTCCTTTAGAAAAGAGAAAAGGTCTCAAATCAATAATCCAAGTTTCTACCTCAATAAACTAGAAAATGAGCAAGATAAACCCAAAGCAAAGGAAGGAACAAAATAATAAAGACCAGAAACTGATGAAGTTTAAAATAAAACAGCACAAAAGTTAAACAAAAATCTTTTTCTTTGAAAAATCAATAAAGTTTATAAACCTCTATTATGACCGACAAAGATGAAGAGTGAAGACATAAGTCACCAACACTAGGAATGAAATAGAAGATACCACTGCTGAGCTTGCAGCCATCTAGAGGATAGTATGGAACTAGTATAAACAACTTTATGCTTGCTTGAATTAAACAATTTAGAAGAAATAAACCAATTCCTCAAAAACCACAAGCTACCAAAATTCACTACCAAGATTTTCACAAATTTGAAACAGACCAACGTGAACAAGCCTGTATGGCCATTAAAGAAATTGAATTTGTAACTAAAAATCTCATGGAAATGGCCGGGCATGGTGGCTCACGCCTGTAATCCCAGCACTTTGGGAGGCTGAGGTGGGTGGATCACCTGCGGTCAGGAGTTTGAGACCAGCCTGACCAACATAGTGAAACCCTGTCTCTATTAAAAATACAAAAAATTAGCTGGGTGTGGTGGTGGGCACCTGTAATCCCAGCTACTCAGGAGGCTGAGGTGGGAGAATCGCTTGAACCCAGGAGGCAGAGGTTGCAGTGAGCCAAAATCACACCACTGCACTCCAGGCCTGGGCGATAGAACGAAACTCTGTTTCAAGAAAAAAAAAGTCAGTGTAATCAATTATCTTAGCAGACTAAACAAAAATCAATCATATCAGTAAACACAAAAAAATTTGACAAGATCTAACACCTGTTCATGATGAATAAAAAGAAAAGGAATAGAATTTCCTCAATTTGAAAACTTACAGCTAATATACATAATGGCAAAGTGGTTTTCCTCTTAGATTGGGAACAATGCAAGGATGTGTGAACTCACCACTCTTATTCAACAGAGTACTGGAAGTTCAGGCCACTGCAATAAGGCAAGAAAGAGAAGTAAAAGACATACAGAATGGAAAGGAAAAATAAAACTGTTCCTATTTGCAGATGACATTATTGTCTATGTACAAAATCCCTAAGGAGTCTAAAAAAGCCATCCTAGAACTAGTAAGTGAGTTTAGCAAGGCCACAAGAGAAAAACAAACACATAAAAATTATTCACATTTGTATATACCCAAACAAACATGTGCAAACCAAAATTTAAGATGCAACGCCACTTATTAATACAATCACTTCTAAAAAGAAAAGGAAAGACACATGAGGTATAAATGTAACAAAACATGTATAGGATCTTAAATGCTATAACAAAATGAAATCACAAAAAAATCAAAGAAGAGCCAAATAAATGGAGAGATACATTATGTTATGGACTGGGAGACAGAGTCAACATGTCAGTTCTCTCCAAATTGATTAATAGTTTTAACGCAATTCCTATAAAAACCCCAATAAGGTTTTATTTTTTTATAAGCATAACAAGCTTATTCTAAAATTTATATGGAAAAGTACAAGTCCTAGAAGAGCAAACCAATCTTGACAAAAAAGGATAAAGTGGGAGGAATCGCTCTGATAACAAACCTTACTAGATTGCTCTAGGAATCAAGACTGTGCAGTATCATGGAGGGACAGACACGAAGACCAATGGAACAGAGCACAGAACCCATCAACAGCAGCAGTCTAAGGTGCCCAACTGACTTTTGATAAAGATGCAAAATAAATTAAATGGAGCGGGGCCAGGCGCTGTGGCTCACGCCTGTAATCCCAGTACTTTGGGAGGCTGAGGCAGGTGGATCGCTTGAGGTCATGAGTTCAAGACCAGCCTGGCCAACATGGCGAAACCCCATCTCTACTGAAAATACAAAAATTAGCTGGGTGGAGTGGTGTGTGTCTGTAATCCCAGCTACTCAGGAGGCTGAGGCAGGAGAATCGCTTGAACCGGGGAGGTGGAGGTTGCAGTGAGCCAAGATCGCACCACAGCACTCCAGCCTGGGTGACAAGAGCGACACTCCATCTCAAAGAAAAAAAGAATTTTTTTTAATGGAGGGACCGACTTGTCTACAAACATGCTGGAGCAATTAGACATCCATAAACAAACAAAAATAATAAATGAACCTTAACCCAATAAACCTCACTCCTTATACAAAAATTAACTCAAAATGGCTCATAGACAAACAGAAAGCAGAAAACTATAAAAGCATAGGAGAAAATCTTTAGGATCTAGGAAAAGAGTTCATAATCTATGAAAGGAAAAATTGATAAAATGGATTATACCCAAGTTTCATATTAAAAACTTTAAAGATTATACTAAAACTGGCCGGGCATGGTGGCTCACACCTGTAATCCTAGCACTTTGGGAGGCCAAGGCGGGCGCATTGCCTGAGCTTAGGAATTAGAGACCAGCCTGGTCAACATGATGAAACCCCATCTCTCCTAAAAATACAAAAATTAGCCAAGTGTGGTGGCGTGCGCCTGTAATCCCAGCTGCTCGGGAGGCTGAGGCGAGAGAATCCTTGAACCCAGGAGACAGAGGTTGCAGTGAGTTGAGATCGTGCCACTGTACTCCAGCCTGGGCGACAGAGTGAGACTCCGCCTCAAAACCAAAATTATACTAAAACTCTTGCTCAGCGAAATACCCTGTTAAGAGAATGAAAAGACAAGTTACAGACTAGGAGAAATTACTCGCAATCACAACCTGACAAATAGCTAGATTCTAGAACATATAAAGAACGCTCAAAATTTAACAGTAAAAAACTTAGTTTTGGTTGCCGGGCAGGAGGAAGGTGCTGGCTGCAGAGGGAAGGAGCTCCCAGTGGCTGTGGAGAACCCAGCCCAGCTGAGCCGAGCCACGGCCACCATGGCGGCTACCGAGGACGCTCACGAGAACCACAGTACCTCCACTGAGAATGCAGACAAGTCCAACCAGGACCCTCAGTATGAGCCAATAGTTTCTACTCCTGAGCAAGAAATTAAAATGCTAGAGGAAGAGGAAGAGGGACTTTTTAATATGTGAGTGCAACTATTCTGATTTGTTTCAGGGAACAATCTTCTGGAATGGAAGGGTGGAGGCACTGGCAACATCAAGCTCCTGAAGCACAAGGAGAAAGGGGCCTCACGAGGAGGGACAAGACCCTGAAGATCTGCCAGCCCCTAAGTCACACCCATGTTGGAGCTGAAGCCCAACGCAGGCAGCCACTGGGCCTGGGTCTGCAACACCCACGCCGACTTCACCCATGAGTGCCCAGGCCAGAGCTGCTGGCCGGCTGCTTCCTGAATGCTGAGCATGCACGGAAATTCCAAAGTTCAGAGAATGCAAAAAAGACATCAAAGAGAGACAAAAGAAAGGACCAGGCAAAAACAATAATGCCGAAAAAGTGGTGGAAAAGCTAGAAGCTCTTTTGGTAAAGAGGAGACCAAGGAAGACACTGAGGAAAAGCATTAAATTCTTCCTTTCTTTCCTTTTTCTTTCTTTTTTTTTTTTGAGATGTGGTTTCACTCTTATAGCCCAGGCTGGAGTGCAGTGGCTCCATCATAGCTCACTGTAGCCTCCACCTCCTGGGCTCAAGTGATCCTCTCACCTCAGCCTCCTGAGTAGCTGGGATCACAAGTGCACACCACCACGCCCAGCTAATTTTTTGTATTTTTAGTAGAAACAGGGGTCTTGCTATGTTGCCTAGTCTGGTCTTGAACTCCTGAACTCAAGTGATCCACCTGCCTCGGCCTCCCAAAGTGCTGGGATTATAGGCATGAGCCACTACACCTAGCCTCCTTTTTCTATTTATTTGAGATGGAGTCTCACTCTGTCCCCCAGGCTGGAGTGTGATGGCGAGATCTTGGCTCACTGCAACCTCCGCCTCCCGAGTAGCTGAGATTACAGGCACCTGCCACCATGCCCAACTAATTTTTGTATTTTTAGTAGAGACGGGGTTTCACCATGTTGGCCAGGCTGCTCTTGAACTCCTGGCTTCAGGTGATCCACCTGCCTTGGCCTCCCAAAGTGCTGGGATTACAGGCGTGAGCCACCCCGCCTGGCCTCCTTTTTCAATTTTACCCTGCCTCTCCTTTTCAGTTTGTTTTTATTGTATTTTATTTTTACAAGGGACTGTATATGAATAACTGGATTAAAAAAACTTAAAAAAAGTCAATTGGAAAAAAAAAGTCAACTAGAAAATGGATAAAAGACATGAATATGCAGTTCACCAAGGAGGATATATAGATGTCAAATAAGCCCATGAGAAGATACTGGAGGCTGATGCCTGTAATACCAGCACTTTAGAAGGCTGAGACGGATGGATCGCTTGAGCCCAGAAGTTCAAGACCAGCCTGGGCAACACAGCAAGATTCCATCTCTACATAGAAATGTAAAAATTAGCTAGACGTAGTGGCGCAAGCCTGTAGTCCCAGTTACTTGCGAGGCTGAGAGGCAGGAGGATTGCTCGAGCCCAGGAGGCAGAGGTTGCAGTCAGCTGAGATCGTGCCACTGCACCCCAGCCTGGGCAACAGAGCAGGACCTTGTCTCAAAAATAAATAAAAATACTTTTTAAAAAAGAAAATATGCTGGCATCGTTAGTCAGTAGGAAATACAAATGAAACCACAAAATCTTTCTCATAGATTGAGCCTCTGATGGTCTGAATATTCCCCCCAAAATTTCTCTGTTGAAATCCTTACCTCGTATTAGGAGGCAGGGCCTTTGGGAGGTGATGAGGTCATCGGGGCGTGGCCCTCAGGAATGTGATTTGTGCTCTTATTTATGTGTTTATTTTTTGAGATGGAGTCTCACTCTATCGCCCAGGCTGGAGTACAGTGGCACGATCTTGGCTCACTGCAACCTCTGCCTCCCAGGTTCAAGCAATTCTTCTACCTCAGCTTCCCGAGTAGCTGGGATTACAGGTGCACACCACCACGCCCAGTTAATTTTCGTATTTTTCGTAGAGACGGGGTTTCATCATGTTGGCTAGGCTGTTCTCAAACTTCTGACCTCAGGTGATCCACCTGCCTCGGCCTCCCAAAGTGCTGAGATTACAGGCATGAGCCACCACACCGGGCCTGATTCATGCTCTTATAAAAGGGACCCTGGAGCGATTTCTCAGCCCCGGCCTGCTCCACTTCCACCACATGAGGATGCAGTGAGAGGGGACTGTCTATGAGCCACAAAGTGCGTCCTCACCAGACATTACATCTGCCTTGACTGTGGACTTCCCAGCCTCCAGAACGGTGAGGAATAAAATGTTGTTTATGAGCCACTGAGTTTATGGGATTTTGTTAGAGCACCTTGAACAGACTAAGTGGTATTCCTTACTTAAAAAAATTTCTTTAAAAAAGGTGAGATGTGAGAGAGAATGAGAGGAGGAGGAAAAAGACGAAGGGAGGGGAAAAAAGAAAGGGGGGCAGTCAAAGGCGAGCCCCCACCCACATACAGAGAGAGGTGAACATATCCTGCTTTAGCGGAGGGACCCCACCTCGCGATCTCAGGGCCCTTCGGATGCCTCCACCCAACACCAGAAACCTTCTTGTCACATTCTTACAACCAAAGGGTGCCCAGAGCCTGCCCTCTTGTTGCCGGGGGCAGCTCCCTGCAGAATCCCGGGCCCCACCCACGCGGCGTGCCCTGCACTCACCACAACAACCATGTCCCAGAGCTCCTTCAGTAGGCGGACCTCCCGGTGGCAGGCCTTGAGCTGCTTGTAGTCTGGGACGGGGACCTCGAACAGGCCCCCGGACTTGGACAGCGCCTCCATGATGCCTTCCATGGCGGAGATGCTCTTTTGTTGCTAGGGGCGGCGAGGGGGCCGTCAGTAGGGCTACCTACCCTCAGCGGTGCCCCACCCCACTCCCCGACGTTCTGCCCGTCTCTCCAGTGTGCCCTCCCTGATAAACCTTCTGGGAGGAGGTGTCCATACAACGGTGTCCCACCTGGAGGGAGGACAGAGCCCTCCATCCCCCAAGGCCTCCTGGGTCCTGCCTGCAGGGGAGGGCGGGTGACCTCTACCCACACCAGCGTGGGGACTGACTCCCAATGGGCATGGTAAATGCCTCATTTCCTCCTGAGAGTTTCTGATTTCCCAGCATTTCTTCAACTTTCATATTATATTTTTATCTTATTAAAAATGACTTAAGTAATGCTTTGAAAATGAGATAATTCAGATAAGCAAAGAGGAAAAATCCGTAGTGTCCTCTCAAATCCCATGACTAAGAGTTGGCCGTCGTAGCACCTGGTGATAGTGGGTGTGTTTGCGTGGACACGTAACAGGCAGGCTGTGGCAAAGGTGGGCTCGGAGCGTGTGCACACACATGGACACGCAGGGACTGCCTGCTCTGGTCACCAGCTGGAGCTCCACAGCTCCCCTTGGATGGGCATGGGGCACCCCTCACCCCAAATCTTTCCAGAAAATCCAGCCCGGGGCCCTAGGGAGAGAATGGCTGCATCTCCATCGTGGCTTGAGGAATGCGACATGAGGAAACGGCCATGAGGAAAGGTCGGATTGGAGCTGGAGGCCAAAGAGCCGAAGCTCAGGGAGGGGAAGAGTGAGGCAACCCTGAGGACCCTGGGGTTCACATTTGCTAGAGCCTGTGAGGCGGAGGTGCAGGTGGGGCCGACCCAGCAGTACCTGGGCACCGTACTGGGAGCAAAGAGGAACTGACAAGGGCCCCACTGGGCCCCAAGAGGCCCCCCTGGGCCCTGAGCACCCCACATGCTCCTGCCCACAAGGGCCTTTTGGGCCTGAGCTTGAGTGGGCTGCCAGGTCCAGGGCTGTGTGAATTTGTGCACTGGACGTGACCATGAACTTGGACAGTGGGAACAGAGTGGGAACACGAGTGAAGCCTGGCTGCTGCCCGATGTGGTGGGTCAGGAGAGGCAGGAGGCAGGGAGAGATGGCAGGTGAGTATTAAGCCCAGGGGACAGGAAGCTGCTGAATGTGAACAGAGTGGAGATTAGGGGGCGGAGTCAGGCTAAGGGACTATGGGTCACACAGGGTGTTAAGGGGCCTGAGCCGTGGGCCTGGAGCCATGCTCTGAGCTGCGAGACACAGAGGGGACACCATGTGGTCTGGGGGGCTGCTCGGTTTGCATGTTCACGTACACACCCATGCATGTGCTCGCACACGTATGTGCATGCATACACATAAGAGCACTCGTGCACGGCCCCAAGGTCAGTCCGGCGGAGACCACGTTTCTGGACTTGAAAGGATAACTACTTGAGAAAAGAAAGCAGTGGGGTTCCCAGACTTACCCCCTGATCTCACCCTTGAGCAAAAATACCTTATTCAGGGACTTGTAGGGGTTGGGGTCGCTGAAGGAGAACGGGGCCTCGCGCCTGAACCTCTCCCTGAACTCATGTTGCTTGAGCTGCGAGAGAAGAGTGCAAAGTACAGAGAGTCACGGGGCGGCCACCTGCCCCAAGGGTGGCCCCACCCTGTATGCCGCAGGGCCCTGGGTGAGCCCCACGCTGCTCCCCGGAAATCCCGCCACCCTGCCCCAGGTATAATACCTCGAATTGCTGGCATTTCCGCCGCAGGATGCTGACCTCGTTGGCCTGGAGTGGTGCCACGGTCAGCTTCACCTGAATGGCCAGTTTCTTGGTATTTGCCCAGTGCTCCGGCAGCTCCTGCGGGAAGCAAAGGCAGAGGAGGGCTCCTTTCTCATTTCTTTTCTTAAACCTTCTATTGTGAAATAATTAGAGACTGGTAAGAAGCTGCAAAAACAGTGCAGGGGCCGGCGCGGTGGCTCACACCTGTAATCTCAGCACTTTGGGAGGCTGAGATGGAAGGATCACTTGAGCCCAGGAGTTCGAGACCAGCCTGGGCAACAAAGTGAGACCCCATCTCTACAAAAAATACAAATTCTTTTTAGCTGGGCGTGATGATATGGGCCTGTAGTCCCAGCTACTCAGGAGGCTGAGCTGGGATGATCACTTGGACTAGGAAGGCAGAGGCTACTGTGAGCAAGATTGTACCACTGCACTCCAGCCTGGGTGACAGAGTGGGACCCTGTCTCAAAAAAACAAAAACAAAAACCAGCCTCCTTAATGGCGAACTAGGACATTGACATTGGTGTCTCTGTTAACTAGACCAGAGAATGTACTCACCTTTCATCATGTTTTTAAACCTGAATCCATTTGTGGGTGTGGGTGTGGGTGTGGTCTCCCATGCAATTTTATCCCACGTATGGATTTGTGCAAACACCGCCACAATCAAGATATGGATTGTCCATTACAACAGAGGAATTCCCTTTCTATCCCTCCACCACAATCCTGCCCCTGGGGACCGCTAAGCTCTTCTCCAGCTCTATAATGTTGTCATTTCCAGAATGGCTGCAACAATCAGATGAATTTTGGTATTTCCCAAGTTCCCCACACTTGGGTAAATACTATAGTTGTAAATATTTAATTATTATTTATTCATTTTTGAGACAGAGTCTCACTCTACTGCTGAGGCTGGAGTGCAGTGGTGCGATCTTGGCTCACCACAACCGCTGCCTTCTGGGTTCAAGTGATTCTCATGCCTCAACCTCCCGAGCAGCTAGGATTACAGGCGCCTGCCACCACGCCTGGCTAATTTTTAAATTTTTAGTAGAGATGGGATTTTGCCATGTTGCCCAGACTGGTCTTGAACTCCTTGGCTCAAGTAATCTGCCCGCCTCGGCCTCCCAAAGTGCTGAAATTACAGGCATGAGCCACCACACCGGGCCATAAAATATTTTAAAGAAAAAAAAAATCCCAGCCCATGAACTTTTTGCCTGCAGTGGAGACTTCTCTAGTTCTTCTATGGTTGCTGGCTGTATGGTTTCTGTCTGCATTTTTACTACCCCAGTTGCCTCGTGTGTGGCTTGGAGCACCTCAGGGTGGGACGGCTGAGAACCTGCTCAGTCCTTTTATTTTCTTTCTTTTGACACAGGGTCTTGGCTCTGTCACCCAGGCTAGAGTCCAGTGGTACAATCATACATCACTGCAGCCTTGACTTCCTGGGCTCAACTGATCCTCCCACCTCCTGAGCAGCTGGGACTACAGGTGTGCGCCACCATGCCTGGCTAATTTTTTAAATTTTTTGTAGAGACAGGGTTTTCCTGTGCTGCCCAGGCCGGGGCCCCTCCCTCTTGTCACCCCCAGGGCTGTGGGGTCTTGGGCACTGTCTGGAGTCGGTGCATAAGACAGGAGGGTGGGCCCTGTCTGTGGCTGGACACAGAGAAGGGGAGAGGGCGGGAGGAGGGGTGGACGGGCTGGGAGGAGTTGGAAACTCCAGGCCAGACTCAAGAGATGAGGGAGCGGGGTCTCCTCGGTGGCCACACCTAGACGTGGCTGGGAGGCAGCTCTAGGACACACCCTCTCCATCCTCCCACCCTCGCCCAGCCTGCACACACCCCTCCACGCTGACAGCTGAGGTTCTTTGAATTCGCTATCAAGTGCTGTGCAAACGCAGCTGCCAGCCCCGCCCCCTTCAGCTGCCTAATCCCTCCCCAGGGTCCCCCTGACCTTGTTCTCTCTCCACCATCCTGGCACCCACCTCCACCAGCACTCCCACCAGACACTCAGGAGGAGACATGGGACATAAAGGCATTTTGTATTTTTTTTTTTTTTTAAGACAGAATCTCTGTCGCCCAGGCTGGAGTGCAGTGGTGCGATCTCAGCTCACTGCAACATCTGCCTCCCTGGTTCAAGCAATTCTCCTGCCTCAGCCTCCTGAGTAGCTGAGACTACACTAGCCAGCCACAGCTGGCTAATTTTCTATATTTTTGTAGAGATGGGCTTTCTCCCACGTTGCTCAGGCTGGTCTCAAACTCGAGCTCAGGCAATCTGCCCACCTTGGCCTCCCAAAGTGCTGGGATTACAATGAAGACATTTTTAATCCAACAAAACACCAATGGAACGGAGGGAGCACTGGCCTCACCGTGGAGGCAGTCCCCAGGGTCTCCTGTCCCCCAGAAACCTCCTCCCTGCACCTCCCTGTTCCATGGGGATCTGATGTCCAGAGAGGATCTAGCCCACAGCATCCCCCATGGTTGCGTTTGATGGGCTGGTCCATGGTCGCGGCCGGGATGGCTCTCCCTGCTCACCTGGACGCAGCCACACCCACCCACCACGTACCTGCAGCTTCAAGTGGATCTCCTCTGGCATCTCCTCCCCGTAGGTCTTGAGCAGCTCGATGGTTTGCTTCAGGGGCTCAAACATGTTGTCGGTGGCTGCTTGCCTCTCCTTGACTTTCATCAGGTGCCCCATCACCTCCACAAGCCCATCATAGTCCCCCTCCTTGAGGGGCTTGGTCAAGCCCATTCTGGCGACTTTCATGAAGGCTTCCAGGTCAGCCAGGCTAAGGGACAAGGGGACCATTTGTGTGGCCCCAGCCCCCCTTAGGCCCACCCTTGATGGTACGGAGCCCCATGAGAGGGGGACGACCGCGGTGAGGTCAACTGGCCATCACTGAAGGCCCCAGGTGGGGAGGGAGCGCCCCTGCCCACCTTGGATCCCTCCAGCTCACTCAGCCCCTGCCCAGACATCACCCCAAGCCTCAGCAACTTAGCTCAAGCCCATCCTCAAGTCCCAAGCTACGGCCACATCCCAGAGGCCTTCACTAGCCTCCCGGATGGAATTCAGCCAGGCAATGCTCTCTCCTGGCACTGTGCCCATCATGGCCCTGATGGCCGCCTATAATCCCACAGCTGCCAGTCTGTTTGTTCAGCGCCAGCCTTCCCTGACAGACTTCTGGTTTCCTCCGCATCTGGCACCCGGACAGAGCAGGTGCTCGGTACACCGGGTTTGGAGAAGGGATAATGTTTGCTCGCAGCCCGGTGACACCTTTCTGCTCACGCTTGGTGGGGTAGTTGGCCTTGAAGCCCAGCCTCCACCCCCTGCTACCCCAGAGGAGGCACCTGACAAATGCCACCCACTCAAGTGGAAGGCCACTCCCTGGTGCTCTGCACATTCCTTGGGCTCCCCGAGTACATGGCTGGGGACCCACCTGTTGGTGACGTGGTTGCTCAGGTGCCGCTTGAACATGAAGCCCCAGCGCCGGATTGTGCTGAGCAGGGCCTGCTTGAAGGGGCGGCAGTCGCACTGCAGCCAGCCGTGGAACACCTTGGTGTTCTCGCACTTGGACACCTCCTCATACAGCTTCTCGTAGGAGTCGATCTGGAAAACACGGCCACCGGCGGCCTGTCATAGCCTGCAAGCCTAGGGGGGGCGTCAGCACAGGGCCTCAGTCCAGGGCCTTCCTGCACTGCACCTGCGCTGCTCACCTGCCGGCCACTCTGGGGCCAGGGTCAGCAAAGGGCAGTACGGGACACATGGGGGCCCTCATTCCAAGTTATTGTTCCTTCCAGCCCCAGAGTCTAGCCCCAGAAGGTGCCAGTCCATCAGAAAGGGGCAGAAGGGGTCATGGCAGCAGGACTTCTGAAGCTGGGTAGGACAGAAGCTTCAAGAGGTGAACCAGGTCACAGGCTCCTAAAGGGCATCCCTAGCTCATCCTTCTACCTGAGGCCTCTGTCACTCCTCCTGCTGCCCCAACCCTGTGCTACAGAATGTACCCCTGGGCATGGGTCACCCTTGCCCACGGGGCCCTCTTTCTCACTGTGCATTGGGAACAGAGCTAGAGGTTTGTGCGTTAACTATGTTTTCTTATTTTATGCATTCTTTCTGCAGCTGTTGGGTAAAGTGTTCTGTAGCTGTCTGTTGGTCCCTGTGATCTAAAGTGCAGTTTAACTCCAATGTTTCTTTGCTGATTTTCTGTCTAGATGATCTGTCTGACGCTGAGAGCAGGGTGTTGAAAACCCTAACTGTTACTGTACTGGGGTCTCTCCCTTTAGATCTACCACTGTTTGCTTTATATATCTGGGTGCTCTGGTGCTGGGCGCATAGATATGTAGAATTGTTAAATCCTCTCGCTGAGTTGATCCTTTTGTCATTACATAGTGACCTTCTTGGTCTCGTTTTACTGTTTGTGACATAAAGTCTGTCTTTTTTTTTTTTTTTTTTTTGAGATGGAGTCTTGCTCTGTCACCAGGCTGGAGTGCAGTGGCGTGATCTTGACTCACTGCAAGCTCCGCCTCCTGGGTTCACACCATTCTCTTGCCTCAGCCTCCCGAGTAGCTGGAACTACAGGCGCCTGCCACCACGCCCAGCTAATTTTTTGTATTTTCAGTACAGATGGGGTTTCACCGTGTTAGCCAGGATGGTCTCGATCTCCTGACCTCACGATCCAACCGCCTCGGCCTCCCAAAGTGCTGGTATCACAGGCGTGAGCCACCACGCCCGGCCGACATAAAGTCTGTCTTATCTGATGTAACTATAGTTATTCCTACTTGTTCTTGGTTTCTGTTTGTGTGGAATCTCTTTTTCTATTCTTTTGCATTCAATCTGTCTTTACAGGTGAAGTGAGTTTCTTCTAAGCAGCATATATTGGGGTTACCTTCATCCATTCAGACAATCTATATCTTTTAAGTGGGGAATTGAATCCATTTACATTTGAGGTTATTACACTGACAGGTGTGATTTTCTGTGTTCTTCATGCTCTGACATCTGGGGCCTTGCCCATGGACGACCCCTCCCAGGCCTAGTCAATTTTGAGAGACAACAAACAATTCACCTGGGGGTGTGGTTTCATATGCAAATGAGCCAACCCGGAGCCCACACCTCCGACCATCCCCTTGATGGGGCTCTCACAGGGTTTTACCTTCTGGGCTGCTACCCACTAGCCCTCAGCCCTCATCTCCCTGAGGTCAGGTACCAGACAGCCCCTATAGCCTAGAGCCTGCTGAAATTATTCAAACTTGCCAACCCTAAGCCTGTGACCTCTGCCCATTCCTTCCCTGGAAGCCACAATAAAGGCTCTTTATTTTCCCCACATTTTCCCCAGCTCCCTCTGCCTCCTGACTGACCCTGATGCTACCCCGTGCAGGCCTGTGTGGTGTGCTATGCCCCCTTCTTGGGAACTGTAAGTAACAAACTGCCTTTCTAATGGTGGTCACCTCCTGATGTTTGCCTTGCCCTACCTGGAAACCTGCATCTTAAAACAATTCACCCAAGTTTTAAAGCAAGCCTGGTGATCCTCTCCTGGAAGACTCTGGAGACAAGGAGGCTGGTGGGTGAGGTCTGCACGCACCTGCTCCTGGAACTGAGCCAGGGTGGGCGGTGTCTTGGGGATGGTGTCATCTGTCCAGGTGTCCAAGTCCTCCGCAGTGACTGCACACCCATATATCAGGAAATTCTTCATAAACTCCTGCAGGTTGTCCGTCCAGAGGTAGGAGTACCTCTCAAAGGAATCCTGGTACTCCTCGGCCTCCTTCATGGCATTGATGACCAGGCTGGACACCTCCTCCCTCATCTCTATGAGGTCTGTGTTATCTTCCAGGTCCATCTGAAAGGGGCAGGGGAGAAGCAAAAAGGGGAGGTATGTTGCCTGGTTCATAATTTAGGTGTTGTCCTCTCGGCCTTGAGAAGTGGTTCTCTGTTGGCGAAAGGGCTTCCAATCTCTCATGATGACCTGCTCTTTTTCCAGCCTGGGCCGATCACCCCTCTTTAGGCAACCTGGTGGTCCCCCACTCCTGGGAGGTCACCATACTGATGCCAAACTTAGTGGATAGCACACTACAGCCCAGAACTCCTGGGCTCAAGCGATCCTCCTGCCTCAGCCTCCCAAGTAGCTGGGACCACAGGCACGTGCCACTGTGCCTGGCCCAAGCTCTCACCACGGGAAATAGGAACCTTTGCCGATTTGCAATATTCTGCCATGGGAAGGTATGCCAAGTGTGACGTTTGTCTGGGGAACCCCGAGATGACTCACACATTGATTCATTCATTCGATAGCTCGCTCTCACTGCGTACCACATGCTGGGATAGATACTGGGGCACAGGCAGGGAGTGTACAGCCCAGGAATGGGGTCTGACATTCATCAAAGAATCACAGAAAAAAGCATCTCCACCCTCCCCCTTGCTTCAGGTGAAATGGGGAGCAGGTCAGGGAATGGCCCCGAGGAAATGGCCATTGGTCTGAGAGCTGATGGATGGGTAGACAAGGAGCAAGAGAAGCGGCTTTCCTGGCAACAGCAAAGCACGTGCAAAGGCCCCGTGGTGGGAGGAGGCAGCGTGTTAGGGGAACTAAAGGAAGTCTACTGTCGGTGGCTAGAGCAGAGAGCACGAGAGGCCAGTGCTATACGGATCTTTTTAGTTGCCAGTGACAGAAAACCCAACCCAAACTGGTTAAGCAAAGAGAGAACTCGTTGGCTTATATACAGGACTGGAGAATCCCAAGGTGGTCGGTGTGTGTATTAATCACATTTTTATTGTCTGCATCTTATGAAATTTTGACATCTTATTTCTTTTTGAGACAGAGTTTCGGTCTGTCACCCAGGCCGGAGTGCAGTGGCCCGATCTCAGCTCACTACACCCTCTGCCTCCCAGGTTCAAGTGATTCTCCTGCCTCAGCCTCCCAAATAGCTGGGATTACAGGCTCCCACCACCATGCCTGGCTAATTTTTTGCATTTTTATTAGAGGCGGGGTTTCACCGTGTTGGTCAGGCTGGTCTCAAACTCCTGACCTCAGGTGATCCACCTGCCTCAGCCTCCCAAAGTGTTGGGATTACAGGCGTGAGCCAATGCGCCCAGCCCAATTTTGACATCTTAAAAAAATAAAATAAAAAAACCTTATGGGCCAGGAAGAGCCGGCCTTTCCCAGGGCTAGGCAATTCTTTGAGATAGCAAAAGGCTCATCTGGGGGCATGCATATGCAAACCAGCCGACCCTCAACCACTCCCCTTTACCCAACTCTCACACCAAGCCAGTATTTCCCCTGCCCTAAATCACCCAGGGTCAGGTACCAGACAACTGAAGACAGCCTATAGCCCAGAGCCCACATGACAGCTGCAGAGAGGCCCCATCGGGACCCAGATGTGCATGGAGATCTTGTCTGTGCAGGGGACCTCGTTGGTAAGGGGTGGCACGAGGAAACGGTGTAATTGAGGAGGTGAAGTCAGTGGGGCTGGGATGGAAGGGGAAGGTTGGCCCTAGGGCTGGGCCGGGCCACCCTGCATGTAAGTTGTGGATGGAAAGAAGCCACAGGGGAGAGAAACCTGAAGCTCCTCGTGGCTGCAGGAAAGCATTTGGTGTGTGCTTCAGAATTCAGCCATGGGCTCGCCTGTGCCTGACATTTGGCTCCCACCCCTCCTCATGGCCCCTCTTTCTGCTCAGGGTTGGGAGTGCAGTGTTCAGAGCACAGGCAGGTGCTTCTGGATTTCAGTGTTGTAACTTCCAGGCATCTACCTGCTCCAGCTGAGATTGTCCCCTGCAGTCCTTTGGATCTCCCCAGGTGGGATCCAAGTTCCAGTTGGGCTGGGCTGGTGGCAGCCTGGCATACCAGAGGCAGGTGAGACCTGCTGCCTGGGGTCTCTGCCCCTTGCTGGTGTCCCCTGTGGGCAGCTCAGCTCTCTAAATCCCTGTGGCAGCCTGGGGCCCACATTCTATCTCCTCCTTGTCCTGACCCAACTCCTCTGGGTTGGCCACCCTGGTACCCATGGGAAGCATCCCTTGGGTACTCTCTGCCACCAAGCTAGGGTACTTGGGTCTCTGGGAAGTGGCCCTGGGACCCAGCAGTCTAGATGCCTGACTCTCTCATTGTCTTCCACAGCTTGGCACCAGGTAAGACTCTGCTAGACCAGCAGGCTTTCGAGGGACCCTTCTCCTGGGCAACAGGCCCTTCAGCTCTGGAATGTTCTGCCTGAGCGTCCCAGGGTGTCTGCAAGGCAGCCTGAGTGTTTGTGCTGGCAGAGCCCAGGGGTGGAGCAGCTCTGTCTGCAGCAACCGTGGGTGCCCAAGAGCAGCCTGCTTTGGGGACAGTGGGAGGGGCACACCCGGGACACACTGATTCTGAGGACATGTGCTAACCTAGCGTCTGCATAACTGGGGCAAATTCTATTCTCAACTCTGGAACAGCTTGCTGCTTGCACTTGGGCCTAAAATCACAGCCATCTTCTCAGCATGGAAACCTCCTCCCACCCTTCCAGAATCCGCTCACACGCCCACTCCTCTCAGGAGCTGTCCTTGACCTTCTCAGGTCATTAGCTGTTCCCTCGTGTCCTCATGTCACCTCTGTACAAGCATGCCTCCCCACCACACATGCAAATACGCACACGGGCACATATGCATCCAAGCACACGCGTACACACACGAGCACACGCACATCCCTCCCTCCTGGACAGGACAGCTCATCTCGCTGTAAATATATGTTATGACAAATCATACGTGTCCATTATTTTACAATTCAAACAACGCAGAAATGCATGAGAGGAAACGCCTGCAGCCACATCCCTCTCCCCTCCCCTCCTTCCTCCCTTCCTGGTAAGCACTCACCCAGATTTTTGCTTGTTTAAGCAAATGAAACCATATTCTAAACATTGTTCTGTAACTTGATAAATGTCTAATAACCTGTCACAACACCTTTCCATCCTTGGCTCATTGTGACAATTCACAGAATCTGGGTTTGGGCCAGAATTGGTCAAGCCACTCCCCTCTTCCACAAACATTTAGGTCACTTAAGTCTTTTCAGATTTTTTTTTATTGCTATACAAATAGGTGCTTTGACAAACACACCACCTCAAACCTCCCTTAAGCGGGGAGCTGAATTTCCCATGACTTTTGTTGTCCTTCCTACCCCAGAGCCTGGCCAGGCTCTCCGTGTGTCTTGTTTGATGCGTTTAGACGAGATGATTTCAGAAGGCAGTGGGAGGCACATTTGTCAAATTGCCTGAGTACTGGGAGAATCAGTGTTTACATTACAGGACTGAGGCCGGGCACGGTGGCTCACACCTGTAATCCCAGCACTTTGGGAGGCCAAGGCGGGTGGATCACAAGGTCGGGAGATTGAGACCATCCTGGCCAACATGGTGAAACCCCGTCTCTACTAAAAATATATAAAAAAAAAGAAAAATTAGCCAGGCATGGTGGCATGCACCTGTAGTCCCAGCTACTCAGGAGGCTGAGGCAGGAGAATCGCTTGAACCCAGGAGGCGGAGGTTGCAGTCAGCTGAGATTATGCTACTGCACTCCAGCCTGGGCAACAGAGCAAGACTCTGTCTCAAAAAATAAAAAAATTAAGAAGTTTAAGACCACTCTGGGCAACAACATGGCAAAACCCCATCTCTACAAAAAAATACATCACCAAGCTGGGCTTGGTGATGCATGCTCGTAATCCCAGCTACTTGGGAGACTGAGGCGGGAGGATCAATTGGGCCCGGGAGGCAGAGGCTGCAGTCAGCCGAGATTGAACCACTGCACTCCAGCCTGGGTGACAGAGTGAGACCTTGTCTCAAAAAAATTACAGGACTGAGTGAACAGTCAGGAAGTTGGGAAAGGTTACCCTCTTGGCATCGTGTCGGGGGGTTGGAAGGATGATGAGGGAATGAAACCCAGGCAGGTTGACTGAGAAGAAGCTGCTTTGGGAAGGACGACAGATGTGGGAGTGGGGAGAGAAGTGGCCATGTCATCCTAGAGGTCACACGATGTCATTTAAAAGGTAAGCAGGGCCGGGCGCGGTGGCTCACGCCTATAATCCCAGCACTTTGGGAGGCCGAGGCGGGTGGATCATGAGTTCAGGAGATCCAGACCATCCTGGCTAACACGGTTAAACCCAGTCTCTACTAAAAAAAAATAAAAAAATTAGCCGGGTGTGGTGGCGGGTGCCTGTAATCCCAGCTACTCGGGACGCTGAGGCAGGAGAATGGCTTGAACCCAGGAGGCGGAGGTTGCAGTGAGCCAAGATCGCGCCACTGCACTCCAGCCTGGGCGACAGAGTGAGATTCCGTCTCAAAAAAAAAAAAAGAAAAAAAGAAAAGGTAAACGGCGAAGCCTTGCCGAGTTAGGGCGGCAACACCAAATGGGGAAAGCAATGGATGACCCTGTGTACGGCCAGAAGAGGCCAGGACTGACCTTGTAGTTCATCCTGTCCTTGGCCAGCCGAGGGATGAGCCTGGCTACGTTGTAGATGTCGTTGACCAGGCCCTCGATCAGTGCCAGGAAGCCGCGATCTGAGCCCACCTCCAGGGTCGGGTTGAAGGTCAGCCCATCCTCGTCCAGCTCCATGCGGATCTCAAACAGGGGAGCGATACTCTCCTGAAAGAGGGGTGGGGTTGGCAGTGGTCAACACCTCTGTCCTCCATCGGATGATTCTCAGTGCCCTGATCATCCACTCCGTACCATCAATGTGTCACTGCCTTCCACTTATCTGGGAAGCTTCTGAGAGCTCGTGTCTCAGCGCACCCCGCTCCTTGAGCAATCGCTACAGAGCCAAATGTACAGCCACAAGGCCAAAAGCAGGCAGGGGCAGGTTGGGGCAAGGGGAGGGGCAGGATCAGGTAGAACTCAGACCTCGGTTCAAAGCCCACACCTGCTACTTGCCAGCTCTGAGGCCTTGGGGAGTCACTTAACTCCCAGTTTCCCCAAATATATAAAATGAGGCTAAATATTTTATAGAATGGAGACATTGTTGGCTAGGCGCAGTGGCTCATGCCTGTAATCCCAGCACTTTGGGAGGCCAAGGCGGGTGGATCACCTGAGGTCAGGAGTTTGAGACCAGCCTGGCCCACATGGCGAAGCCCCGTCTCTACTAAAAATACAAAATAATTAGCTGGGCCTGGTGGTGGGTGTCTGGAACCCCAGCTACTCGGGAGGCTGAGGCAGGAAATCGCTTGAACCCAAGAGGCGGAGGTTGCAATGAGCTGAGATTGTGCCATTGCACTCCAGCCTGGGCAAGAGCAAAACTCTGTCTCCAAAAAAAAAAAAAAAAAAAAAAAAAGAATGGAGACATTGTTTCCATTGTTCTGGGTTACTACAGGGGCTAAATGAATCACTGACACACAAAGCAGGTACTGCAGGGGCTGGCCAAGCCTGCCTGTCCCTCTCCCTTGGAAGTCCCCGTTTACAGAGTTCTGGAGGCCCCTGTGAGGCTGCAGGGCTGCAGGTGCTGCTCTGGTTTACAGTGATGGGATTGAGAACCCAAGTGCTCTTCCTGCCAAACTAACGATTCTCAAAATGTGGGCCAGGATCCACCAGGCTGTGAGATCACACTGTGGCCACTGATCTCCCCCTGAATGAGTCCCCATTGGACCTGTGGGTTATGAGCTTTTGAGCCCCCCAATTTGTCTATGAGCAGGAGGGGGCTGTATCAGTATCTGAGTGAGGTGCTAATTGGGACAAACGGTCAATTGTGTGACCAGACTTCTCTAAAGACTCAGGTCGGCTCCTGCCCCCAGGCTACTCACAAAGTAGGAGGACTCCCTGGAACTCTTTGAGGAGAACCCTTTGTTACTGGGACTTCTTTATGGTTTTTGTTGAGACGCTTTCACTGGGACAGTCTGTAGTGACGAGTACTTTCGTCAACTGAATTTTGGGTCTGTGACTGGTTACCAGCTGGCATCTGAGACCCATATGCCAGACTCAAACACCATCCACCCTCCCTGGTCGGTACAAGGGCACGACACTGCCACGTTCCTTTGTTGTTGGTAGCCTGGGGGAGCCTTTGATCTTGGCCTCCTGGCGGTACTCAAAATCATTTAGAAACCATCTCAACAAAAAAGATGCAGGGCTGGGCACAGTGGTTCACGCCTGTAATCCCAGCACTTTGGGAGGCCGAGGTTGGTCGATCATGAGGTCAGGAATTCAAGACCAGCCTGGCTAAGATGGTGAACCCTTGCCTCTACTAAAAATACAAAAATTAGCCAGGCGTGGTGGCGGGCACCTATAATCCCAGCTACTTGGGAGGCTGAGGTAGAGAACTGCTTGAACCCAGGAGGTGGAGTTTGCAGTGAGCTGAGATCATGCTACTGCACTCCAGCCTGGGCAACAGAGCGGGACTCTGTCTCAAAAAAATAAAAAAATAAAATAAAAAGAAGATACAGGTAGGAAAGGGGCCATTGCCATGGAAAGCATGCCTCCATGGGATTAACCAGCACAACCTCTTTGCTGACTGGTTTACCTTCTACTCAGCCGTATATAATCAAGTAGGTGAGTGGCTGTTGTTGCTGACAGGAGACCCTCCCCCCAATCCACATGAGTAGGGGGCAGTGGTGTCCACTTTCCTTCACCTGGCAGTGAGGCAGGACCAGCCTCTTAGGTCTCTTGAGGTTTTCTGCAGCCAATTTATGTTATGGCAGATTTAAAGTGACCAGTGGTCCTGAGTGCCTGGGACTGAGGGGATTCTGGAATGCAGGACTTCCAGGTTTAAAACCAGGTCAAGTAGATTGCATAAGATATATTTTAATAAGTCTATTTATAAAATGATAGCCTGTTCATCAAGAAACTAGAAACTATAGATTCTAACAGATAAGAATACATATACATAAATATATTACCTTATGTTGATAACTTACATCTATAACCATGTTGTCCATTAGGAAACTCAGAGATTTGCGAATGAACTGGTCAAATTCATCTAAGACCATGTCGTCAATGTAGATGACATAATCCTTCCAGGGCAGGCTCAGTGTGTCTGCCCTGAATAGTTCTGCGTTTTCCTGCAAACAGAAGCGCACAGTTGGGCCTCACTTCACTGGCTGTGCTTGCTCTTTGATCACACTGTTTAGTGCCTCTCTGGACCGCCCGTCCATGTTCACACGCCGGACACACGGGGCTGCTTTGAGCATCTTGCTGGTGCTGGCCGCCTTCCTACTCGAGGCTTTGCACGGCTGCTCCCTCACTTTCTTGCTGGGTCTGGCTTCCAATCTTTTTGATTTCAGCTCAAATGTCCCTTCCTCCCAAAGGAATCCTCCATCTCTAGTTGGGTTTCCTCTAGCAAACTGTTATTTATGCCTACCATGGCTCAGAGGGCCACTCAGAATTATTTTATTTGTCTTTGTCTTTGGTCTGCATGCCCTTTTGATGCCCAAATTCATGAAGGTGAAGGTTGACCATCCTCTCCACCACTGTACCCCCAGCACTCAGCAGTAGGCCTAGCACAGAGCAGGGGCTGGTGGGTGGGTGGGGTGGGTGGATGGACAGATGAATGGGGTGGACGGATAGCTGGATGGATGGATGGGGTTGGTAGATGGGTGAGTGGGTGGATGGATGGATGGATGGATGGATGGGTGGGTGGGTGGGTGGGTATGTGGATGTGTGAGTGGGTGGGTGGATGGGTGGGTGGGTGACTGGGTGGGTGGGTGAGTGGATGGGTGGATGGGTGGGTGGGTGGCCGAGTGGATGGATGGGTACGTGGCTGGATAAGTGGGGTGGGTGAATGAATAGATGAATAGAGTGGGTAGGTGTGTGAGTCCATGGATGGATGAACGGGGTGGGTAGATGTATGAGTAGATGGACAGATGGATGGGTGGATGGGTGGAGAGATGAATGGGGTGGGCAGATGTGTGAGTAGATGGGTGAGTGGGTGGGTGGGTGGGGTGAGTGGATGGGTGGGTGGGGTGGGTGGATGGGTGGGTGGGGTGGGTGGATGAGTGGACAGATGAATGGGGTGGGTAGATGTGTAAGTAGGTGGATGGGTGGGTGGATGGGTGGGTGGATGGGTGGATGGATGGGTGGGTGGGTGGGTGGGTGGGTGGATGGGTGGGTGGGTGGGTGGGTGGGTGGATCGGTGGATGAGTGGATGGGTGGATGGGTGGGTGGCGTGGGTGGGTGAGCGGATGGGTGGGTGAGCAGATGGGTGGGTGGCGTGGGTGGGTGAGCGGATGGGTGGGTGGCGTGGGTGGGTGAGCGGATGGGTGGGTGAGCGGATGGGTGGGTGAGCGGGGTGGGGGGGTGAGCGGGGTGGGGGGGTGAGCGGGGTGGGGGGGTGAGCGGGGTGGGGGGATGAGCAGATGGGTGGGTGAGCGGGGTGGGGGGGTGAGCGGATGGGTGGGTGGGGGGGTGAGCGGATGGGTGGGTGGGGGGGTGAGCAGATGGGTGGGGGGGTGGGGGGTAAGCAAGCAGATGGGTGGGTGGGGTGGGTGGGTGAGTGAGTGGATGGGTGGGTAGGGTGGGTGGATGAGTGGACAGATGAATGTGGTGGGTAGATGTGTAAGTGGATGGATGGATGGATGGATGGGTGGATGGTTGGATGGATGGATGAATCTCTAGGATACTAAGTGCTATAGGGAAACTCAAAGATTAATTTCACTCAGTCTATACCCTCAGGCAGGTCTATTCTAATAAGGGAGAGAAGACTTGGGCTCAAATAACTTCAGCATAAGATAAAAAGAAATGGCTCTAATGACTGTCATGAGAGTAGCCATACGTGGTGACAGAGTTGTGCACAAGAGACAACACCATCTCATCACAGTTGGGGAACAGAATAGGCTGGCTTGTTGCCTCTGCCCCTCTTAGGCTCCTGTCCCTGCTGCTTGGCTTCAACCTCAGCCCAGTCCTGCCTCCTCGCCTGCCCTCTTGCTATGCTCCTGCCCTCTGAAACTTTACTAACCCTAAGTCAAATCTCTCTCCTGTGCTCTGTTTCCAACCCTTCTGAGAGTGTTAACAAGCTAATCAGTTAACTCTTCCAAGTAACATTTTTGCAGTTTAGCATTTTAATTCAGAGGGAGCTACTGGCACCGTGGCAGGGAGGGGAGGGATGGGAACTGGGAATGAGGCACAACAGACTCTGGTTCAGTCAAGTCACTTCCTGGGGTGACGATCTTTAGAGCAATGATGTGACAATAGGAACAGCCAATAATGGCCCATCCCCCGGGTGTGGCCTGCTGGTCTGTCTAGATGATGTGACTCATCATTAAAGTCCACACCACTGATTTGCACCACCCACTGGAAACCGCCCCCCCCAAAAACTGCCCTAAAATACTTTTTTTTTTTTTTTTTTCTGAGGTGGAGTCTCACTCTTGTCGCCCAGGCTGGAATGCAGTGGTGCAATCTTGGTTCACTGCAACCTCCGCCTCCCAGGTTCAAGCAATTCTCCTGCCTCAGCCTCCCAAGTAGCTAGGATTACAGGTTCCTACCACTATACCTGGCTAATTTTTGTATTTTTAGTAGAGACAGGGTTTCACCATGTTGGCCAGGCTGGTCTCAAACTCCTGACGTCAAGTGATCCACCCACCTCGGCCTCCCAAAGTGCTGGGACTACCAGCGTGAGCCACTACGCCCAGCCGTTATTTGAGCTCAAGGGAGAATATTCTCTTTTACAAGCCAATGCAAAGCTCCACCTTTCACATTCTCCTCAGAGACAAACTAAAATGCAAGCTGGGTGAAATTACTACCAAGTGAGGAGGATATGAAAACCCCTACAATACAATGTCAGGACTCCAGACAAAGCACCCAGGAATGCCAGTCTACTGTTCTGCATTCTCCCACTGAATGTGCCAACCATGGGGGCTCCCAGGAGGCTGGTAGGGACATAGAGTCATATGCTGTTGGGACTACTGGCAAGAAGGACCAGCTGGCATCCTAGGTAGCAAAGCAGGCGTGCATTATCACATTCTACCCATTCACATATGCAGGTAGTGATACACCCTGTGCACGTTCAAATGGTCCTCGCTCTTCCCATGTTACTGTTCCCTACCCACACTCATGGATGGGAAATCCACGGGGGATACCGATAAACACACGGTGCCCACCCTCGGCAGCTCATCCTGGGAAGACAAGATTTGTTGACCTAGTATGAAGACGTTACTTGGCCATACCCACATTGTGCTGGGCGAGGGCTCTGGTACCCTTAGCAGAGGGCAGGCCCATCATAAGAGGAACCAGGCTTGGAAGTGTACAGCAAGGGTGGTCTACTACTTAAAGATAAGGCTCGCTTGGATTAAAGATCATAGGTTTTGTTTTGTTTTGTTTTGAGATAGTCTCACTCTTTCACCCAGGCTGGGGTGCAGTGGTGCGATCTTGGTTCACTGCCACCTCCGCCTCCCAGGGTCAAGCGATTCTCCTGCCTCAGCCTCCCGAGTAGCTGGGATTACAGGCATGTGCCAACGTGCCCGGTTAATTTTTGTTTTTTTTTTTTTTGAGACGGAGTCTCGCTCTGTCGCCCAAGCCGGACTGCGGATTGCAGTGGCGCAATCTTGGCTCACTGCAAGCTCCGCTTCCCGGGTTCACGCCATTCTCCTGCCTCAGCCTCCCAAGTAGCTGGGACTACAAGCGCCCGCCACCGCGCCCGGCTAATTTTTTGTATTTTTAGTAGAGACGGGGTTTCACCTTGTTAGCCAGGATGGTCTCGATCTCCTGACCTCATGATCCACCCGCCTCGGCCTCCCAAAGTGCTGGGATTACAGGCGTGAGCCACCGCGCCCGGCCAATTTTTGTATTTTTAGTAAAGGCAGGGTTTCACCACGTTGGTCAAGCTGGTCTCGATCTCCTGACATTAGGTGATCCGCCCGACTCAGCCTCCCAGAGTGCTGGGATTACAGGTGAGAGCCACTGCATCCAGCCAGGTCACAGACTTCTATGACTACAAGAAATGTGTCACTAATCATTTTTATGAAATCTCCAGCCCTGGGTTTACTCTCTCCTCCCTGCTAAAAGCAAGTGGGTTCTCAAAAAACCTCCTGGGTGTTTCCTTACTGCAACCATGGCTTGGATCTTCACTCCAGCATCCCTGACTGCTGCGTAGCGCTTGTTGAGGTTGGCAATTCTTCCATCCAAGTCTAACAGGGCCTCTTTCTTATTGTCCTTTCTTTCAAACAGCGGGTTGGCCGACCAGTCCTGGAAGGAAAGCACAGGAGTGAGAAAAGGTGTTCTGGAGAAACTGCTTTCAGTCGCAGTCCTTTGCTGTGTGCTTTTGATGTGAGTTTCGTCACTGCTGCCTGATCTTGGATTGGAGTCTAGTTCTCCACGATCCATGCCCATCAGGGGCTACTAAGGACCTGTGCCTAATTGACTGTTGACCAGAGAACCTTAAATAATTTAGCTCAAAACCAAAACCAGGGCCTAGGGGAACCACAGAAAGACCATTGAGATGTTTCACTCAACTGGGCCAGAATGGGGTCACTCTCAGGAAAGGAGCATCTAATTCTCTCTTTAGGGGGACGGAAGGACCCGAGCGTCGAGGAGTGTGTGGTCAATACTGGGTGGATCGTCCATAGCTGCAAACGGAGGGCCACGTGGGAGTAAGTCCCTTTTGTGGGGGCCACTGATCTGCCGACAAGGGTGGGAAAGGGTAGAGAGTAGGGTCAGGACCCTGGCTCCCCTGCAAGTGGGAGTTCTACCACAAGGGTGGTGGCCACTTGGCCGGGCGCGGTGGCCCATGCCTGTAATCCCAGCACTTTGGGAGGCTGAGGCAGGCGGATCACGAGGTCAGGAGATCGAGACCATCCTGGCTAACACGGTGAAACCCTGTCTCTACTAAAAATACAAAAAATTAGCCGCGCATGGTGGCGGGCACCTGTAGTCCCAGCTACCAGGAGGCTGAGGCAGGAGAATGGCGTGAACCCGGGAGGCAGAGCTTGCAGTGAGCCGAGATCACGCCACTCCACTCCAGCCTGGGGCACAGAGCGAGACTCAGTCTCAAAAAAAAAAAAAAAAAAAAAAAAGGTGGGGGTGGTGGCCACTTTTAATTATGATTTGGACTTTACTGTTATCTGTCATTAGATTTTTTTTCCCTACACATCTCCATTAAAGTGATACATATATGGTAACAAAACACCTAATAAGTTTTTTTTGTCAAAAAACAGTCTTTGGCCATATCTCCCTATCCTCCATCCCATCCCCCACTGGAAACATGAGGGAACCTCACCTTTCCTCCTCCTCACGGCTGCCTCTGTCACTCTTATCATTTACGGACTCTACATCATCAATTCAGCTGTTTCTCAGCTGCCTCTGTGACTCTGGGGTGAACGATGAAGACTTAGATCACCCGCCTCCCTCCTCTGGCCAGTGTTTGATATTTACGTGAGTACTTATAGTTTTTCTACTGATGCTTTTGTGTGAACATAAACGATATGATTAAGCCTGTGTTTACCTTGTTAGAAGGATTTCCTTTTTTTATTAGCAGTTTTATTGCTTCATGGTCAGAAAAACGCGTTCTGTATATGTCTTAGTCAGCTTAGATTACTATAAGCAAAATACCATATACTAGGGGGCTTAAGCAACAGACATTTCTCACAGGTTTAGAGGTTAGAAATCTGAGATCAAGGTGCCGGCATGTTTGGTTCCAGGTGAGGGCTCTCTTCCTGGTGGGCAGATGATGATGGCCGCCTTCTTGTTGTGACCTCACATGGCGGAGGGGCAGAGTGAGCTCTCTCATGTCTGTTGCTATAAGGGCACGAATCTCCTTCGTGATGGCTCTATTCTCATGTTCTGATTGCCTCCCCAGGGCCACGTCTCCAAGACCCATCACAGCAGGGATCACGGCTTCCACAAAGGAGTGTTTGAGAGTCACAAACGTACAGTCCATGGCAGTATAATAATGCTGTGTTAGCCTTCCCATTACATTTGCGTTCTGCCCATTTTTCAACTCTTCTAATAGCTTTTGCTTTTATTTATATAGCTATATTAACAATATTCTCATTGGGAACACAACATTTTAGGACAACTATAATTTTTATATAGATTTTACTTGATTTTGTATGGTTAGCTAAATATATATTTTTGCCTCTAGTTGTTCTTTGCTGATTAATATTTTATGTGTATGTATGTATGCAAGGATGTATATATGTCTGTGAATAAGACTACCATTTGAAATTTTTTTTTTTTTCCTTTGAAACAGGGTCGTGCTTTGTCACTCAGGCTGGAGGGCAGTGGCACAATCTCAGGTCACTGCAGCCTCGACCTCCCAGGCTCAAAAGTGATCCTCCCACGTCAGCCTCCAGAATAGCTGGGACCACAGGTGTTGTCCAGCCTGAGCAACATAGGAAGGCCCTAGGCTCAAGCAATACTCCTGCTTGGGCTTCCCAAAGTGTTTGGACTACAGGCATGAGCCATTGAGCTCGGCTGTGAGAACTGCCATCTTTTAAAGGTCAAAAATGGTCAATTATTGGAAGTTTCATATGGTTTCACCTACTTGTCAATCATTTTATCTTCAACCTTTCCATTTTGTTTTAGATATCTCTTGGAAGTAGCATATAACTACATTTTTAAACAATCTATTTTGCTTTTAAATACTTTATATATACTGTAACTAATGTTTGCCCTTTGTTATCACGTTTTATCCTTTCTGCTTTCTCACCGTTTCCCTTTGTTGTGGTATTTTGCTTTAAAAACTATAGCTTATTTGCTTTTATATTCTTTACTGATTTGGATAGGAGAAATCCTGTTTCTAATTCCACTAGAACTTGCCATTAAGTTTATTAAGTCTTTTAAATGTTTCTCTAATTTTGGAAATAAAAATTGCAGCTGGGCATGGTGATTCATGCCCGTAATCTCAGAACTTTGGCAGGCCAAGGCTGATGGATCACCTGAGGCCAGGAATTTGAGACCTGCCTGAACAACATGGTGAAACCCCATCTCTACTAAAAATACAAAAATTTACCAGGCATGGTGGCCCATGCCTGTAATCCCAGCTATTTGGGAGGCTGAAGCAGGAGAATCGCTTGAACCCAGAGGCGGAGGTTGCAGCAAGCCGAGATTGTGCCATTGTACTCCAGCCTGGGTGACAGAGTAAGACTCCATCTCAAGAAAGAAAAAAAAAAATTGCTTTTGATTCTCATTATCCACGTTTAGGAATTCAGGATATGGTTAACTTCCCTGCCCCAACTTTTTTCCTCCTCCTAACTACCAATTATCAATCATGTTTATCACCATGGATATGGTTTCTACCATTTATATTTTTCTACAAGTATTGCTTTTGACTTTGGAATGTAACCTTTTACAACCGTATTTATCTCTTTATATACTTACCTCTTTATATTTAATTGGTTCCAAGCTCATTGCTAGTCTTTTTAAATGTTAATGCTCTCCTTGGTACTCTAGAATGTGGTTGACCTCTTGGTATCCTGGAATACATCCTGGAATAGGTTTCTCAGGAAGGGTATCCAAATGGTATTTTTCCAAGCCCCTGCATGTGTGAGGATGACTTTACTGCTGCATTCACAGATAATTGTCAGGAGTCTTTCTCAAGACTGGCCATTTTTATCATGTTCTGGAGATCTGTGTAAAGTCAAAAGGCTGCCTGATTTTTGTTTCTGTGTGGGCTACCTGCTTGGTAGAAACATGCAGAATATTGTTCTGTATCCTTGGGATTGTAAACTTTGGTCAGAATATGTCTACATGTGTCATCTGGCCTGGAAATCAGTTACCCACTTTGACCACCACACTCAGGCCTTCCTTTAATTTTTGTCTCCCCAGCTTGAGAAAATTTTCTTCTATTACATCTTTGTTCATTACTATTTTTTTTTTTTTTTTTTGAGATGGAGTCTCACTCTGTCTCCCAGGCTGGAGTGCAGTGGTGTGACCTCAGCTCACTGCAACCTCCACCTCCCAGGTTCAAGCAATTCTCCTGCCTCAGCCTCTCTAGTAGCTGGGATCATAGGTGTGTGCCACCACACCTGGCTCCTTTTTGTATTTTTAGTAGAGACAGGGTTTCGCCATGTGGGCCAGGCTGGTCTTGAACTCCTGACCTCAAGTGATCGGCCTGCCTTGGCCTCCCAAAGTGCTGGGATTACAGGTGTGAGCCACCATGCCCAGCCTATTACTTCTTTAGTAACAACTATGATTTTTATGTTGTTCGTCTCCCTCATCTTACACATTATCTATTGTTATTTCCCTTTGCATATTAGCAATTTCCTAAAATTGTCCTCCGTTTAATATATCCACTGTTACACAGCACTAGTTCTAGTCTAACTGGTGCTTCAGTATATTTTAATTCTGCTTTTGCAGTTTTGACTTTCTTAGCCATGTCCTTTCCCTTCTCTGCTTTCCTCTCATTCTGTTCTTAGTTCTCATTCTGTTGTTATTTCGTAGATGTCATGGCCTTTTTTTTTTTTTTTTTTTGGAGACAGAGTCTTGCTCTGTCACCCAGGCTGGAGTGCAGTGGCACGATCTCGGCTCACTGCAAGCTCCGCCTCCTGGGTTCACAACATTCTCCTGCCTCAGCCTCCCAAGTAGCTGGAACTACAGGCGCCCGCCACTACACCTGGCTAATTTTTTGTATTTTTAGTAGAGACGGAGTTTCACCGTGTTAGCCAGGATGGTCTCGATCTCCTGACCTCGTGATCCACCCGCCTCGGCCTCCCAAAGTGCTGGGATTACACGCATGAGCCACTGCACCCGGCCACGGCCTTTTTAATTTAAGAAAAAATGTCTTAGGTTTACTAAATAAAGAGCTTCAGTCGGTCTGTGTTTTTCTGAGATATCTAAACGACTTGTTACTCTCAAATGCTGCACAATCTTTGAACAGCCTCCTTTTGGTCCTAACCCCTTTGCTGTTCACACCTGAGGGCTAAGGGCACAGCCTGAGAATGTACAAACTCCAAACAGGAATTGTTGATTCCAGGCCTGATGGACTGAGTTTGAGCCATTTTCTTTTCCTATTGCTTGGTTTTCTCACTAAGCTGGGGAGCTAGATGCTGCTGGCTGTCATGTCTGTTTTTGCTAGTTTTGAGACGGCATCTGAGGGCATGTGCCTGGGAGCCAGTGTTCTCCCCGGCTCTGCTTCCGCACCTAAGTGCAGAGCATGCTGGTCCCCTCCACCAAGCCCCTTGGCTTTCAGCCTGGTCACTGTGCAGCTGCTGCAGCTTCAGAATGGACGTGATGAGGAAAGTGATGGGGATGGAGACACAGGAGGTCAGCTGATTCTGTGACCAGTTTAGTGATTATTCTCCTTATAATGGGGGTTAGCAGAGCCCCTATTGGGTGAGTGTTATGAACTGCACGTCTGTGTTCTCTCATCTCCCAAAATTCACATATTCGAGTCCTAGCTCCTGTGTGGTTGTAATAGGAGGCAGGGACCTTGGCAAGTGCTTGGGTTTAGATGAGATAATGAGATCATGAGAGTAGGGCCCACCCCTGATGAGGTTAGTGTCCTTTAAGCAGAGAAAGAGACACCAGAGCAACCTCTCTCTACTACGTGAGGCACATCGAGAAGGCAGCCGTCTGCACACCAGGAAGAGGGCCCTCACCAGGAACTCAGTCTGCAGTATTTTCTTGTAGCCTCCTGAAATGACCAGGACAGTGGGCCCAAGTGTTTGCCTTCCCTCCTCGGAGGTCACCTTTGCTTTTCTGATGCAGAGGTGAACTTCTTCAAAACTCACCCCTGAACCCAACAACCTCAGAATTGGCAAACAGATCATTCCTTCCTTGGTGCCCAGAGACCCAACTACCGGGCTTCAGCATCTCAGCTCAGCACCAGGAGAAAGCAAATACTTTGTGGTTTAGTTAAAAACTTCTGGTGCAAACAAGCTAGCTCAGGTAAAGGGGGGTTTATGTAAGACAGTGGGTCTCAGAGACAGAGAGAAAGTGCTGCCCTGGTCCTCTGTAGCGGGTGGTGGGCAGTGGTCAAGCTGGGGCCTCAGGGGCAGCAGGAATCTCTGCAGGATCTGCCTCCAGAGTGGGCCTCCTCCCGTCTCCTGCTCGCTCCCCACCGCCCAGAGCCTGCAGCCAACCCTCTGAGACCCTGCACCTGCTGCGGCCCCTGCTGAAGATTCAGAAGCCCGTGGGGTTTGAACGGCCTGGTTTCTGGATTTAACAGTTCAGTAGAGGAGAGAGAGAGAACAGCCACAGAGGAGGCTGGGTGAGCATTGCAGGTAACAGAAAGGACAGAGACCCCTTGGCATGAAACAAAGTGAAGAGATCGAGAAGCCACACGTGCAGAGACAGACAAGAGACCTGGCCCCCAGACCTGAGACACTGGGGAAATGGCCTGTGTGCCAGAGCAGACAGGGAGGTGTGGGGAGGCGTGGGGAGGAGGAGGAGCGACGTCATGCCCACTAGCTGGCGAGACAACGCCATCAACAGGCTAGAAGAATGTTACGACGTCCAGCGGACATTAACACAAGGAGGCACACGTCTGGACACTTTGGTGACATTTTCTGACCCTAAAGATAACGAAGAACTCTGCACGCCCCAGACAGAGAGGACAGGCTCATGCAGGAAGGAGGCAGAGCACTGCCAGCCTGCCCAGCACTGAAACTGAGGCAGGGCTGGTAGGGGCTGAACTGTGCCCCCCAAATCCGTGTGTAGGGGCCCTGACACCCATACCTCAGAATGCAATGGCATTTGGAGATGAGAGCTTTAAAGAGGTGCTTAAGTTAATATGAGGTCATTAGTGTGGGCCCTCATCCAGCATGACCAGTGTCCTTATGAGACAAGGAGATGAGGACACAGACACACAGAGGGAGGACCCTGTGAAGCCACAGGGAGAAGACAGCATCTATAACTAACCAGAGAGTCCTGGGGGAGCCAACCCTGCCGACACCTTAACCTTGGCCTTCCAGCCTCCAGAACTGTGAGAAGAGAAACGTCTGTTGTTGAAGTCGCCCAGACTGTGGCAGTTTGTGATGGCCGCCCTAGCAAACACACACAGGGCCGTTTCTGGAGCAGTGAAAGAAAAGGACCGTATCAAGAAACCCCTGACCTGGACAAGATCATTGTAGATGAGGTCAAAAGAAAGATATTTTGGACAAGGGAGGACTCAAAGTATGCTATCAATGAGCCCTTTCTGAGGAAATTGCGTGAGAAATTATTCCCGTCAATTGAAAATTGAATCAGAGCCAGATGCGGTGGCTCACGCCTGTAATCCCAGCACTTTGGGAAGCTGAGACAGGCGGATCATTTGAGGTCAGGAGTTCAAGACCAGCCTGGGCAACATGGTGAAACCTCATCTCCACTAAAAAAACAAAAACAAAAACAAAATTCCTTTTGGATATATTGCTGCAAGTGTTTTTGCACATTAGAGCATCAGTGACAGACCAGACCACCTAGAAGGCTAATGAAGGATTCCCCCAGTGCTCCGGAAGGAGCTTGAGTTAGAACTGTACTGCTTCTGTACTGAGCAACGGGCTCGTTCCCAGTGGGGGTGAGTCTTGGCAGATCTCTTTCCACCCCTTGCTACTGGCACTGGCCTGGCACAGAGGGGGCCTTGTGGAGCTCAGCAGAATGGAGCAGAACTGAATTTCACAGAGCAACTGGGCTCTTTCTGCCCTGGGACCACTCTGATATCATCCTACCGGTGGAGAGCACTGCACGGCAGCTCCCACTGCACCCCACACATCGCAGCACTTTCCATGGGCCTCTACGTAGCCTGGTTTGCCCCAGGGCAGCCCCAGGCCCCCACAAAGCCCCACTCTGTGCTCTGCCCCTTGCTTACCTTCATAGCCTGGGAAATTCCTTCTATATTTTGTTTTGCCTTTTGCATCCTGTTCTGCAAGTTGTGCAGAATTTCTCGCACCTCTTGAATGTACTGAAACACACCTAAAATGGAAATGTAGAGGAATCTTACAAAATGAACAATTCAGGCTGGGCGCGGTGGCTCAAGCTTGTAATCTCAGCCCTTTGGGAGGTCAGGGCAGGCGAATCACGAGGTCGGGAGTTCGAGACCAGCCTGGGCAACATGGTGAAACCCCATCTCTACTAAAAATACAAAAAATTAGCTGGGCATAGCAGTGGGCACCTGTAATCCCAGCTACTCGGGAGGCTGAGGCAGTAGAATAGCTTGAACCCGGGAGGCAGAGGTTGCAGTGAGCCGAGATTGTGCCATTGTACTCCAGCCCAGGCAACAGAGTGAGACTCTATCTCAGGAAAAAAAAAAAAAAAATTCAGCAGGATGAAAACTTTTCTTGGGTTGGCTTAACACTCATCACTATGAGACAGCCCTGGGAAAATACTCCTATTCTGGAACATGATTCCCAGAAGAAATCGCTGGGCGTTCTCTGAAATGAAATGCCAAGGAATCACAAATATAGTGTCCCTTTGGACATAGGGTTTGGAGAATGTGTGGACCCTTCACCCCACGTAGGAGCCCCAGACTCCTCACGTTAAAGGGTTCCACCTCTGGGAGCATCAGAGATGGGGCCAGGGGGTCGGGGGCCTTCTGCCTCGTCCAGTGGTGGAATGAAGGGAAGACAGGGACTCGTGACTACACTTCTTCCTACTTTGCTGACGTCTGCCCTGAGTTAGCCAAGATGTGCACCAGCTCTGCTCACCAGCTGTGCATGCTCTGTGCATGCTTGATAAACCAACAGTGGAAACTGGGCCTCCAGCAAGCCCAGTTTGGGAAACTTGGAAACCTCTTGGCAGTTCCCAGGGAGTCTTTGCCGGATTCCGTTTCTAAGTGACACAGATGGGCTTTTTTTTTTTTTTTTTGCCTGGGCAGGCAGGTGGAAGTAACTATCCTTTAGCCCCCTTGAAGTTAAAGCAGATCCACACAGCCAGGAGGCAGAAGTGACCACTCTAGTGGTGTTTGAGGACAGATGCTGGGCAGGTTGGACTCCCAAGTTTAATCCAATGTGGGAGGAATGTGGCCTCCGTACCTTCGCCATTCCAGAATAATGTCGTTTCAGCGCTCAATAACTTGACATCAATTGCTTCCAGTTCTGACTTTATTAGTAGAAATTCTACTGCCTTCACTATAGTCTTTATCTGAAAAACAGAGGTGACAGGTTTTGTTCCGAGTCCAACCAGATTTTAAATTGTTCTCTGGTAAGGACCTTTTATTCCTCAACACCAACTAATACGGTTTGGATCTGTGTCCCCACTCAGGTCTCATGTTGAATTGTAATCCCCAGTGTTGGAGGTGGGGCCTGGTGGGAGGTGACTGGATCATGGGGACAATGATCTCATGAATGGTGTAGCATCACCCCCCGATGCCGTTCTTGGGATAGTGAATGAATTCTCGTGCAATCTCCTTTTTAAACAGGTGTAGCACCTCCCCCACTTCTCTCTCGATCCTGGCTTGTGCCAAGTGATGTGCCTGCTTCCCCTTCACCTTCCACCATGATTCCAAGTTTCCTGAGGTCCCCCCAGAAACAGAAACCACTATGCTTCCTGTACAGCCTGCAGAGCCATGAGCTAATTAAACCTCTTTTCTTTATAAATTACCCAGTCCCAGGTTTTTGTGTTTTTTTTTTTTTTTTTTTTTTTTTTTTTTTTTTTTAAGATGGAGTCTCACTCTGTCACCCAGGCTGGAGTACAGTGGCGTGATCTTGGCTCACTGCAATCTCTGCCTCCCGGGTTCAAGCAATTCTCCTGCCTCAGCCTCCCCAGTAGCTGGGACTATAGGCATGCGCCACCATGCCCAGCTAATTTTTGTATTTTTAGTAGACGCAGGGTTTCACTATGTTGGCCAGGCTGGTCTTGAACTCCTGACCTCAAATGATCCACCCACCTTGGCCTCTCAAAGTCCCAGGTGTCAAGTATTTCTTTATAGCAATGTAACAGCCTAATACACCAACAAAGCCAATGATGATTGTTTTTTATTTGGAAATCGTATTTCAGGACACTCCACAATTTTTAGAATGACTTTTATCACTGAGGATTTATGTACGGTTACTGTTTTATGTTATAGTATTCCTATCTCTTTCTAGCCCATACCATGACTAATTAAGAATTAACTGTGTATAGGTTGGTGTAAAAGTAATTGCCATCTTTTCCGTTACTTTTAATACATAAATCCTCAGTATATAATCACAAAGGTTTGTACTTGATTTCTTTTTGTGATTCTAAGCCAAAGAAATACATGTGGATCACTGAGCATTTCTTGGCTCAGACCCTTTCCCTGGTCAATCTAAAGCTCAAAATCTTTTTTTTAATATAGAGATGGGATCTTGCTATGTTGCCCAGGCTGGTCTCAAACTCCTGAGCTCCAGCCATCTTCCCACTTCAGTCTCCCAAAGTGCTGGGATTACAGGTGTGAGTCATGGTGCCCAGCCTAAAGCCTGAAGTTCAGTTATACAACAGAAAACCCAGGATCTGCAGAGAAACTATTCAAGTTGTTAATGGATCAGTGTTAACAATAGTATAGTTTCTCACTTTGGGAGGCCGAGGCAGGCAGATCACTTAAGGTCAGGAGTTCAAGACCAGCCTGGCCAACATGGTGAAATCTTGTCTCTACTAAAAATACAAAAATTAGCCCGGTGTGGTGGTGTGCACCTGTAATCCCTACTTGGGAGGCCAAGGTGCGAGAATCGCTTGAACCCAGGAGGTGAAGGTTGCAGTGAGCCAAGATCGCACCACTGCACTCCAGCCTGGACAATAGAATGAGACTCTGTCTCAAAAAAAAAAAAAAAAAAAAAAAAAAAAAAAAAAAGGATAGGTTCTATATAGTTTTGTTCTAGTTTGCCCTACTCTAAGAAATTAATTTAATGCTTGAAATCCTGAATTTACAAAACAGAACAAACAAGGGAGAAGTTTTCATGATTCCCTTAAATAATAAGCACCATTTAGGCCTAGGAATCTCATCGTACCAAGCAACATCTTGTTTCATGACTTCTCTAGGACCCTTCTACATGAAGTATGGAATCACAGAGTTAAAAATACACACTAGATGCTGATTTGCCTTTCAGAATAATTCTTTACATACATTTTGGTACTTTATTTTTTGAGACGGAGTCTCGCTCTGCCACCCAGGCTGGAGTGCAGTGGCGTGATCTTGGCTCACTGCAACCTCCGCCTGCCAGGTTCAAGCGATTCTCCTGTCTCAGCTTCCTGAGTAGCTGGAACTACAGGCGCCCACCACCAAGCCCAGGTAATTTTTTTATTTTTTGTAGGGATAGGGTATTAGCACGTTGGCCAGGCTGGCCTCGAACTCCTGACCTCAAGTGATCCACCCACCTCGGCCTCCCAAAGTGCTGAGATTACAGGCATGAGCCACTGCGCCCAGCCCATTTTAGTGCTTTAAATAGTGTACTTCCACCCATGCCTTCGAATGTTTTCTGACCATTAACTCGTAGGATAGGTGCTTAGGAAAGAGAAATAGAGTATAAGAGCTGTTACCGGCTGAAAACCAGACAGAAGTAAAGGATGCATCTACAGGATTACAAAGCAAGACGATGTGTAGCAGGATTCCGTCCATCAGGGTTGGGTTGTTAAACAATGACAAGGACAGTGGTCTCTTCCCAGTCGAGGAACCCTGCTCTGAGACTACACCCTACGTGAGAGAATCTCAGAACACACCTCTTTAGTGTGCTCGTGACTAAATCATGGTGCTCCTACCATACCTGGAGTCCAAGGCGGGAGCTCTTTAGACAGAATCTAACCAGCTGGAGAAAGGTGCTGTGTTTCTAATGAATGGACCATGGACAAAGATATTACGGCCCCTGGTGATCAGAATCTGGGGAGCCCTGCCACGGCTGCCGGGGAGAGGAGCAAGATTCCGTCACAAAAAAAAAAAAAAAAAAAAAAAGAGGCAAGAAGGTCAAAAGAGAAGGCATCAGTGTGATGACGGAAGCACAAGTTGGAGTGATGTGCTTCGAACATGAAATAATGTGGCCGCGAGGGTTAATTTGTCAACAGGACTGTGCCACAGGGTGCCCAGATTAAACATGGTTTCTGAGGTGCGTGAGGTTGTTTCTGGATGAGATAAGCATTGGAATGGGTGGGCTCAGGAAAGCAGATAGCCCTCCCCAGTGTGGGTGGGTCTCATCCAACCGTTGAGGGCCTGAATAGCACAAAAGGCGGAGGAAGGAGGAATTCACCCCTTGTTTCTGCCTCATGGCCTGAGCTGGGCCATCTCATCATCTTCAGCCTTTGGACTGGGATTTACACCATCTGTTCCCCTAGTTGTCAGGCTTTGGACTCAGAGTAACACCACCTGCTTTCCTGAGTTTCCAACTTGCAGACAGCAGGCTGTAAGACTTCTTACCCTCTGTAATTGCGTGAGGCAATTCCTCACAATAAATCTCCATATATACATGTCTATATCTCTGTCTGTCCATCCATCTCCATCCATCCATCTGTATCTATCCCCCCCATCTATAGCTATCTATCCATTCATCCACCTATATAATCTATCCATCCATCTACCTGCTTTCCTATCTCTCTAGCTACCGATCTATCTATCCATCCATCCCTCCATCCTCCCATCTGTCTATCCCATTGGTTCTGTTTCTCTGGAGAACTCTAACTAATACAATGGCCATGAGCCCAGGAAGGTGCAGCCTCTAGACGCTGGAAAAGACAAGGAGACAGACCATCCCCTTGAGCCTCCAGAAGGAGGCAGCCCAGCGGATGCCTTGACTCCAGCAGAATGAAACAGATCCAGGACTTCTGACCTCCAGAACTAGAAGGTAGGAAATACGTGCCGTTTAAAGTCACTCAGTTTGTGGTGATTTGTTACAGCAGCAACAGGAAATGAACAGTGTCCAGACTGGCCCTGTTGTACTGTGGCTTGGGGTGGGGTCAAAGTTGTATGGTACAAATGGTCGCCTTTCCCAGGGTATATGAGTGGAATCCATAAGAAATGGTGTCTAGAAGGAGGACAAGCACAGTGACTGCCCGCTGAGCCCCACAGCCACGCTCTCCGGGCCCCTCCTGATTGTACAGGGATGTTTGTAGCAGCTTTATTTGTAAAAGCGAAAACTGAAAACAACCCGAATGCCCATCAACAGAGGAATGGATAATAGTGCTATATCCATGCGACACATTGCCACTCAGCAATAAAATTGACTCACGTTTAAAAAGAAGAAGAATGGTGCTACATGCAACAACATAGATTAACTCAAAATAATTAACCGAGTGAAAGCAGACAGAGAAAACAGAACACGTATGATACCATTGCCCTCCGGTTCCCGACTCGGCTTCCAGGGCCTCGTGCCAGGAAGGAGGTGCCCTCAACAAGCCCTGTGTTGCTGGACGGGACCGCCCCCCACCTCCAACAATTACTGGGAAGTTTTTCCAAAGTCAACCTCTTGATTACTGCGTCAGGTCCCTAGATCAGATGGTGCCAGGAATCAAGGCCAAAAAGGAGTTCTTGAACCAAAGAGCTGAGCAGGGACCGCCACCTCCTAGCCCCTCACACACAGCTTCCTCATGATAATCCTACTCTGGGTTCCAGGAAATGCCCATCCAGTCCTCCCCACATTAACAGAAGTAATGGAAGCAATGTTGAATGACTTTAATATTATCCAAAATTTGTTCAGGAGGGTAAATAGATCTATAAAGAATCATGTAATTGGCCAGGCTTGGGGCCTTATGCCTGTAATCCCAACACTTTGGGAGGCAGAGGCGGGCAAATCACCTAAGGTCAAGAGTTCGAGACCAGCCTGGCCAATGTGGTGAAACTGTGTCTCTACTAAAAATACAAAAATTATTTGTATTTTTACTACCACCAGCTGGGCTTGGTGGTACACGCCTGTAGTCCCAGCTACTCAGGAGGCTGAGCCAGGAGAATCGCTTGAACTTGGGAGGCAGAGGTTACAGTGAGCCTAGATTGTGCCACTGCACTCCAGCCTGGGTGACAGAGTGAGACTGTCTCAAAAAAAAAAAAAAAAAAAAAAAAAAAGTAACGTAAGCCAAAGCCCAGTGGGAATAAGATATTCATCACCAGCTGTTCTGAGTCATCACTATCTTTGCTGCTATTTGCATGAATAATGAAGACTGGCTTGAACCATGTCTAAATATTAAAATACACACTAATTTAATTCTGTTCTGCTTGGAGATCTTACACCAGAAGTTGTTGGGTGACAACAAATGCTGGTGTAAGATCTCCAAGTGGAACAGAACAGGACGGCAGGACAGAGATCTCTGACTCCCTGGCTCAGGAATTTATCCCAAGCACATACACATAGCAGGTACTCAGTAAGTATGCAGTGAATGGAAGAATGAATTTGAGTGAATGGGAAGATTTCCCAGGAAGAGCCACATCTCTGAAACACACAAACAAACTTGACAAAAAACCAAAACAATACAAAGCTGCATCAGGAATAGTACCGACTCACCAACTCACCTCATTATACCAGCCAACGATGAGCTCCAGGTTGCCCACAAACTTCCGGAAAGTTTCGTTCTCTGAGAACAGACTCTCCGCACTGTCTGGAATCTCTTTCTGTTGCTGGAAATTCAAATACTTGACTTCTCTCAGAACTGCCACCAACTAAATGACAAACGAAGATCAAAGAACATGTCAGCAGGTCAGGTCAACAGTGCAGTGTTCAAGCAACAGAAATGAGCATCTGCCCTGGGATGTTTTGACAGCCGGGGGGGATCTCAAAGTTGGTGGGAGGCAGTATTTGTTGGCAGGACCAGGACGTTTTCACCCTGTTGGCTGATCCTGAGCCGGAAAGCACTGACATCACCCTCATGGGTGGATGACATCACCCTCATGGGTGGATGACATCACCCTCATGGGTGGATGACATCACCCTCATGGGTGGATGACATCATCATTGCATGTGTATGACATCATTGTCATCACCACGGGTGGGTGACATTATCCTTATGGGTGGATGATGTCATCATTGTAGGTGGATGATATCATCATCACCATGGGTGGCTGACATCATCCTAATTTTCTTATCTCTGTCCTCTCCTACCTACTACCCACAAGTGGTTTGGAGTAAGACTTCGGGTCTTCACTTGTTTCCTCGCTGGAATCTAACCTTCTGTTTTCTCTCTGCTTTCACCCGGTTATGACCCGAGATCAACAACAGGGACATCCCTTCCAACAGTGCTTCTGTCCACAAAGCTATTCTCAAAGTTGAGATAACCTCCATATTGCTGAATCCACTGGTCACATCACGGGCCTCATCTCATGGGATCGCCCAGCCGCTGGCACTCTTTCCTTCTGGGCACACAGTGTCCTCCTGGCTTCCAGGACACTAGACATTCCTGGTCACCATTATTAGTCTCTTTTGATAATCTCAAGATGTCCATGATGGGGAGCCACAGACCTTGTTCCTTCTCAATTTACCCTCAGTTGAATGAGGTGTGATGTCATCCAACGTTATAGCTGCCTTGACCAGCCAGCCCATTTGTCATCTCCGCTGAATGAGGTAATGAGATGTCCAGTGTTGTGGCTACAAGTACCATCTCTGTGTGGGTGGCTCCCACGTTTATGTCTCCAACCCCAGCCTCTCTCGTGACTTCCAGCCTTCTGTATCCACCCGCCTACTCAGCTCCTCTCTTTGGATGTCCAGGTGACATCTCACACCCAACAAGGCTAAAGCACAGCAGCCCATCCTCCCCTGTGGCCTCTGCCCCACCTGCCCTCTTGGCCAATGGCAATTCTACCTGTCTACTCACCTGACCCTAAAACATTGGGACTGACTCCCCTCTTCCAATCACGCTCCATTTCCAACCTACTAGGAGTCTCCATGGCACTATATTCAAGTCCAGAAGCTCACCACCACCTTCACTGCTGCCACTCTGGTTCCAGCCACCACCTCCCAGCTGTCATCTCTTGCCTGGACTGTGCCAACAGGCTCCCAACTGATTTTCCTGCTCTTTCCTCCAGCCCCAGCTCCGTTCAATCTACGCACCTCACAGCGTGGAGAAGGGTCCTTTACAACTAGAAATCTAATCGCAGCACACCTCTGTCTGACACCCTGCAGGGGCTGCCATCTTGCTCAAACCAAACTCCAAGTCCCTCTGTGGTCCATGGGGCCCTTCCTCGTCACCTCTCATCTCTTCTCCTACGACCTTCCCCTTTGCCCATTCCCCCGCCCCACTGGCCTCCTTGCTGCTCCTGGACTGCACCAGGCTCTCGGGCGCCACCTGGCCTTTTCTTTACCCGCATGCCGTGCTGCAAAGCTGTTCCCTCCATCTCTGCTCAGCGGCACTCTGACCTCCCACAAGTCTCTGCTCACATCTAAAATTGCACCTGCCCCTTCTACCGGCTCTATTGATCTTCTTAACCTGCCCTTCCTGCTCTTCCTTCCGCGGAACCTGTTGCACCTTCTACCATATCATACACTTGACTCCCTCGTGAATGCTAGCTGATCATCCTCCCCGCCCTCCTGCCTGGAGGTAGGCTCTAGGAGGGCAGGACAGACAGCTCTCTGACTGTCTGGATCACTAATTTATCCCAAGCACATACATGTAGTAGGTGCTCAGTAAGTATTTGGTGAACGAAAGAATGAATGTTAGTGAGTGGGAAGATTTCCAAGGAAGAGCCGCATCTCTGGTTTCCCTGCCTTGCCACGTGCAGATTGGGCAGCTCTGGGGCTGTGCTTGTAGGAATTCGGTTCCATCCTCTGCTCATCTGAACTTTCCGGGTTTTAGCCATAGAACCCACATCCCAGAGCCCACAAGTGTGAATTCTCCCCAGTGTGCCTGCCTTGACCAGCCAGTGCATTTATCTAGATTCGGCAAAGACTTTTTCCCCCCCCCCAGTTTCAAATTGTCATTTCTTCTTGGGATCACAGGAACGCTTTCAAGAAGATACTCATTGAAGCTATTGTCAAAGTTGCTTCTGCTTTCCCTCATGTCTTAAATATACCCTGGACACACTTAAGAAGTAAAGCTTTAGGCGAACTGTGATATAAACATCGACCTCCATAAATCCGTGCTGAGGGAACCTTGGCAGGCCCTCCCCCCGCTCCCAAGGAGCCTTTGACGCGGTCCCCACTCCTGGCACCCACCGCTTTGCTGAAGTTGACGTGGATGAGGTTGCTAGCGGCGTCCCGCAGAATCAGCGGCTGCCCCAGGTTAAAGTGGCAGTCCTGGTCCACGCCCGCCACCCACTGCTGGTAGATCTTCTCGCGGTGGCACCTCAGCAGCTCCATCATCTCGTCATACTTCTGATAGGTCAGCTTGGCCTCTGCTCCAGACATGACCCTGGAATCAGAGCGGGAAGGCGAGGCCCCACTGGATATCTCCTGTGGGGTGTCTTCGGCACGTCCCATCGTTGCTGCCCGATCTGGGGTGCCGAAGCGGCCGGCCACCCAATTACTCGAGGCTCACAGACTGAATATGCAAACAAGCAGTGGCCAGACCAAATGTTCAAATGGAACTCCGACCTGCAGTCTGCAGCCACCAGCCCAGGAGGCCAAAATAGAACCCACGCAGCAACTGGCTCCCGACCGCCAGGCCTGGATGAATGACAGCCAGCCCCTCTCCAACTTTCCTTCTCCCTTCCAACCTGGGGCCAACTAGATGAAAGCAAATACGCCCCCCAAACAACCACATAAAAGGCCCCCCTCCTAGTCAGCTGCACCGGCCTCCCCAGGCCAAGCCGGGGCTCCCCTGCAGCCGTCCCTGCGTCCACCGTGAAGCCTCCCCGGCCCCTGGCTGTCCAGGAGACTTGGCCAAGTGCACGCAACAGTGGCTCAGTCAGCTGCATACACAGCCTCTTCCTGTTCCTGCCTGGGTGGTCTTCATGTCTACCAGGCTGGTGGGCAAGGGTGGGGACCAGCCAGATTTCTCCTGAGCACTCCCACCAAGAAGGTGATCAGGGGAGGAGGGAGGACCAGAAGGGGTCTCTTCTGGGCTTTTGCTCTGGGAGGTAACAGTCTGGTCGACAGGAGGGGTGGTCCCGCTCGGGGTTGGGACAGTCCCTCTCGCTCTCCCGCACCATGGAGGCGGGGTGCCTGCCCCTGCCCAGGGCTGTGACTCACGGGTGTTCGACGTGCTTCAGGTGTTTCATGGACACCTCTAGCCTCTCCTGCAGCTCCAGGCTCCATTTGAGCTGCCCGGCCACGGGAGGCATGTTTTTGTGGATCAGGGGGATGTTCCCCTCCTCGGAGGCCGCCATCTGGGCATCGTACAAGATCTTAGCATTGTCTAGCTCAGCGTCAAACAGCTCCAGCATGACTGAATACCTGGGCGCCACCTCGGCAAGAATCAGGGGCCGCTCCATGAGGCCCCCACACATGTACAGGAGCTGAGGACAAAGGAGAAGGGGGCCTCTTCACCACAGTCTCCTCCCCTTCCCCAGCCTGTGGCTGTGGACAAAACGGGCAGGGCCAATCTTCAGGAGTGAGAGAATGTGTACCTTGCCAAAACAAAACAATCCACTGGAACCTTTGTGTGTGTCAACTGGCTCAGTGGAAGCCTCTATGCTTTTCTCATTGACTTAGGCCGAGTCCCCAAATACTTGGCTTATAATCCCACAGTACAAATAAGTCCAAGGGCTACAAGAGTTTTTTCTAAGCCTAGGAAAAATCAGAATTCTGGTAAGGAAGACTTAAACAATTAAAAAATAGGCTGAGCACCATGGCTCACACCTGTTATTCCAACACTTTGAGGGGCCGAGGCGGGAGGGTCACTTGAGCCCAGGAGTTTGAGACCAGCCTGGGCAACACAGCAAAATCCTGTTTCTACAAAAAATAAAAATAAAAAATACAAAGAATACATGAAACTAGCGGGGTCCAGTTTTTGTATTCTTTTGGGTGTGCGCTTATAGTTCCAGCTACTCAGGAGGCTGAGATGGGAGGATTACTTGAGCCCCAGAGGTCAAGGCTGCAGTGAGCCAAGATTGCACCACTGCACCCCAGCCTGGGCAACAGAGCAAGACCCTGTCTCCAGAAAAAACAAACCCAAAACAACTCCAAGTAAACAATTTTAAAATAGCCATAACGTTGCATTTATATACCTGGGCTTCTACTCTGATACAGATAAATGAAGAAATATTTTATCCACAGGAAGCGTTCCTCTTAGGAAGAGCACTGCCACTCTCAAGGGCAGCTGAGGCAAGAAAACCACCATCAGGAAATGTGTTTCGCTCTGAGAAAGCTCTGGGGGTCAGACCAAGTGGGAGGGGGACCAGAGAGAGGGAAGACAACCTCACACGAAACAGGGTCCCCCAGTGCTGGGTGTGAGTGGGAAATCCAAGAGAGTTTCCCGGGGCTGCCATAACCCACGCCCAATGGGGGCCAGACCAGCTGCGGTGAGCCTGAGTCTCAGACTTTCCCCAGACTTGGGTCTGAGAAAGGTGACCACTGTCCCTAGAAATGGCCACAGGAGGAAAAACCAAAACATGACTGCGAAGAGAGGGAGATTTTTCAGGCCCCCAAGAGTACAGATTTCCCAAATGCAAGATTGCGGCTATTTTTAAGTTAATTGTGTTTTTCAAAATTGTTCAAATCTTCCTTACCCAAATTCTGATTTCTCCTGGGCTTAGAAAAAAATTGTCACCCTTGGACCTATTTGTATTGTGAGTTGTACAAATGGAGCAGCCGTGGACTCTCAGGCAGACATGGAAACGCTGGTGTCCTGCCAGCTACCGCCTTCCTCCACGGTCGCCTGCTGACGTATGAGGTCACCAGTTTCATTTGTTCAAAGCATTGACATGGGGCAGTTGGAAAAAAAAAATGTTCCTCTTAATGGTTTATGACTATCCTGTAATGCGGGTAGATGTTTTACTTGGAAGTCAGAAAAATAGAAAAAAACCCCAAAAACCTGAAGACCCATCATCCAGACAACCGACACACCTGTAATCCCAACACTTTGAGGGGCCGAGGCGGGAGGCATTTTTATTTTTCTCTGTCTTCCCATTTCTCTCTCCTCCTTTTCATGTTTATATAGTTTTTAGTTTAATGACTTTTGGAAAGGAAGCGAATTCTATTTTCCGCCAAAAGGAGATCATGTGGAAAATTGCTCTAGAACGTTCCTGGCTGTGTGCGAGTTGCTGATAATGAGAACTAACTCCGGAACAGGCAGGGGCTGGAAGGGACAACAAGGGAGAGAAACCCCAGGGCCCTATCCTATTTAGAGCACAGGGCTGTCAAACCAGGGGGAAAATGTTCTTAGGTCAAAGAGAAACGTGAACAGATGGCGATGGAAATGGGTTACAAGAGTTATTTCTCCCCCTGCCTCCCTCCCCTCCGCTTTTCTTTGTTTTAAATTGAGCATAAACATACGTGAAAATTTTTAAAAAGAGATCTTTCTTTTAGAGCCCAAAAGCCCCTCTTGACCCTAACAGGTGCCAGGGATGCAGGGGAAAGCCTGGGGCGGGGTGACTGCATTTGTTCCTCGCTAGCTCCATTCTGCAGAGGTCGGGTTGGGTTTCTTCCAGGACCTCCTGCTCCTCACAGGGTAGGGGCCTAGGGCTCCCGAGGGGTCACAAAGTTGAACTCGCCAACCCAGCTCCCTCCCCACTGCCGGATCCCCTAGTGAACCCTGGGGGAGGTTCAGCCCAGACCCGTACGCTGGTCCTTATCTGCTCTTCCCCTTGTGCCAAACTAGATGCAGGTGGCACAATCTCCATGTTGGGGACAGCAAGACTCTGGGGACTCATCTGGCCCTGGCCGGGTGACCAAGTTACTTAATTTTTCAGATTTTTCCACATCGGAACAGCAGCAGGGAGTCACAGCACCTCCCCGTGGAGCCAGTGTTAGGGGTGCAGGAGCCACAGAAGCCAGCTGCCCGCCCGCCCAGCCCATAAGCCTGTGCCCCATCTTTAATTTTGGAGACCCAAAAGTGAGGTTTCCAAATGAAAGAATTGGCTCCATTGGGACCCTTCTGCGCTGGGGCAGTCCTGACGCTTTTGTGTTATCCTTCAGGGGCTCCACGTGGAAGGCTTATGCTAGAGCGAAACTACCTCCCAACAACATTCAGAACAACCAGCCTCCCTTGTCAAGAGCCAGTTGTGCACTGCAGGAAATACTCAGAAGCGCCTGCCCTGTGCTAGGCTCAGTTCTAAGGGAACTCAAATCCAGTGCCTGACCTCAGGGAGTTTACCTTCTAGTCAGGAAGACAACGAACACACAGACATTAGTATACAAATGAATATGAGGGAAGGCCATTGCTGAGAAGGGACCAGCCTGGGGGCATTTGAGTGGAAGGAAGGAAGTGAGGACCCTGCAACTAGATGCAGCTACCTGGGGAAGAGCCTTCTGAGAAAGGGAATGTTGCCAGATTCTTTGCTTAGCCAAAGATTCTCATCAGGGTCTCCATCCTCCACCATCCCGCAGGGGATGTCTGATTACCCTAACCTGCTTCCAGCTAGAATCTTGAAGTTGGTTTAGCTAGAATCCCCCAACCCCTGATGTCCCCTCTAAGTAATTTTCTATCCATGGACTCCCACCCTGCTCCTTTGCTAGAAATTCCTACTTACCTGCAGTGTATTCAAAGCTGAGCTCCCATCGCTCTCCCTACACCTGTATCTATTGAGATGGTATAAATCGTGAGTAAGGTCTGAATCAAGTCAGCCTCATCTTGCTTTAGCAAGTATAACTGAATAATTTTTTCAACCACAGCAAGGAGGTGCTGTATTAATTTGCATTCATTGATATTTTGCCTGGAACACCAACTCGATCCAAGACTTACTTGATCCTTAATTTGCGGAGCTTCAAACTCTCATGTATTTGCATTTTTGCAAGAGCATTCAAAAGGGCAAAGGAACATCCTGACGTTTGTCGGGGAGAGATCTTTGTCCTTAGCAATCTCAGCCTTGAAATCCTCCTGAAAGATGACCACCAGCCCAGGCTGCCCAGGCCAACCCAATTGCCTTCACAGTCATGGGAGCTGGTCCGGCTAAACTGTTCAGATCAGGGGCCCTGGAAGCAGTCAAGCCCAGAACTCATGGGCCTGGGAAACATAGCAAAACCTTGTCTCTACAGAAACAAAAAGTAGGCCAGGCGTGGTAGCTCACGCCTGTAATCCCAGCACTTTGGGAGGCTGAGGTGGGCGGATCACCTGAGGTCAGGAGTTCGAGACCAGCCCAACATGGCAAAACCCCATCTCTAGCAAAAATAGAAAAATTAGCCAGGTGTGGTGGCGTATGCCTATAATTCCAGCTACTAGGGAGGCTGAGGCAGGAGAATCGTTTGAACCCGGGAGGCGGAGGTTGCAGTGTGCTGGGATTGTGCCACTACACTCCAGCCTGGGCAACAAGAACAAGACTCCATCTCAAAAAACAAACAAACAACAAAAACAAAACAAAACAAAAAACAAACAAACCCCTTAAAACTAAAAATAGAGACCCCAGAGACCTCCCTTGCCCCTTCTGCCATGTAAGGACCAAATGAAAAGATGGCCTTCTAGGAACGGAAGTAGACCCTCACCAGACACCGAGTCTGCTGGACCTCCCAGCCTCCAGAACTGAGAGAAGTGAAATGTTTGTTGTTTAAGCCACCCGGTCTACAGCAGTTTGTTATAGTAGCCTGCATGGACGAAGGCACTCTATAAATTCAGCTCAGTGGGCCAAAATCTGCATTAATTTTATTTTTACACCAACTTTACCTCTTTAACTTTCACTCCTTTTGAGTAGTGGGAAAACTGAATCAAGAATAAATGGTCCCCTTGTTTCTTAGTGAGCATAAGAAGTATCAGTAAAATAATGCCATCTCACACTCACTTGCTCCTCTTCCTCTAGGATGTGGCAGTAAGAACCATCAGGAGCTACACTGGGTGTTCACGGCTGACTGACTCTGAGGCACAGGAGACGGGCCCTCCCTCCCTGGACATCAGCTCTACATGGAGAGGATGAAATGGTCTCCAAGATCGTTCTCGACATGAATCCACCACCACAGTGCCAGGCTCCAGATCTGCCTGCGTCTCCACTGCATGCTTACCTTTGCGGAGGACTTGATACAGCTGCAGTCATCAAATCCTTGGCAAAAGATCGTGGCCAGCCTCCTATCCAGGTCTTGGATTTTGATCTCAAAATCAGCATAATCACGGTCAAAATTCTAAAAGCAAATGGAAATGTCAACCTTGTAATCAGCGTGCAAAGCAAGCCAAGGGCACCCTCTCCAGCCCCTGCCCTGCTGAGAGGACTCGGGACTGAGGCGCAGCTGAATGTGCTGTTGCGGGGACCGCTCTACACAGTTTTCAAAGTGTTGGGATCACCTGGCACCTGCTTCCTCCGTGTGCCCTCCCATCACACCCCTAAGCTGGTACCGAGGCTGGTGCTGTTCTCACCGAGTCCAGTTCATCCAACCCTGCCCGAGGACCTACCGAGTCTCCAGGGTCCAAGGGATCATATTTGCAGTCGGCAAAAACCTTCACCAGCTCAAAGACCTCATCATAGATACGGGTCACCAGGCTCCCGAGGAGGTTCCCACGCACGCCCCCAAGCTCGATTTTCTCCAGCTTCAGAAACTCAATTGCTGTTTTATAGAGTTCCTAGTGGAGGAGAAAAACACAGTCAATTCATCTTCACAACCCAACTCACGGGTCCAGTTACAAAACTAGCTCTGACCCCAGGCAGGAGGAGCTGGGGAGCAAAATGTCCCCAGGAGACACCAACCATGGGGGTGGGAGGACACCCTCTGTGTCTGTGCTGTTCTTTAAGCAAATATTCCATCCCCTGCAGAAAGAGGGGATGGAAGGAAGGGCTCTGTGAATTATCTATGAGGTGTGAATGAGGAGGAGCTGGAGAGGATAAAGTTTGGGATCCTGTCCTGACCCCAGACTGGCCAAACCGCATCTCTAAATAAATCACACTCTGCTGGGACCTCCGTTTTCTCCGCTGTGGGAAGCGGTTGGAATGGTGCTGAAGATTTCTGATGCTCTTGCTAAGCTTTAAATTCCCCGCTACCTGGAAGACCATCCTATGCAGAGTGCCGTGTCCCGAAGGTGATCCAAGAAGAAAGCGGCTGGAATGCTTGGATGGACACACGTGTAGAAAATTCTGCTTCCTCGCCGGTGTGGCTCATGCCCCCTCTCCCTGAAGCGCTCCCTGACTATTTTGGCCCATAGCAATGCATTCCTTCCCAGGGGCCCGGTCTCCCATCTGCGCCGCTTGTGTTTGCTTTAGTCACGTTCAGGCCCATCCCGTTAGCTGGTTGTGTGTGTGCAGTTCCTGTTTCCCAAATGAGGTCTCCAAGGCTCCCTGGATGCTCTTCTGTGCCCCTGCACCTACCAGGCACAGTGCAGGCAGAGTTTAGACTGGAGATCTTCCTGTGGACTTGACATCACTCCCCTGAACTGGTGCTGAGGTTGGTGCTATTCTCCCAGGTCCACGAAGCATCAGGCCACGCACCAACACCACCCCGAGGAGACAGGCACCGAGGACCAGGAGCTCTTGGCTCTTCCACCCGACGCGGAGGACACAGACAAGCTGGCATGGCCTGTTGTCAGGGGGTGGACAGCAAAGCCATTTCCTCCACCTCCAAAGTCCCTTCCTACCCAGAATCTTCCTTCTGATTCAGAATCAGTCATGTGGGAACCAGAGCTCCTTGGCCCAAAGTGTGACTGTGACTCTCCTCCACATTCTCGGTCTGGGAGATTTCAGGCATTAGTCCGCGCTCTGTGACTGCAATTTTGAACTCCTGAGCGGGCCTCCCTCCCCTGCCCCCCAGGAGGTGTAGAAGAGAACTGGACAAGCCTCTCCCAAGCCTCTGACAATGGTGTCCACCCTTAAGTCAATGCTTTACAGTTCCAGGATGATTTTCCCCTTTTTTAAGGATGTGAGTTATACAGTTATATGTGCACAAAGTTTTTAAAAATTACACCATGCAGAAGATACAAAAGGCAAAACTTTCTTGCCCTACCCCGTCTTGATCCCTCTCATCTCTTCTCTCCAGAGCCCCAGAGAAAACCGCCTTGAAGCTTTTTTTTGAAACAGGGTCTCACTTTGTCGCTCAGGCTGGACTGCAGTGGCGCAATCATGACTCACCACAGCCTCAAACTTCTGAGCTCAAGTGATCCTCCCTCCTCGGCCTGCCAGAGTTCTGGGATTACAGGTGTGAGCCACTGGGCTGGGCCATGCACCATTTTTAAGTTTTTATCTGCTGTGCGTCACTCCGTGTATCCACATGGTGCTTGCACGGGGGCCTTCATAAGTCTCCATTTGTAATAATTGAGTCCCACTAAGTGACTGCTGTTGGCCCCCAGGCGTCCTGAACGTGGGGGTTTAACTTATCAGTAACCCGCTCATGATAGGATGCACGAGATAAGGGGAGAAGCACCCGAAGTGGGTCATTTTTATTCTTGGCTAACAGCTCTGGCCACGGCAGATGCTGCCGCAAAGCCTTGGTTTCCTCATAACAGATATTTGGGCCTCACTTATTTTCTGCCTGGGGGATTATTGGCAAGGGGGGTAGGGATGGACGCTGCAGGTGTCCTAGGGTAGGAGCAGTCTGGGAAGTGGAGGTCAAGATGCACCGAGTTCTGTTTTTACCTCAATGGTCTGGATGCGCTGGAAGAAGGAATTTATCCTGGAAAAGGCAAGAGAAGAAGGGAATTCCCAAGGCACGGGCTCTTTGTCCTTAGAGGAGAGAAAGAGAGATGAGGCCACGTTTGCTTCAAATGTCCCAAGTTTATCAAATATCGGGGCTCATATGAACTCACTCGTCCTGCCTTGGCCCTCGCCCTGCGAGGAAGGGGTACCTTAAAGAAAAGCTTCATGTTCACGCAGCAGAAGTCGTACGTCTGGTAGAGCTCCTTCAGCACATTTACAGCCAGGGAGATGCCACTCAGGACTTCCTCGATTTCACCTTGCAGGCCCTTCAGCACCTCTTCCGGGCTCAGGAAGGTTCGTGTCTGGGCAAAAGAGAAGACAGACATCTAAAGCTCCGACAAGCCATTTGGGGTGACGTCCAGGCACGCCGCCTGCAGGACCTGTGATCTGTTCTGACATATGGATATCTGAAAATAACCCCTCCTATCTGCCCACTGCTGGGCCGTTTTTAGGGGACCGAGCTGCTTCCCCTCCTCGGCCCCTCATCCTTTGCCAAGGCTGCAGCATAAATGGGTGGGGGTCGCAGATGATGAGAGGCCCTCCAGGGACAGGGGACCCCGGTGCCCTTCTGGTCCTGCAGACGGGGCCACAGCATGGTTTTATTATATAGAGGTGGCCCAGGGATACAGCCCTTCAGCTCGAACGCCATGGCTGGCTAGCAGGTGCTTATGAATGGGAAGAAGGAAAAGAAGTCTCTGCTAAGGGAGACGGAAGGTGGTTTGATGTGCGATTAGAGAAGCCCACAAAGCACTAGATGGGTCTCGGGGTACGGGGACTCTCAGGGCAGACCTCCTCCTCTGTCCCCGTCTTCCCTTTCTTTTCCCTCAGTACCCTCCCCTAGAAGAACTCTAGGTAGCCTTGAAGAGGGCTCCATCTCAGCTCGGGGCCTGAAAAGGCTTGTGCTGACATCTTGGCCTGCTTTCAAACTGCTGGGGAACATGGGCAGCAGGAAAACAGTGAACCGGGGAGGGGACCCAGCCAGGAGGGGAGGAAGGGGACCCAGGGGCCAGGGGAGGGTTACCATCTCGATGATTTGGTTGCAGAACTCCTGCAGGATGACGATGATCCTGGCAGGTGTGTTATAGTACTCAGAGGTGGCCCAGATGAAGCAGATGGTGTCCAGCACCTTGGCAATGAAGGTGGGGAGCTGGGGGGAGACAGGCCCAGGCACACTGGAGGGGACTGGCCGCTGCACCTTATCCCGGTGTCCCAGCCCTTCCCTTCCCATGGCTCTCACTGGGTATCCAGCAGAGGGTTCCCAAAGAGGAGGGGAGAGGCAACTCCCTAGGCCCACACATCTGATGGCAGCCAAGAAACCCACGGCCCCACATGCCTTGAAGAAACAAGACCCAGGCCGGGCGTGGTGGCTCACGCCTGTAATCCCAGCACTTTGGGAGGCCGAGGTGGGCGGATCATGAGGTCAGGAGATCGAGACCATCCTGGCCAACATAATGAAACCCCATCTCTACTAAAAATACAAAAATTAGCTGGGCATGGTGGCACATGCCTGTAATCCCAGCTACTCGGGAGGCAGAGGCAGGAGAATCCCTTGAACCAGGGAGTTGGAGGTTGCAGTGAGCCGAGATCGCGCCACAGCACTCTAGCCTGGTGACAGAGCGAGACTCCCTCTCAAAAAAAAAAAAAAAAAAAAAAGAAAAAAGAAAAGAAAAGAAAAGAAACAAGACCCTCCCCACCAAAGCCGGCTCTCCCTTGCCTGCGCACCATCGTGAAGTCGGCTTGTTCCATCTCCTCCAGCAGGATCCGTAGGGGCTTCAAATAGAGCACGATGTCGTTGGCTTCCTTCAGCCCTGCACGGAACAAGAACAAGTGCCCACCGGTAAGAGAGCAGAAATTGCTCAGAAACGATGAGGGTGCGGCTCCATGTGCTGAGACCTGCTCCTTCAGGAAATGGGGCCTTTCTCAAGTGGAGGGGGCTGAGAAAGCTGCTCGCAGAGGGAGGCCAACATCCTAGGGTTGGTGACAAGTCTGACCCAGCCCTCCCAGGAGGCACAAACAGCTTCGTGCAGAACTCATGACAGGGTCACAGGCTCACCTTCAGTGACGTTGGTGTAAACGTTTTGCAGGGCTGGCCAGTAGCAGCTTTTGGCTTTCTCTAGGATCTCAACAATCTTGTTCACTTTGGGTCTGTTTAGCTGAGAAGGGGAGTGAAGATCCACCTTTCATTGACCTGGAAGACCCTAAGGCGAGGCCAACCTGACCTTGTGGCTGGCTGGAGCTGCAGAATTTACGCAGGTCATCAGAGCCCTCAGGACTCCTGGGAGGTTGGCACTGGGAGGCGGAGAGCTCGGCCCGGTCGCCCAGCTGGGACGAGGCTGCAGCCCCACAGGAGAGAGGAGGCCGTACCTGTTCATGGATGCACTTGAGGTTCAGCAGCCGAGTGTCCCAGAACTCGAACTCCACTTGGGGCAGGGGGTGCAGCCCATCCAGCAGCGCCTGGGCTGAGTCTTTGCTCAGCACATCCCGGATCTGGTGGGACCAGTCGATGATGGTGGTTTCAATGGCGTGCAGGAGCAAGTTGTCCAGTGAAGAGGGGATCCTGCCCAGTGGAAGGTTGGGGCATTGCTCTCATGGCGACACACACGTGGGTCCCACCAAGCTCTCCCATGAATCCTTCTGCCCACCAATCCCAAACCACCAGCAGCAGCACCGTCTGGTCTCATGTCCCTGGTGCCTCCAGCCACCTCGGGGACGCTAAAGAAGTTCCCAAGACTCCCAGCTAGGAAGAGAGCCCAGGGAAATAATGGGCGTGGTCAGAGATACCAGGGCCTGGAGGCGCTCACCTCCAAGGAAGCGGGAGAGAATTAAGTAAACCCTATTTAAACCCTATTCAAGATGGCTCCCCTGGTGTCACCACCGGACATGGTGCTTGGGGCTTTGTGAATGATCAGTGGAGGACTTGCCCACGTGAGGCAAAATACGGAACTAATTGTCACGGGGGTCTCACATATCAGGGCGGTTGCAAATTGTGGCAAGGCAGGTGCGAGGGGACACCTTGGAGTCCCTTGGGCTTCCCAGGGCCTCTGGGGGCACCGCAGCCTCTACACAGACTTGCATGTACCTGCTGAGAGTCCCTCCCACTCCCACTCACTGACCCTGTCCCACATCTTAAAGCTGTGCCTCCTGTTTCCTGGCCATGCTGACAGGTGGGACACCTTCTGCTTGCTGGGTGGTGACTGGATCGGCACACATGTGTGACCCAGCGGGGGGTGTGGGGTGCAGGTGCCAGAGCCCCAGGGGCTGCAGAGCCTGCTCCCTCCCTGCCCTGGTTTCAACTTCCTCAGTCTCAGCACCACCTAACGCACCACCTTGCCCTGCATTTCCCCGGCTTTAACATGTGAAGCCACTCTGCAGGGAAACAACGGGTCGGAGTGGGGTGGAGTGGGGTGGGGGGTGGGGGTCAAGCATGTGCCTCTTCCCCACCCAGCGGCAGCCGGAAGCAGCTGGGCCCACACACCTCTCCATGGACTCCAGCGTGCCATCCAGGCTGCCCAGGTGCTCCGGAATAGGCAGCAAGGTTTTGCCTTTGATCTTGCCACTCATCACAAACATTTCATTCTTCAGCCTGTGGACCTGCTTCACGATGTCTTCCGAGACCACCTGGGGCCATCCAGCCATGTTCTCACTTTGGTTTAACAGAGAAGAGAGGACCTAAAAGGAAACACTTCTGTGGTTCCGCCCCCTGTGCCTTCACCAGCTCGGCAACCGCACAGAGCCAGGTCCCCGGGGGGTTCCAAAGACCCGGTGTCTGGAGCCCTGGGAAAACTGGGTCCCGCACAGAGCCAGGTCCCCAGGGGGATTCCAAAGACCTGGTGTCTGGAGCCCTGGGAAAACTGGATCCTTCTTCCAGAAGGAGGTGTGGCCGGTCATGGAGTTTATACCAGCTGCCCTGTCCTGGTGGTACCAAAGCCATCCCCAAGCTCTTGCACCCATAGCACACACTCCTTGCTAAAAGCCTAGGAGGACTGTGATGGGTCAAACTGTGTCCCCCAAATCCATCTGCTGAAGCCCTAACTCCCAGCACCTTAGAATGTGACTATTTGGAGATAGGGTCTTTAAAGAGGTGAGTAAGGGCTGGGGGCGGTAGCTCATACCTGTAAATCCTAGGACTTAGGGAGGCCGAGGCAGGTACATCACCTGAGGTCAAGAGTTTGAGACCAGCCTGGCCAACATGGTGAAACCTCGTCTCTACTGAAAATATAAAAATTAGCCAGGCATGGTGGCACCTGCCTATAATCCCAGCTATTTGGGAGGCTGAGGCAAGAGAATCATTTGAACCTGGGAGGTGGAGGTTGCAGTGAGCTGAGATCACACCATTGCCCTCCAGACTGGACAACAGAGCAAAAATACTGTCAAAAAAAAAAAAAAAGAGGTGAGTAATTAAAATCAGATTACTAGGGTGGGCCCTAGTCTGACAGGTGTCCTTACGAGGAGGGGAGATTAGACATGCACAGAAGGCCGACCACATGAGGACCCAGGGAGAAGATGTCCATCTGCAAGTCAAGGAGAGAGGCCTTGGGGAAAACCAACCCCGCCGACACCTTCAACTTCAACCTCTAGCCTCCAGGACTGTGAGAAAATGTCTGGTGTACAAGCGAAGCACACAGGCCCCTGTACTGCAGATGAGAAGAGTGATGACCAGGAAGGATAAGGCACCCCCATTCTGGAGGTCCGAATCCCCAAAGTGTGTCCCCCCCACCTACACAGCACCTGCCAAGGGGGACAGCAGAGGGACACATAAAATGACACTCCATTTTTTCCCCTTTCTTAAGTCAAAGTCTCAAAATTGGAGAAACCTATCTGCCAGTACTCAGTCCCCACCTTCCCAGGCCATGGGCAGCAACCGTACCCGGCACAGCATGGCAGTCTCAATGCTGTCCAGAGAGAACAAGGGGATGCTCGGGGCTTCTCAGACTTCAAGGGCACGAGCACCACCTGGAGGTCTTGTTAGACAGCAGGTCTGTGGCCGGGCATGATGGCTCACGCCTATAATCCCAACAGTTTGGGAGGTTGAGGCAGGAGGATCGCTTGAGCCCAGGAGTCTTGAGACCAGCCTGGGCAACAGGCTATTTTTTGGTGAGACCTCATCTCTTACCAAAAAATACGAAAATTAGCCAGGTGTGGTGGTGCATGCCTGTGGTCCCAGCTACTCAGGAGGCTGAGGCTGGAGGATTGGTTGAGCTTAGGAGGTTGAGGCTGCAGTGAGCTGTGCTCCCACCACTGCACTCCAGCCTGGGAAGCAGAGTGAGACCCTGTCTCAAAAAAAAAAAAAAATTTAAAAACCAAAAGCAAGCAGGTCTGTCTCAGCAGGTCAGGGTGGACGGGGCCCGAGCGCCTGCATTTCCAATCCCTCCCCGGCTCTGCAGCTGCTGCTGGCCCAGGGACTCCAGGCTGAGCAGCAGGACTCAAGGCCGCTCCCGAGAAGTCGGTCGTGCTCGACACCCCGGATGGCAGCCTGGACGCACTCACCTCCTCCACCACCGCGATCAGCTGGTCCACGGGTGTGGGGCTGATGTCGCCGTAAAGGAGCCGGGCCCTGTAGTTGTCCTTGTTGATGTTCTCGGACTTTGTCTTGATGAAGTAAACCCCTTTGGACTTGAGGGACTGGGGGAAGCCCAGGCAGGGTATGATCATGCCGGCTGCATTGAGCGTCAGCACCAGCACCTGGACGTCGGGCTTTTCAAAGAACTCTGTGAACAGGGCCACGTTCTCCTCGGCGCCTATCAGCTTGCTCCACTTGTCCGGCTTGAACTTCAGGACGATGGAGGCAACTTCCTCCAGATACTCTAGTCTGACGTCCGGGGCCATTGTCATCTTGGCCTTTCCTTACACTGTGTATCTGTTAAGAGTGCAAGAAACAGGTACGAACTGTCTCCCGGGCTCCCCAATTTCCCACCCATCCCTGGCACCGCAGGAAATCTCTGTTTCTACCGGAGCAGGAACAAAACAGTTGGTCGAGAGTGTGCAGTTTTTAGCTGTGGTTGGGTTGGGGTGGGGGTGCTTTAGCAGGTGCTGGCACCTGCCCCGGCCCCGCCATGGGGGGTGCCCCGGGAGTGAGGCTGCCCAAAAGTGGTGTGTGCTTACAATCCTGTGACCATAAAGTTCAGAGGATGGGAAAGATAGAGATGAATGCTGGAGAAAGAGAGAAAAGGAAATGGCCGCAACCAGACAGTGTGAAGGGGATGGGGTAGGAAAAGGCAGAACAAGAGGCTGGGGGGTCAGGTTGAAAGGTCCTGGGAAAGCAATAAAAGACGTCGCAGCCCCAGAGTATGTGTGAAACGCAAGAAGGAAGCAGACCCCACGTGCAGGCCGTGAGGCTCAGCGCTCAGTCTTAGCCGCAGCCGTGGTGCACCTTAACTTTCACTCTGCTCTGCACCCTTTCTCCCTCCAGCCCCCAGCGTGCACCCCTAAAAGAATCGAGCTGCAAATTCCTGACAGACCCCTCACAAGCTGCTCAGATGCTCGGGGGTAGGGTTAACTAGAGAATTGGGGGGAAGGGATCCCCTTAAAGAACACCCTGAAGTCCCAAAGTTTAGGCAAGTGAGGTACTTACAGAATTTAAAGACACACCCAAACAGTCATCAAGAGAAAAGGCATGTCAATATTTTTAAACATCAAAATGAATGCAAACAAATTTATGAACAAAATACCAAAGTTTCAAATAAAGACAGGCTCTGGCAAGAGGCCTGAGGTGGGGGCCTTGGAGGCGAGTTCTGCAAGGGCAGGGTTGAATGCAAAGGGTCGCCTGATGCTGTGTTTTCATCACAATCTGGGAGGTATGCAGCTCCTGAATTTCAAGGGGAACCCTGGGGTATTCAGCTGCTCTGGGGGTCCGTGGGCTGGGGCTGGCCTGCTCCAGACCTGGCAGCTGCTGAAAAGCATCAGGGTGGACAGATGACGTTGGAAGCACTCACAAATTCTGCCTTTTGGTTTGACCCAAGCTATTGCTTTTAAGTTTGTAACAGCCTACAGTTCCCCAAAAGACACGTAATACCACGGAACAGGTTTATTTCACCCTGGCCACTATATATCGGCAAAACAACTATATGATGGGAAGCAGTAGTGGATAGCATTTGGATGCTATTCAAATGGTCTGAGATTTATTCAAGGCTCCAAACATCTCTGAGAGAGGACTTGGGGAATATTTGGCCAGCAAATGGCAGAAACATGGCGGTCCACGAGCAAAGCCACCCGATTCAGGCACATCTGTGAAAGAAAAAGGGGACACCACCAGGCAAGTAGGAGGAGCACCGCGTGGCATTTATGGAGATGACTCGTTCACCAGGTTCCCACAGGGCTTTCAGCATGCTGCTGAATTAATCTCCACCCAGGATCTCCGAGACCCGGGGACGCGTCACGTCGTCATTTCCTAGGGGGATCAGGAACTCAGGGGAGCCCGAGTCCTGGAAGGTTCCTGATTGGAAGTCTCGCCAAGCTGGTCAGGCGACTGGACTGGAGGGAAACATCCTCTGGTTTACTGATTTTGTGGATTTGGGCTTTCACAAAGTCATCTTTTCTTCCAAGAACGGCATGGGGTGGGCTGCCTCCCAAGCCATAACATGTGTGGGCTGAGGGGCCCCTACACCCCGCAAGTTTCTTGCACGATCGGGAGGTCTCATCTCAGGCTCCCACCCAGCCGTTTCCTGGGCTGAAGGCCAGGAGGTCCCAGTTAACAATAGGGTTGTCCCAGGCCATGCTTCCGGAGGGGCAGAGACGGCTTCTCTGGGAGGTGGCCCATGCCCCAGGCCTTCAGGACTCCACAGGAGGAAGCTGGGGCTAGGGGCTTCCAGGAGAAGCCAGGGGGCTGAGGCAAGGCCTTCCCAGGAGCAGGGAAGAGTCTGGAGCCCTGGAAGGGGTCAGGCTGGTACGTGGCAGCCAGCCTCGGGGTCCCAGAGCCATGAACAGCTCCCGGTGGCGAGCAGAGCCACTTCTGGGGTAAGTGGAGGGTCTGCTGTCTGCCAGGGCCTAGGTCCCACCTCCATCCTCTGAAGGCCTCCCTGCTCCCTCCACCTTGGCCTCCGACTCCCCCAGCATGGTTGAAGGCCGCTCACCAGCTGAAGGCAAACAGCTTCTCCCGCAAACTGATGAGCAACTCTTTCCCAAACCAGGAAAGAAAATGGCTCCCTTCCCTCGAGGGGCTCCAACTGCCACATAACTTCTGGGAGTCTCCTCACGGTACCTGGGGCTTCTAGAACCTTCCCCTTGGGACCCAAGTAACCAATGATAGCGCAGCAAATGAGGAACCAACCGTCACCCCACAGTGGAAAGGCTCTTAGATGATCATTTTGAGGGGAGGTTGGAGGGGGGACAGGGTCGCGCTCTGTTACCCAGGCTGGAGTGCAGTGGTACAATCATAACTCACTGCAGCCTCAAACTCCTGGGCTTACGTGATCCCCCCCCCTCAGCCTCCTGAGAAGTTAGGACAACAGACGCACATCACCACACCTGGCTAATTTTTGTACTTTTTGTAGAGATGAGGTCTCACTCTGTTGCCCAGGCTGGTCTCAAACTCCTGGCCTCAAGCAATCCTCCCAAAGTGGAAAGGAAGACATTATCTCTGTTTACAATAAGGTGATCTTGTATGTAGAAAATCCCAAGAAATCCATAAAATTGTAGAGCTAATAGAGGAATTCAGCAAGTTTGCAGTATACAAGATATTTGAAAATTAATTATATTTCTCTGTAATTATATTATGAACAATCTGATGATGAAATTTAGAAAACAATTGTCCCCATAATGAACAATCTGATCATGAAATTTAGAAAACAACTCCCATTTACAACAGCATCAAAATAATTTCGTTTACAATAGCGTCAAAAACAACAAAATACTTAGGAATAAACTTTAAAAAGAAGTGTTAAGACTTGTACACTGAAAACTGCAAAACATCATGGAAATAAAGACAACCTAAATCAATGGAAGGACATGCTGTGTTCATGGGTTAGAAGATTGTTAAGACGGGCCAGGCGTGATGGCTCACGCCTGTAATCCCAGCACTTTGGGAGGCCAAGGCGGGTGGATCACGAGGTCAGGAGATCGAGACCATCCTGGCTAACACGGTGAAACCCCATCTCTACTAAAAATACAAAAAAATTAGCCGGGCGTGGTGGTGGGTGCCTGTAGTTCCAGCTACTCAGGAGGCTGAGGCAGGAGAATGGCATGTACCTGGGAGGCGGAGCTTGCAGTGAGCCGAGATCCCGCCATTGCCCTCCAGCCTGGGAGACAGAGTGAGACTCCGTCTCAAAAAAAAAAAAAAAAGAAGATTGTTAAGATGACGACAGTTCTCCTCAAGTTGATCTGCAGATTCAACACAATCCTTATCAAACTCTCAGCTGCCTTTTTTGTAGAAATGACCCTAGATTTTATAGGGAAGTATGAGGGAACAAAAACCATCCAAACAACTTTGAAAAAGAACAAAGTCTGAAGACACACACTTCCTGATTTCAAAACTCACTACAAAGCTACAGTTATCAAGACAGTGCTACCAGCATAACAATAGACAGAGATCACTAGAATAGAATTGAGGTTCCAGAAATAAATGCATCCATTTATGGACGATTGAGTTAGCAAAGGTGCCAAGACAACTCAATGGGAAAAGAATCACCTTTTCAACAAATGGTATTGGAATAACTGAATACCCACATGCGGAAAAACGAAGCTGGGCCCTTACCTCACGCCATCTACACGAATTAACTCAGCATAGATTAACAGAATGCAAGAGCCAAATGTAAGAGCTAAAACTATAAAACTCTTAGAAGAGCACACAGGAGTTGATCTGACCTCAGATGAGGCAATGATGTCTTACATATGATGCCAAAAGCATAAGTGAGCAAAGGAAAAAAGATAAGTTTAACTTCATCAAAACCAAAAACTTTTATGCTTCAAAAGGCACCCTAAAAAAGGGAAAAGATGACCCATAGAATGGGAGAAAATATTTGCAAATCATATATCTGACAAGGGACTTGTCGTAATACAATAAAACAACCTAATTTTAAGGAGTAAAGGATATAGATATTTCTTCAAGAAAGATACACAAATGACCAGTATGCACATGGAAAGCAGCTTGATATCATTAGCCATTAGGAAAATGCAAATCAAAGTAAAATGAACTTCAATGAGGTCCCTAGAGTAGTCAAATTCATTAAGTAGAATGGAGGTTGCCAAGGGCTAGGGAGGGAGAATAGGAATTTATTTTTTAATGGGGCCGTCAGAGGCATTTGAACCAGAGCCACTCCATTTTGAATGGGGTCTGGGTAAAATAAGGCCCTACTGCATTCCCAGGAGGTGAAGGCATTCTTAGTCACAGGGTGAGACGGGGGTTCAGCACAAGTCATAAAGAGCTTGCTGATAAAACAGGTTGCGGTAAAGAAGCTGGCCAAAGCCCACCAAAACCAAGATGACCTCTGGTGGTCCTCACTGCTACACTCCCACCAGCACCGTAACAGTTTGCAAATGCCATGGCAATGTCAGGAAGTTACCCTAGATGGTCTAAAAAGGGGAGGCATGAATAATCCACCCCTTGTTTAGCATATCCTCAAGAAATAACCATAAAAATGGGCAACCAGCAGCCCTCAGGCTGCTCTGCCTATGGAGTTGCCATTCTTTCATTCCTTTACTTTCTTAATAAACTTGTTTCACTTTACTCTATGGACTCACCCTGAATTTCTTCTTGCACGAGATCCAAGAACCCTCTCTTGGGGTCTGGATCTGGACCCCTTTCTGGTAACAGGGTCAGAGTTTCAATTTGGGATAGTGAAGAAGTTCTAGAGATGGATGGTGGTGGTGTTTTTACAACGATGTAAGTGTACTCAGTGCCACGGAACTGTACACTTAAAATGGCTAAAATGGTAAATGTTATGCTCTGTGTATTTTCCCACACAAAAAAACCCCAATTCATTCCCACTAGAATGGATAAAATTGAGAAGACAGAAAAAAACAAAACAAAACACCAGGCACGGGCAAGGATGTGAAGGAATTGGCACCCTCATCCACGGCTGATATGGTATAAACATTGCAGCCACTTTGGAAAAGTGACAGTTCCCCAAAAGGTTAAACATGGGGCTACCAATTAGCTACCCCCTCCTAGGGGTGCACCAGGGAGAAATCAAAACACACACATATTCGCAGCAGCATTCTTCATAATAAACTAAAAGTAGAGGTGAAGGAAGACCTCTGTCCCGGCTCAGAGGGACATGGGAGGGGTGGCAGGGTCCTGTCCCCGGTGGGCTGAGGGCAGCCACATTGGCAGCAGGGTGCCCGGCAGCATCCCTGCCATGTGAGGATAGGAAGGCCACCCTCGGGCTCTCCAGAAGCTACCAGGGAAGGGCAATGAACGGAACAGACTTTGTACAATCTTAGGGTGTGTCCACCACAGAAGTTGGCACTGTCCCACACCAACATCCAGGAGCAAAATCAGTGCCACTAAACCGTCACTTCAGTTCTGCATATCACCCCAGAGCTCCCAGACACAGGGGTACTCAGCAAGCCCCCACAAATTCCAGCTGTCTGCCACTTGAGCTAGTAACCAGGCCCCTCTGGAGACGTCAGCTTCCTCGGCCACAGTTCTGAGGATGAGTATCCCTGAGCCATGGGGCGTTAGGGGCAAGAAGGGCATTCCTGGTTCCAGAAACACATGGTGCTTATTGCAAAGGAGAGCTGGCCAGCTCATGCCCACATTGGCCTAAGAAGAGTCCTGGCTACCGTTTTCTGAGCGATCACCGGGTGGCAGGTTCTACACTTCATGAGCCTCCTGGAAGGCACAGGAGCTCCATCCTTCTTCAGCTTCTGCCTGTGGCCCTGCCCTCGACCCTGGGATGTCACCTCCTTCCCCCTGGGGAGGTAGCAGCTTCCTGCTGCTGATCTCTGGGTCACCTCCCAGTCCCGCTGGGCTCCTCAGCTCTCCTGTCGTGTGCAACACAGCCTCTCCGGCTTGAGTACCCACGTGGTTCTCCTCCATGTTCTGCTTAGATACTGTCGCAGTTTCTTGTGGCTGCTATCAAAGCACCACAACCTTAGGCGGCTAAGACAACAAAAAGTTCTCTCTCCCGGGGGCTGAGGTCTGAATCAAGGTGTCGGGCAGAGCTGTGCTCCCTCCGCAGCTCTGGGAGACTTCTTGGCCTTTTCCAGCCTTTGGTGGCCGCCATCAAGCAGTCCTCGGCATTCCTGGCCTGTGGCTGCATCCCTCCCATCATTGCCTCTGTCCTCACACAGCCAGCTCTGTGTGTGTTGGGAGCAATCTCCCTTTGTCTCTCTCTTACAAGGACCCCTGGGAGGGCATTTAGGTTCTCCCCACGTAATCCAGGATTACATCATCATCTCCAGATTCTTAATCACATCTGCAAAGGCCCTTTTTCCAAATAGGGTAGCATTCATATGCTGAAGCTTTAACCCCCAACATGGCTGTATCTGAGATGGGGTCCTTAGGAGGTAAAGTCAAATGAGGTCATTAGAGAGGGGCTATAATTCAGTGGGATTTTAAGAAGAGAAAGAGCAGCTGGGAATGGTGGCTCACGCCTGTAATCCCAGCAGTGTGGGAGGCCCAGGTGGGTGGATTACCTGAGGTCAGGAGTTCAAGACCAGCCTGACCAACATGGTAAAACCTCGTCTCTACTAAAAATACAAAAAAAAAAAAAAAAAATAGCTGGGCATGGTGGCAGGTGCCTGTAATCCCAGCTACTAGAGAGGCTGAGGCAGAAGAGTCGCTTGAACCCTGCAGGCAGAGGTTGCAGTGAGCTGAGATCATGCCATTGCACTACAGCTTGGGCCACAGAGCCAGACTCCATCTCAAAAAATAATAACAACAAAAGAGAGATCTCTTTCTCTCTCCACCCTGCGAGGACACAGCAAGAAGTCAGAGTCTATAACCCAGGTGAGGGTCCTCACCAGAACCCAACCATGCTGGTCCCTGATCTCCGACTTCCAGCCTCAAGAACTGTGAGAACATGAATCTCCGCTCTTTAAACCTCCCAGTCTGTGCCAGCACATAGTTCATTTTACCCATCAGCTGGAACAGCCATGGTGCCCAGATTAAGCATTAATTCTGGGTGTGTCTGTGAGGGGGTTTCTGGATGAGCCTGGCATTTGATAGTGAACTTGGTAGATTGCCCTCCCCAGTGGGCAGGCATCCCCTAATTCTTCAAGGTCTTGAATAGAACCAAAAGCAGAAAGAGAAATTCACCCATCTGCTCCTGCCTTTGTGTCTGGGCTGAGACATCTCATCTTCTCTTGCCCTTGGGCTGCTGTTGACACCATCAGCGCCCCTGCTTCCCAGGCCTTCAGACTTGGACTAAACTACACTGTGGGCTTTCCTGGTTCTCCAGTTTGCAGACAGCAGAGTGGGACTTCTCAGCCTTCATAATCACGTGAGCCAATCCTCATGAAACTGCTGTCCCTCTATCTTGCCTATTGGTTCTGCTTCCCTGGAGGGCACTGATACGCGTATATGATATACAGCATGAGCAGTCCAATCCTTTCCTCATCTGTCTCCAACCTCTTCTATCATCTTTCAAACAGCTCAAGTCACTACCATCTTGGAAAAAGCAATCCTGTTCAAGCTCTTCGCCCTCTCCATCTCTACGCCTCTTCACTGCCACATTTCTCTAAAGAATGGCCTGGCCAGGCAGGGTGGCTCACACTTGTAATCCCAGCACTTTGGGAGGCCAAGGCAAGTGGATCACAAGGTCAGGAGTTCGAGACCAGCCTGGCCAATATGGTGAAGCCCTGTCTCTACTAAAAATACAAAAAATTAGCCGGGCATGGTGGCACGCACCTGTAGTCCCAGCTACTCGGGAGGCTGAGGCAGGAGAATCACCTGAATCTGGGAAACAGAGATTACAGTGAGCCGAGATCACACCATTGCACTCCAGCCTGGGTGAGACGCTGTCTCAAAAAGAGAATGGCCTGGAACATATATTTCTACTTTCCCATTCTTTCTCTCCACACCACCACTCCCATGTGGCTTCCTCCCTGCCCACTGCACCAACCCTGGGAAGCCAGAAGAACTGAACTGGAGGGAAGAGATGTAACCTGAATGCCTTAACCCAGAGGCTGCTCATAGCTCGTTGGCTCACCCCATATTGGTCACGCCAGGTCACATGGTCACATCTCACTGCACAGGAGGCTGGGAAATGTAGTCTTTGGCTGTGATGTGGTTTGGATGCTTGTCTCCTCGAAATTTCATGTTGAAATGTGATCCCCCATGTTGGAGGTGGGGCCTAGTGCAAGGTATTGGGTCATGGGGGCAGATTCCTCATGAATGGTTTGGTACCCTCCATGCAGTAATGAGTGCCTTCTTGCTCTGTGAGTTCATGTGAGATCCAGTTGTTTAAAAGAACTTGGAACTCTGGCTGGGCGTGGTGGCTCATGCCTGTAATCCCAGCATGTTGGGAGGTCGAGATGGGTGGATTGCTTGAGGCCAGGAGTTCAAGACCAGCCTAGCCAACACAGTGAAACCCCATCACTACTAAAAATACAAAAATTAGCCAGGCATGGTGGCTCATGGCTGTAGTCCTAGCTACTAGGGAGGGTAAGTCATGAGAATTGCTGGAACCCAGGAGGCAGAGGTTGCAGTGAGTCAAGATCACGCCACTGCACTCCAGCCTGGGTGACAGAGTGAGACTCCGTCTCAAAAAAATTAAAAAAAATAAAAGATAAAATAAAATCCTGAAACTCCTTCCTTACTCTCTCACTCCTTCTCTTGCCATGTTCTTACCATGTGATACTCCAGCTCCCCCTTCATCTCCCATCATGATTGGAAGCTTCCTGAAGCCTCCCAGAAGTTGAGCAGATGCCAGTGCCATGCTTGTGCAAGCCTGCAGAACTGTGAGCCAAATAATAGACCTCTTTCCTTTATAAATTACCCAGTCTTAGGTATTCCTTTATAGCAATGCAAAATGGACTAACACAGGCTGGCATCCAGCTGTCCACCCTAGACTTGGAGAGTTGTGTTACTAAATGGACCAAGAGAGTCCATGGAAGGATTGTCCACAGCCAATCTCCACCACACTCGCCTAGATTCATCCTGAGCTCAAAGAAACTCCTTGGAAGCCTCATGGGACCCTCAAAACTCAACATGTACAAAACCGACCTCTGCCCATGCCCCCCCCCCACCCTGCCATCCCCACACTCCTGGTCGTCTTTCAGGTTCCCTGGCTCCGTGAGTGACCCACAGCTGCTCAGGCACCCAGAGGACCCTCGCCCTCACTGTGGTACCATTCAGTCTTACCTCCTCAATCTCTCTGAGCTCTGTCCACCTCTTTCCACAGCTAATCCTCCTGGTCTAAGCCACTCTCACCCTCCCCAGGCCTATGGATACCCTCATTCCTTTCTTAACAACTTCTTTTGTCCCCATATAGCCCATTCTCCAGCATCTTTAAAAAGACAACTCTCAGGCCAGGTGCCATGTCTCACACCTGTAATTCCAACACTTTGGGAGGCCAAGGCAGGCGGATCACTTGAGGCCAGGAGTTCCAGACCAGTCTGGCCAACATGGCAAAACCCCATCTCTACTAAACAAAAATACAAAAATTAGCCAGGCATGGTGGCAGGCGCCTGTAGTCCCAGCTACTGGGGAGGCTGAGGCAGGAGAATGGCTTGAACCCAGGAGGTGGAGGTTGCAGTGAGCTGAGATTGTGCCACTGCACTCCAGTCTGGGCAACACAGACTCGGTCTCAGAATATAAAACATTTTAATTAAAAAAACAGAAAAAGACAACTCTCAATGCCTTGCTTAAAACCCATGAACTATTGCTCCTAGGATACAATTCAAATGCCCTCCATGGGCCCTGTAAGATTTGATCCCTGCCTTGCCCACTCTCCTGGGGTCCAATCCTGGCTCGTGCTATAGTCACATTGGTCTCTTTCAGGTCCTCCAAGACATCTGCCAACCATAGGGTCCTCCTGCCTGGCCAAGAATCCTATGCACGCGCACACACACACGTATACATATGCAGACATATGCACGCACACCCATGCATGCATGTACACACACCCCTACCAGCTCCTACTCAGCCCTGAGAGCCCAGCTTCAGTATCATTCCTTACTGTCTCCCGTCAATCTCCCCAGTAGGCTCTTTTTATCATAGCTCCTTGTGTTCCTGTGTGGCACCCATTCCAGCTGCAGTGAGCCAATCACCTAAGCACTCATGGGTTACCTCACTGCCGCCTCTCACACCTAGGGCCACCCCTTCTGATCAGCACCATCACTCTGGAATCTGACACTGTGTCTGGCCCACAGCCAGCCTTTGATAAACATCACTGAAGGGACAGCAGCTCTGGGAAGCCCTGTTGCAAAGACTCATCTAACCTCACCTTACCCAGTGATCCCCAAACTTGCTTGGCCGTGGAAGCCTTCTTTCCTTTCAGTTTGTGTTTGGTTGTTTTTTGTTTGTTGTTTATGTTTGTGTGTGTGCGTGTGCGTGTGTGTGTTTTGTGTGATGGAATCTCCCTCTGTCACCCAGGCTGGAGTGCAATGATGTGATCTCTGCTCACTGCAACCCCCAGGTTCAAGCGATTCTCCTGCCTCAGCCTCCAGAGTAGCTGGGATTGCAGGCATGTGCCACCACATCTGGCTAATCTTTGTATTTTTAGTAGAGACAGGGTTTCACTATGTTGGCCAGGCTGGTCTCAAACTCTTGACCCCAAGTGATCCACCCACCTCAGCCTCCCAAAGTGCTGGGGTTACAGGCATGAGCCACTGCACCTGTCCTGCTAAATCAAGTTTATCCTAAAGCTGCCTTCTTACATATTTTAAGTTTGGTCTAAAGGTTTCTCTGTATGTAGTGAGCTATAACCTAAATAGAGTCATAAACAGACTGTAACCTACTCTTGTGCCAGTCACAGGGTTTTGGCCAATCAAAGATGGCCGACTGTTCAAACCACGTTCAAGTCCAACATGGAGCTGTAACCAATCCTGCTGGTCTGTGCTTCACTTCCATTTTCTACATATCACTTTTCCTTCTTCTGTCCATAAATCGTCCACCACGTGGCTGCCCTGGAGTCTGAGCTTACTCTGGCTTGGGAAGCTGCCCGATTTGCAAATTGGTCTTTGCCCAATTAAACGGTTACATTTAATTTGTCTAAGGTTTTTAACACCTGAAGCCTTATCACTACTCTGAGGAACAGTTTGAAGAACACTAGACCAAGGTCTCAGTGGGTCCAGCTCCCACCGGAGCTGTGCTTCTCTGGGGTCTCCGAGTTCAAGGGCTCCATGACAGATGCAGGAGGCAGATAAGCGGGAGGTCCCCAGAGAATCTCCAACCTGCGCACTGGTTGGACCGGGTGGAGCCACTGGAGGTTCTCGCTGTTTGCATGGGGGAGGTAAGCCTGGCCTCTTTAGTCCCTGGATGTGTGGCCCGGAATCAATCTATGAGGTGGGGGGCCTGTTAGCGCGGCTCCCTCTCACTTTGCTGGGAGTTTTTTATTTTTCATTTTTGCCCAGTAAATTCCGTTCCCCTCCTGCTTCAGTGTGTCTGCGTGCCTAATTTTTCCTGGTCGTGTGACAAAAGCCTGGTTTTAGCTGAATGAAGGAGCTAAGTTCTGCAACACCAAGACTGGGACATCTGTTGGTGACGTGGTGACCTGAAGGGAGTTGGGGATGTGGCCCCTTGAGCCTCAAACTGCAGCACTAGGGCTCTGCTGGGCATTGCAGGAGGCTTGAGGGATGTGGAGAAACAGCTTCCAGCTGCCCCGACATCACACCTGAGGACCTTGTGCAAAGAAGATAGAGAAGGACCCTCACTTTCCAGGAGCACAGCCAGCTTTTTGGGGTGGATGCACCATGCTGTCCACGGTGCAGCAGAAACATCAGGCCCTCAGGAAGTGGCGAGAGCAGTGGGGACAGAGTATGACAGGCAGGGGACAGAGGAGTATGACAGGCAGGGGACAGAGGAGTATGACAGGCAGGGGACAGAGGAGTATGACAGGCAGGGGACAGAGGAGTATGACAGGCAGGGGACAGAGTATGACAGGCAGGGGACAGAGTATGACAGGCAGATAAATCTTGGGAACCCCAAACTCGCTAAGCCAAAGGGAAAAGTCAAGCTGGGAACTGGACCATGCGCTCCCATTTTTGTTCCTAAGTGAGACAGCTACAAGACAAGGCCACACACCTCCCTCACATTGCGCCCACAAGGAAATTCCCCTTTAAATACTGAAGCCCTCAAAATCATCAGAGAAAGGCATCAACTTGCCTCCCAAGCACGTGTCCTTAACTTTTGCAGATAAACCTCCTGAAATGATTTCATTTTCCTCAATTGGCAGGAGCTCGCTGTGTTTCTCTTCCTGACTGGGCGTTGGATTGGTGTGTGTGGGGTTGTCTGGCTTCAGTCCTCACTGCCAGGGCCACCAGCCAAGGGCCCCCTTCACTCATTTTTTTGAGTGAAATTTCTTGTGGGCCCCAAGATCTTTACCCTAAAGGGTTTCTGTTAAATTTCACCATGGCAATGTCAATTGATAGCTTACCTTCACAGGTGTCGGGGAGACACTGCACTGACTGAGACATCCCTCTGCCCACCTGAGGCAAGTGCATAGCTGATTGCTTCCTCTGCCCCATTGTCTACGTTATCTTAGGTAACAATGCAGATTCACCAAGCCAGACAAAGGCATGAATGACTATTTTCCCCTACCTCCCTCTCACATGAAAACTGTGTATTTCTGGCTGGGCACAGTGGCTTACACCTGTAATCCCAGCACTTTGGGAGGCCGAGGCAGGTGGATCACTTGAGGTCAGGAGTTCCAGACCAGCTTGGCTAACATGGTAAAACCCCGTCTCCACTATGACTACAAAAAAATTAGCTGAGCATGATGATGTACACCTGTAGTCCCAGCTACTAGGGAGGGTGAGGCAGGAGAATCACTTGAACCCAGGAGATGGGGGTTGTGGTGAGCTGAGATTGCACCACTGCACTCCAGCCTGGGCAACAGAGTAAAACTCCATCTCCCAAAAAAAAAAAAAAAGAAGAGAAAGAAAATTGTATTTCTCAATAGCCTGCCCTTTTCCCTTTAAATATTGAAGCCCTCAAAATCATCTTCAGAGAAAAGCATAGACCTGCCTCCCAGGCATATGTCCTTAATTTTGGCAAATAAACCTCCTGAAATGATTGAGACTCACCTGGCTCATTTTCCTTGATTGACAGGCACTTGCCTCATGTTTCTCTTCCTGGCTGGGTGTTGGATTGGGGGCAGGGGAGTGGGTGTCTGGCTTCAGTCCTCCCTGCCAGGGCCACCAGCCGAGGATGCCCTTCACTCTTTTTTTGCTTCTGTCAGTCACAGCCCACATCGAGGTAGGGCCGGGATGAGCTGAGAGAACTCAGTCATCCCCAGGGGCAACACTTCCTCCCAGCTGAATGAACTTGGAAGGCAAATTTCATGAAGACATTACCCATCATTAAAGAAAATCGCAGGTCCCTTTCCCGCTGCCGGGGATGCTTGCAGACAGGAGAGGCCGGGCCGTCTGTGTTTCATCAGGCTCCCCACCTCCCTCTGTCTACTGGGGCCCTGCCGCGTGTCCTCCTGCTGCGTTCCCAGCAGAGGAACAGGAGGTGGCCTTTGTCCTCCTGCCCAGGCGCGTCCTTACCCTTGAAGTTGGGTGGAAAGGGAGGGCTGGGCCTGAGCAGTCAGGCTGGCCAGGTAGACCACCCTTCCCTTCAGGGGCAGGACACCGCGGCCAGAGAAGTCCCTGCCAGCCAGGTTTCCAAAGGTCACAGCAAGGGTACACGCTGTGGAGACCTGGGAACCTTTTCTCTTTAGGAGTCTCTGCACACAGGTCCTAAGGGTGAGGCCCCCAACAAAGCACAGAAATGCATGGATTCCAAGCCATCCAGGCTGGGAAACAGTGTGGGGTCTCTGGAGGAGTTTGCCTCCGCCCACACAGGGAGACGTACCTGGGGCACAGGCAGTGGTCACAGACACACCTCATGTAGACTCAAAGAGATAGGGACAGACCATATACGGGATGTTGCAACCGGGGAAAGAGCCGAACTTGATCCCAACACCACCCTGCAGATGGGGACTTACAGCCATGAGCAGCGAGGGGTCAGTGGATGGAAAATTGCTAAGAGGAGAACTTCAAGTGGGGGTTCTTGCTAAAGGCAGACCAAGGACCTGGATATGGCCGGGGGAAAGCAGAGGTGCTGAGGAACTCGATCAGATTTCAAGGGTTGGGGTGACTCAGTAGGATTCTCTGCTGAGACTGGCGTGGGCAGGCTGAGGACCGGGCTCGAGAACGGAGGCCTTATCAAAAGAGGGTTCAGTGGGCCAGGCACAGTGGCTCACGCCTGTAATCCCAGCACTTTGGAAGGCCGAGGCGGGTGGATTGCCTGAGGTCAGAAGTTTGAGACCAGCCTGGCCAACATGGTGAAACCCCGTCCCTACTAAAATACAAAAATTAGCCAGGCGTGGTGGCAGGCGCCTGTAATCCCAGCCACTTGGGAGGCTGAGGCAGGAGAATCGCTTGAACCAGAGAGGCAGAGGTTGCAGTGAGCCGAGATCGCACCACTGCACTCCAGCCTAGGTGATAGAGTGAGATTCTGTCTCAAAAAAAAAAAAAAAGAGGGCTCAGCAGAGTCTGCCTGAAGTTGGGTCAAGGAGGGAGCCTTTTGTCAGGCCTCAGCATAATAAGGGGGTTCTGAATCTGGGGGAGGAGGAAAGGTAGATTCTCAGGACTCCAGGCAGGGCGCGTCCCTCCCCTGGGGCGTGGTCTGGCTCCTGGGGGCTGGTGTCTGTTCTCAGCCCTCAGTAGGAACCCTTCCACTTCACATGGGCTGCCTGTGATGTCAGCATCGCCAAGCCCTGTCCCTCCTGCCATCTCCCCATCCGCACATTCTGTGTCCACCGCAAGCACCTTCAGGTGGCATCGGTCCATCTGACGCGTGCTGAGAAGGCAGTCCGGCCCGCAGGCATGGGGCCGCCCCTCCCTGCCCTTCCTCTCTGCTCGGTCATGCTGTGATTATGCTGAGAACTGACAGCACCTGCAACCTGCATTTTTATTAATTAGATAACACAAGTCTTCTATAATTTTCATTTTTATTCCCCACCCCCCCCCACCGCCACTCCACTTAGAGCGGAGGTTCTCAGAGTGGGGCCCCTGGGCCAACAGCCTCTGCATCAGCTGGATTCTCGTTGGGATCACAGAGCCCGGGGCCACCCCAGATTGTGGGGCAGCAATCTGTATTTCACAAGCCCCCAATGGACTCTGATGCAGGCTAAGGTTTGAGAGTCACTGATTTAGAGTAAAATTTTGGTTTCTGTTTTAAGCAAATTCACTGAAAGTAGCCAGTTATCCTTGTTAAAAAGGCTTTCAGTGTTTCCCTATTTTAGGGGTCTTGCTGTCTGCCCAGGCTGGAGTGCAGTGGCACAATCATACCTCGCTGCAATCTTGACATCTGGGGCTCAAACCAACCTCCCACCTCAGCTCCTGAGTAGCTGGGACTACAGGGGCACACAACCATGCCTGGCTTTTTTTATTTTTTAATTTTTTGAAAGAAAGGGTATTTCTATATTGCCCAGGCTGGCCTTGACTCAAGCAATCCTCCCATCTCAGCTTCCCGAGTAGCTGAGACTACAGGCCCTTGCCACCACGCCTGGCTAATTTTATTTTTTGTAGAGACAAAAAAGTAAGACTCACGTTGTTGCCCAGGCTGGTCTCAAGCTCCTGGTCTCAGACAATCCTCCTGTCTCGGCCTCCCGAAGTTCTCGGCGCGCAGGTATGAACCCCCACGCCCAGCCTTCCCTGCTTTATGGTCATTCACACCTGAGGCCTGAGTTGCCTTCAACAAGCCCCACGGGTTACCTGAGTGGCAGGTGTAACTTAAGGCTGAGGTTCTCTGCTTAGCCACGGGCAGAATCACCTGGGACGCTTTGAGAATTAAGGGCACTGGAGGGTCGGGGCCAAGCGTGGAGGCTTTCAAAGCACCTGTTTGGGTCCAAGTACACACAGGGCGGGGAATCTTTGCTCCATGGGTCCACGCTCCTCAGAAGTGACCCTTGCTGCTCTGGGTCTATTTCAGCAGAACCATCACCAACCAAACAAATGAGAAATCAGGGCGGATTGGACTCAGAGACAAATGCTTTCCGGTGAGCAGCCAGGCGCACAGCAGAACGATAGAGGAGCGCTCAGAACTCGGGAGTACCTGTCACCTCTGCCATGGTGGCTGGGCTCGCTCACGGTGACTGTTTCCCTAGCAGGAGAGACCCTGGCTGTGACCCTGCAGCCTGTGCCTCCTGCTGCTGCAGGGAGAGAGGGAGTGCCCGGCGCCTACCTGGGCTTTTCCGGGCCGTCCGTCCGCTCATCATGCCCCTTGCCCCAGCTCACTTCACATCTTCGCTGGGTGGGGATTCAAGGACAGGCTGGGCTCTAGGAGGTCAATGGTCCCTCCCCGGGCTTCCAGCATGTTGTAGCTCAACTTCTACCAGACATCTGGAAATACCAAATTTCTTTCCTTAAAGGGACAAAGACCCCTTTTCTTTGGAATATATATATATATATATATATATATATATTTTATTTATTTATTTTTTTTGAGACAGAGTTTCACTCTTGTGCAGGCTGGAGTGCAATGGTACAATCTCGGCTCACTGCAATCTCCGCCTGCCGGGTTCAGGTGATTCTCCTGCCTCAGCCTCCAGAGTAACTGGAATTACAGGTGTGCACCACCACACCCAGCTAATTTTGTATTTTTTGTAGAGACGGGGGGGGGGTTTCACCATGTTGGCCAGGCTGGTCTCGAACTCCTGACCTCAGGTAATCCACCTGCCTTGGCCTCCCAAAGTGCTGGGATTACAGGCGTGAGCCACTGTGCCCGGCCCTGGAATATATTTTTTTAAACCCTAAACTGTATTATAGAATAATCTCTTCCTCAGTGACTTGGTTTATAATATATTGGGAAAAAAAAAACTCTATGATGAAAATCAAGTGCTGTAAGTTAAATATCTGAGTCCAAATGATGTCAAAAAGCGGCAAGGCACTGGGCTTCCCCCATTCAGAGAGCACCCTCCCCTTCCTGCCCCGCGCTTCTGTTGACCTTTGGTCCTGTTTGCAGGAAGCTCTCAAGTTTAACTCTGAACTTGAAGGGAAGGAAGGGAGTGAACCACATGGCCCTGGGGTCGGGGCCTCTGGCCGAAGGGCGCTCAGCTTGGTCTGTAAAATGAAATGTGTTTTGAATGTCATGAGTCAGGAAAAAAGAATTTGAGCGCAGTCTGGAAATGAAATTTCCTGCCTGTGGTTTGACTCACGTCTGTCTGTCTCGAAATCTACCCCAAGGACATTTATTCCACTGTGACAGGGCTCATCTCTGAGGAGCACCAGACTCCTGCGGTGGGGAGGGAAGATTATCCGCGCTGCAGAGACTAGCTGGCCTCCGGAAGCCGCCTCCTGACCCCGCGTCAAGCACCGCGGTGGATGGCGCAACCCAGCTTTGGGAATTAATTACCCAAGGCGCGTTTCCGTGCAGTCTGGCCTCCCTCCCTGAAGGCTTCTTAAGCAATAGGGAACTAGGAGGAGTTGAGACCAGCCTGGCAAACGTGGTGAAACCCCATCTCTATTAAAAATACAGATGGGGGCAGGGCGCGGTGGCTCACGCCTGTAATCCCAGCACTTTGGGAGGCCGAGGCAGGTGGATCACTTGAGGTCAGGAGCTTGAGACCAGCCTGGCCAACATGGTGAAACCCCGTCTCTACTAAGAATACAAAAATTAGCCGGGCGTGCATGCGCCTGTAATCCCAGCTACTGGGGAGGCTGAGGCAGGAGAATCGCTTGAACCCAGGAGGCGGAGATTGCAGTGAGCTGAGATCACACCACTGCACTCCAGCCTGGGTGACAGAGGGAGACTCTCTCTCAAAAAAAAAAAAAAAAAAAAAAAATTATAGATGGGAACGAGGAATCGCAACAGTCCTTACTGCCTTTCTTGTCTTGCCTGGCTAGTGCTAAAGTATGTTGAGGAAGGAAAAAAATTATTTTTTACGATTTCAAAGTTAGTTTTATTTAGAAGTTTTATTGAGGACTAGAGACCGACCACAGCCTGGGAGAAGTCTTTTAGAGGGGGTTTGTCGGACTGTTTTGAAATAGTGTTTTAATTTACAGTTTATATACAGGTAGTGGGGGTTTAGTAGGTGTAAAATTATATTAAAGCTTGGGTATAAGAGTATATCTGGTTGTAGATTATAGAATAATTATTAAAAATGAAAAATAAAATCCTGAGCCTCACCACCAACTGAATGAACCCCCTCTTGGCCAAGTTGACCACATAGTCACCTGAAAAATTGAATTCCCAGCCCGATCTCCCAGGGAGGTGAGGCATACCTGCTTATATCCCCTCTCTCTCTTTCTCTTTGTTTTTTTTGTTTCTGTTTTTTTTTTTTTTTTTTTTTTTGAGACGGAGTCTCGCTCTGTTGCCCAGGCTGGAGTACAGTGGCGCGATCTTGGCTCACTGCACCCTCCACCTCACAGGTTCAAGCGATTCTCCTGCCTCAGCCTCCTGAGTAGCTGGGATTACAGGCGCCCTCCACCACACCTGGCTACTTTTTTGTATTTTTAGTAGAGACGGGGTTTCACCATGTTAGTCAGGATGGTCTCTATCCCCTCTCTTTTGGAGTTTAGGCACAGATGACCAGCACTAAGGTTAGAAAAGAGATCAGAAGTCTGGCAGAAGAGACTCCTGTGGCAATGAGATACCATGTTCCAACTTGGCCCTGGTGTAGTATCACATGACAGATGGCAGACCCTGAAGGAAATCAAAATATTTTACCCCACAATATATTTTTTTCTTTTTTTTGGAGACAGGGTCTCGCTCTGTTGCCCAAGCTGGAGTGCAGTGGCACATCTCAGCTCACTGCAACCTCCGCCTCCTGGGTTCAGATGATTCTCCTGCCTCAGCCTCTCGAGTAGTTGGGATGACAGGCGCCCACCACCACACCCAGCTAATTTTTGTATTTTTAGTAGAGACGGGGTTTCACCATGTTGGCCAGGCTTGTCTCGAACTCCTGACCTCAGATGATCCGCCCGCCTAGGCCTCCCAAGGTGCTGGGATTACTGGCGTGACATATGTTGAAACGGCCCTACAAAGCTGTCTTTTGTGAGGGAAATTTGCATTCTGTAGAAAAGCACCATTAATGCAGCCAGGTCTTTCCCAGATCTAGGAAATACTAAGAGTCTGACACGTTTAAGGTCTGAAAAGAGACATTGACCACCTATTTCCTCTGAAGGCTGTTACCTGGAGATTTCATCTATACAACAAGAACCTTGGTCTCCACAACCCCCCTTATCTTAACTCAAGCATTTCTTTCTACTGACCTCAAGACTTTAGCCAAAGCTTAACTCTTTCAACCAATTGCCAATTGGAAAATCTTTGAATCTTCCTGTGACCTGTAAGCCCTCCAACTCCCACTTCAAGGTATCCCACCACTTTAGGCTGAACCAATGTATACGCTCCATGTACTGATTTATGTCTTTGCCTGTAACTTTGGTCTCCCTAAAATGCACTGTAAACCAAAAATACAATTCTAAGCTCCCCCATCATCTGAATGGACCTCTCCTCTTGGCCAAGGGCTTTCCAAAGTCAACCTGAAAAACAGTTCAACACTTTAAACATTTTAGCAAAACTATTACTTCGTTATGTTCCAAATTATTCCATTCAATTCAGAAGATATTTTCTGAGAGTGCCTATTACACGGAAAAGGTAATCACAGAATCTGTTACACAAACTGGGATACCTTTTTTTTAAGAGACAGAGTCTCGCTATGTTGCCTAGGCTGGTCTGGAACTCCAGCCTAGAAGGGGATGTTGGACATGCCTCATTATGTCCTCTTCCCTTTGGAACTCAGGCACAGCTGACCAGCAGTAACATCAACACAGAGACCCTAAGACTGATAGAACAGACTCTTTAGATCTGATAAGAAACATTTACCATCTATTCTCTCTGAAGCCTGCCTCCTGGAGGCTTCGTCTGTGTGGTAAAACCTTGGTCTCCACAACCCCTTATCTTAACCCAGACATTCCAGGTCTTTAGAGAATAGCTCTTTAAACCAATTGCCAATCCGAAAATCTTTGAATCTACCTATGACCTGGAAGTCCCCCCAACCCCCACCCCGACTTCCAGTTGTCCCGCCTTTCTGGACCCAACCAATGTACATCTTACGTGTAATGACTGATGCCTCATGTCTCCATAAAATGTATAGAACCAAGCTGGAACCCAATCACCGTGGACACACGTTCTCAGGATCTCCGGGGGCCACTGGTCACTCATATTTGGCTCAGAATAAATCTCTTCAAATATTTCACACAGTTTGACTCTTTTTTGTCAACAGTATAAAACCAAATTGTAACTTCACCACCCTGGGCACACTTTCTCAGGAACTCTTGAGACAGTTCTGCCACTGTGGTTGCTCATGTTGGCTCAGGATAAGCATCTCTGAATATTTTACAGAGTTTGGTTTTCTCATCAACATTGTGACTCTCATCAGTGGTTACCATGTGTGTAGGAAACAACAAGGGGTCAGGTTTTTTTTTTTTTTTTTTTTTTTTGAGATAGAGTTTCATTCTTGTTGCCCAGACTGGAGTGCAATGGCACGATCTCAGCTCACGGCAACCTCCGCCTCCCGGCTTCAAGCAGTTCTCCCACCTCAGCCTCCCGAGTAGCTGGGATTGTAGGCATGCGCCACCACACCCGGCTGATTTTGTACTTTTAGTAGAGATAGGGTTTCTCCATGTTGGTCAGGCTGGTCTCGAACTCCTGACCTCAGGTGATCTGCCTGCCTCGGCCTCGGCCAAAAATCTGTAAACTCTGGGTTCTCTGAGTTTGCTGAAACGCAAAACCTCTGAGCTCACAGCTGCTCACTCAGCCCAAAGTGCTGGGATTACAGGTGTGATCCACTGCGCCTGGCCAGGTCAGGTATTTTTTAAGGAATATAGTGACTTAGGTAAGAGATGTTGAAGGGGCAGGTGTTTTGTTTTGTCTTTTAAATATTTTTGTGGAGAGTTACATGTCAGCACAGAGTCAGGGGCTATGCGAAATTATGCTCACAAGCAGAAATGAGTAAACACGGCTTTTTATATTTATTTCATTTTGTAAGTTTTCTCTTTTGCTCATAAATCCACCATCCAGTTATGTTTATAAGACCAGTGTTGACTGTCTCATGGTTAGGAAGCTTCTTTTTTAGGAAGACATGTAATTTGTACTTGTAAGGAATGAGTATTGGGCCCAGTGTGTATATTTGTCTATTTATCGGAAAATATGTTTTGGATTATATCTATTTTTTAATTAATATGAGCTGGCGTTTTTTTTTCTGAGACAGGTTCTCACTCTGTCACCCAGGCTGGAGTGGAGTGATATGATCGCAGCTCACTGCAGCCTTGACCTCCCGGGCTCAAGTAATCCTTCCACCTCAGCCTCCTGCATAATGGGACTGCAGGCACATGCCACCATGATCAGTGTGACACACTGGCCTCCTGGCCACATCTGCACTGTAGCAAACGGCTTCCTGAGAGAGGAAAATGCAAACTCCTCATCAGGCTGCGAACTCTCTGTGGCTGGAAATTTGTAAACTCTGAGTTCTCTGAGTTTGCTGAAATGCAAAAACTCTGAGCTCACAGCTGCTCACAGGGATTTTTGAGGATTTTGCAAGGGGCTAGGTCTGCCCCTAACCCTTCCTTCAAGTTCACAGCCTACCTTAGGGGTGGCAGAGGTCAGCAAACCTCCCACAAAGGGCCAGGGTGTACTTTAGGCTTTGAGAGCCAGATGATCTCTGCGGCAGCATTTCAACTCTGACACTGGAGTTCTACAGCAGTCACAGACAATATGTAAGTGAATAGGCGTGGCTGTGTGCCAATAAAACTTTACTTAAAACAGGCAGAGGGCTAGATTTGGGTCCGCTTCAGTCACCCCAGTAATTGGGAGAGGCAAACTCCCATTTCTAAACTATTCCTCTCTGTTGCCTTCTCAGAAACTTTTTGCCTGCTATTGTCCCTACCCCCACTTTCTCCTCGTCTACCAGCTCGCTGCCACCAAAATGCAAATATGCCATAGAATCCCGCATCTCAAAAACAAGACAAGGCCACCTCCCTCCAGCTGCCACCCCCCTCCAGCTGCCACCCCATCCCTCTGCTTCAAGTAGCGGATTCAAAAAGCCCATAGCCCACCCACTCCTCAGCCGCCTCTGTGGCTTTGACCTCCATCCTCACCTTCTCTAAACCAGCTCTCATCAAAGTCCCATACAGATCCCTCCAACCATTTTTGCCTGGGGCAGTGTGTGTAGCCAGGCCAGCAGGCCCAGGGGGCAGGTTAGGGAGGTTCAGAGCACAAGGAAACAGGAAGAGGAAAACCTTACTTAGCCTTTCAAAATGTTTACTGACCTCATAGAAAGCCCTAAAAAAGGCAAATGGTTAGTTACCGGGCTGGCTGGGCCTTGCGTGCTGGCATCTGTTGGTTTACAGCATGACTGGTATTTAGAATGACCTGGAAGCTCCCAACTTCGAATTGTCCCAAACCTTTCCAGACCGAACCAATGTATACCTTATATGTATTGATTGATGTCTTATTTACCCCCAGAAGTTCTATAGGTTATACACCTCCCATTTTGTCAGTTGCTGAGACTATTGAATTGCAGAAAATGTACACCTCATGTCTCGCAAACCTATGAATCGTCACAGTGGTTGCTCCGTGGTCTTTGCCTCGTATCTGTTGTCTAAACCCAAGCCCCAATGGGGACATATGTTCTTATCCAAGATGTCCATTTTCCTCACAAGGCATAAGCCAGAGATCTCTGAAATCCACACAGCCAAGCTCCTCAGGGTCCATGCTCAGCCATCCACATCACAGCATAGCATCTGCGGCAGAATCACTGAAGCAAGAGCGGCAGTTTTGGGAGGGTCAGAATCTTGTCACTTCCAGCCACGTGACTCCTAAACCACGATTTCTAATCTTGTGGCTCATGTTAGTCCTACAAAGGCAATCTAGTCCCCAGGCAAGAAGGTCTGCCTTGGGAAGGGGCTGTTATCGTCTTTGTTTTAAACCATAAATCATAGAGTTATAAACTATAAACTAAGTTTCTCCCAAAGCTAGTTCAGGAATGAGCTTTGGAATGAGCTCATTCCACCCACGGCCAAGAATGAGCAAGGACAGCTTGGAGGTTAGAAGCAAGATGGGGTCGGTTAAGTCAGATCTTTCACTGTCTCAGTCATCAGTTTGCAAAGGCAGTTTCGACACCACACTGTCACGATTACTGGAGCTTTATAGTAAGTTTTAAAAATGGAGCAGTGGAGGTCTTGCAATTGTGTTCTTTTTTTTCTTTCTTTCTTCTTTTTTTTTTTTTTTTTTTTTGAGACGGAGTCTCACTCTATCACCCAGGCTGGAGTGCAGCGGCGCGATCTCAGCTCACTGCAAGCTCCACCTCCCGGGTTCATGCCATTCTCCTGCCTCAGCCTCCCGAGTAGCTGGGACTACAGGCGCCCGCCACCACGCCCGGCTAATTTTTTTTTTTTTTGTATTTTTAGTGGAGACGGGGTTTCACCGTATTAGCCAGGATGGACTCGATCTCCTGACCTCGTGATCCGCCCGCCTCGGCCTCCCAAAGTGCTGGGATTACAGGCATGAGCCACCGCGCCTTGGCCGTGTTCTTCTTTTCAAAGGCGTTTTGGTTAGCCTAGGTCCTTCACATTTCCATAGCAATCTTAGAATCAGATTGTGAATTCCTATTTTTAAAAAATTATCTACTGGCATATTTGTCGGGACTGCAATAAATCTGTAGATCAACTTGGGGAGAACTGACATCTTTACAATATTGAGTCTTCTGATCCGTGAGCATGGCGTATCTCTCCGTATATTTAGGTCTTTGAAATTTTCTCTTAACAAATGTTTGCAGCTTTTAGTCAATAAATTGCTACCCAGCAGATATTTAAACACACACACACACACACACACACACACACACACACACACACTCCACTTCTGTAATGCCAAGATAATGTCTTAACAATGAATGAGAAAATAACTACTTTTGAAGCAAATTCTTCCTACAGATCACACTGTTTTGAAAATAGATGTTGGGAAGTATCTCTATGGTTATACTGTTTTTGTTGCCGAATATGATCTAACTCTTTCACTTATTAGAAACTCTCATATTTGTATACTTTCAATCATGTTGTTACTTCTTTAGAAATCCTCAAGGGCTAGTACCATTTGTTTACAAGAAAACCTGACTGACGTGAAGAGAAATGGAAATTTCCTAGTCACATTTCAGGGGAAAAATCATTGCATTATTGGTAGCTGAAAATGAACAGTGAATACCATGATGTAATCAACAGAGCGAATGATGTAACTCTATCCGTGGGGTCTTATTGGGATTCAGCAAGCTGTGATAAGACCATATGGTGCACAACTAGAAAGCTCTTTTTGTTCATGGCAGCAGCTACCAAAATATCCCAGAGGGGAGAGCTAGCCCCCCCCACCTCCAATCTCACAGCCAGATGATCATAAAGCAAGGCTCGGAGCAGAGTCTACCACACAAAATGGCATTTATTATACAAACAGTAATCAGCAGAGCAGGCACCAAACATTCATATGTCCTGCAAGCATGACCGACATCTAAAGTTTGTCCCATAGGTGCCCTGAAAGTGCACATGGGCACCCAGCAGGATCTCCTTTTTTTTTTTTTTTTTTTTTTTTGAGACGAAGTCTCACTTTTTCACCCAGGCTGGAGTGCAATGGCACAATCTCAGCTCATTGCAACTTCCACCTCCCGGGTTCAAGCGATTCTCCTGCCTCAGCCTCCCAAGTAGCTGGGATTACAGATGCCCACCACCACGCCCAGTTAATTTTTTGTAGAGACGGGGTTTCACCATGTTGATCAGGCTGGTCTTGAACTCCTGACCTCAGGTGATCCACCCACCTCGGCCTCCCAAAGTGCTGGGATTATACTGCAATCTCACTGCCTCTGGTCAGCGTCATGCTGTGGGAATCCCCCAGTACCCCTGGCTGGACAAAGGACCTCCTAGGACTCCTGCTGCAGCCACCCCTAAGGGGTGAAGGGTGCAGGCCGGGGGGACTCTTCCACCCTGTCTGCGCAGGGGCAGGGAAGGTCTCCAAACCACAGCGGACTCACATACCCTGGTGGTCATTAGCCAGTCTCTAATCTCAACAATAGAAAAGAAGCTATTTTTGACACCCTTTTGGCAAAGTGCCGGTTGCAAATGGGGATGCCAATAGCAGGACTTGTAGTCACCACCTCGAGAGGGTGGCTCTTTCTGATAAAACGCCGGCTGACCACCTGGCCTGTGCCTATGAGAGTGCAAGTAAGTCAATGACTAATTCGTCAAGTTAAAGCTTCAACCTTCTCACATACATGACATCACACTAATGATGGTGGGGTGTTTTCGAGTGAATTACAGACATTGTAATTGACACATTTAATTTCTTACAGTCACTTTCCTCCTCTGCCAGCTATTCAAGCCAAAAAGCGAATCTACTGTGAATTTTAGAATGACTGCCAAGAAACACAAAAGTACAGCCCTGGAGACAATCATGGAGATGAAATGAAATCATAAAATACATAGTCTGGGCCAGGCGTGGTGCCTCACACCTGTAATCCCAGCACTTTGGGAGGCTGAGGCAGGCGAATCACCTGAGGTCAGGAGTTTGAGACCAGCCTGACCAACATGGAGAAACCCCGCCTCTACTAAAAATACAAAAATTAACCGGGCACGGTGGCACATGCCTGTAATCCCAGCTACTTGGGAGGGTGAGGCAGGAGAATTGCTTGAACCAGGGAGGTGGAGGTTGCGGTGAGCCAAGATTGCACCATTGCACTCCAGCCTAGGCAACAAGAGTGAAACTCTGTCTCAAAAAATAAATAAAAATAACCTAGTCTGAAAGAAAGCAGAGAAACAGGGGAAGCGAATGAGAGATGGATGGAACAAGTTGAAAACAAATAGCAAGACAGTAGGTTTACATTCATTCCTATCAATGATTACATTACACAGCCAGGCCTGAGCTGAGAGTGAAGGTGGGGGTGGAGGTGGGGGTCGGGGAGGAGAGATGGGGATGAGAATGAGGATGAGGGAGAAGCTCTTTAGCGGGTGAGAGACTGAAGTTATGATTTAGACCTTTGGACCTTTTTAAAATCATTATTATTATTATTATTATTATTATTATTTTTGAGACAGGGTCTCACTCTGTCACCCAGGCTGGAGTGCAGTGGCATGATCACGGCTCACTGCATCTGTGACCTGCTGGGCTTAAGTGATCCTCCTACCTTAGCCACCTGAGTAGCTGGGACTGCAGGCATGCACCACCATGCCCAGCTAATAGTTTAAAATTTTTTTTGTAGAGACGAGGTCTCATTGTGTTGCCTAGGCTGGTCTCAAACTCCTGAGCTCAAGCAATCCTCCCACCTCAGCCTCCCAAAGTTCTGTGATTATAGGCGTGAGCCACTTCATCCGGCCGACCTTTGGTCCTTTTAATGCCCAAAAATGAGAAATCCTGTGAAGAAACCCACATAGCTGGGAACCTGCCCAAGGTCACACACAGCTTTACTGAAATGGCATCACAGCGAGAACCTGCGAAGGTCCAGGTCGGGAGATTCCAGCGTCATGACCAGGCTTGGTGCTGAAGGACACCCAGGGGCCCACCTTTCTCTGATTCCTAGTAAGGAAAAGTACAGAGTGCCCATGAACTCCAACTTACAAACAGCTGAAAGTCTCCCCTACAAGGCAAATAGAAATGACTGCTGTCAGCAGCAACGCTGATCTAATAGCAACTACATCTCTGGATTTGCAAGACAGATGACACCTGGGGGTTTTAAAGATGGACTGTTTATGGGGTGCGTTCATTCATCACTGTTTCTTCAACACATCACCAACTGCTTGTGAGGTCCTGGGCTGGGGGCTGGGGGAACTTGTTTCTGAAACCCTAAGTGTGTTTATAAAAGAGCAGGAATGTGCCTGCCTAGGGTGGGAGAGGATGGGGCTCCCCAAAGTCATCCAGCTCCGTCTGCTCTTTGTCCACGCAGGTGTCTCACATGCTGGTTCTGACAGTTGTTTCCATGATAGAAGGAATGCCTGGACGAAGGAAGCTTTTCCCCCTTGGAGACATCTAAGCCTGTCTTGAGGGCCCGAGGCATTTGGCTCAGCTCCCTCTCCCAATATGCATGTTGCCCACCAGGGACTTCAAAATCTGAGTGGGGGCAATGCTGGCTCCCAGGCCCCTCCCAGGACCCCTTCTCATCCACCCCGACAAGGTTGAGCAGCCGGGGATTTGCAGAGCCGCAGGGTCTACAGGCGAGGAAGACACCCATGAGCTTCATTAGGGCAAAGGCTTTGCTCCCTCTTGAATCCTGGCACCTGCCACAGTTCTTGGACCAGAGCTGGCTCAAGAAATATTTGTACAATGAATTAATTATTAATTAACAAAAGGTTATGCAGAAATCATGACTGAAACCTAAAAATCCATTTACACTGTGAGGGGTCTACTCACCCACCCAGGAACACTCCACGTGGAGGGGCACTGTGGGCTCCACAGCAGGGAGGGAGCACGGAGGCCAGCGAGGCCCTCGCCTGGGGTGCACAATTGAAGGGGGCCCCCAAAGCTCAGTGACAGAGATAACTCATATTTAAATGCAATATTTGAAGAAAACCAAATTTAATGCAAACATTCATGATAACAAAATATCCAAATTTGCCATAAAGACAGGATTAGCGATAGTGCTGTAGCCGATATTGGAACCAGAGGCAAAAGGAAGAATCGGTCACTCTGGCCCAACCCCTTGACTTCCCACTGATTTTGTGCCCAAGGAAAAATTGCACCCACCTAGTCTTGGCACTGCTAGAAAAAGAAACCAGGAGGGCAGAGAAGAAAAGAAAACCCCAAACCTCCCTTGGCAACAGATGGCAGAGATAAGGGGCTTCTTAACCCCAAAGGTGGCGCTGGCTAAAAACAGGGACACACAGGGGTTCAGCAGAGGCCAAGGTAGATTTAGAGCTGGGTTGTTAGGGGTGCTTGGGGTGTATTCATCTGCTTTCGAATTTTAGGTCATGGGAGGCACTGAGGCCCTCTGTGCAGTGAGACCCATCAGCTCTGATAGCTGAGCCATCGCCGGATCCGTGGGACAGTTCCCATTCTGTATCACAGTGTAGCCCCGGATAAGTGCGTAGGAAGATGCTTGGGCAGAGGATGCCAGGAACCAGCACCCTGAGTGGGCCTCCCTCCCCTCTCAGTACCCCTACCTCCAAGCTCCCTGGCTTTTCTAGGCTGCCTGGCTATCTCAAACCGTGGAGGCAGAGAGCTCCTGGGGGTCATTTTAGTCCCTGCAGAGAGGACCGCATAGGGCTCTGGCAGTCACTATGGAGGCCACTCGGGAAACCCACAGTGTGGCCCTCCGTTCCCACCCAAGGGTGTAGCGCCTCCCAGCACCTGGGTCTGCGAGTCCTTCCCATTGGTGCCATGGTCTTTGGTGTTCCTGGGAACTGCTGTCCATCAGAGCACGATGCCGTGGAATTCGTGGGAACCCCAGTCCCAGGATCCTGGAGAACTTTCTCACTTAGTGCAAGAGATCAAGGCCGGGCGTGGTGGTGCACGCCTGGAATCCCAGCACTTTGGGAGGCTGAAGAAGGTGGATCACCTGAGGTCAGGAGTTCGAGACCAGCCTAGCCAACATGGAAAACCCTATCTCTACTAAAAATACAAAAATCAGCCGGGCGTGGTGGTGCGTGCCTATAGTCCCAGTTACCGGGGAGGCTGAGGCTGGAGAATCACTTGAACCCGGGAGGCAGAGGTTGCAATGAGCCGAGATTGCCCCATTGCACTCCAGCCTTGGGTGACAAGAGCGAAACTCTGTCTCCAAAAAAAAAAAAAAAGAGGTCGAGCACACAGTCGGGCCACAGCCAGACCCTATAGGACAACAGAACTCTGGCCCACCACCTCTGCAGCCATCCTGCCAAGCTGGCCAGGACTTGGGCAGGGACCACCAGCTTCCCTAATTTTTGTCCCTGTTTCCAACTCAGGACCAACCAGAAAAAAGCAAATACGTTCCCCTGACCAATCAAGGCCCGCTTGTAACCAGCCGCACGCCAGCCTCCCTGTGCCAACAGCCTCCAATCAGGCCCTCCGGAGCCTCCCCTCCTCCACCTGCCTGAGTCCCTCCCCAGCGCCAGCCTGGTGGCTGACTCCTTACCCTAGCGAGCTCTGAGTAGACAGCCTCTGCTTGTTCTCATCTGGGAAGTCTTCATCCATTTCCAGGAGAAGATGGAGCTGCTGCGGAGAGGCCACCCTCAGACAGGGCAGGCTTAGCTACTGTGGGTTTGGACCTGTTTGTTCTCTTCTCAAAGTCAAGACAACGCAGACATTTTGTTGTTGTTGTTCATTCTAATTGCTTGGTCTCAGACCGTCCTGGCAAAGCCAGCAAGAGGCTTTCTAAAACCTTCCAGCTTCGTGCCCTGGGCATAAGGAGCCTCGCTGAGGGACAGATGATGTCCCAGCACTCCCTCTCTGAGTGGGCTGAAATGGCGTGCTCTGGGGGTCCTGGGTGCCGGGACCCTGGGTGGGAAGCAGGGGTGTTCCCTCCACCCGGGACAGCATTTCCCAACTCGCCAAGAAGGATGATGGGTGCTTGCTGAGAGGCAGGATGGCATCGTAGGCAGGAGCCCAGATATGGAGCCAAATTGCCGGGTGTAATGAGTTGCTTCTGCATCCATTCTGAATATACATTCTCAGGCCAGAAGCAGGGCACAGTCACCCTCAACCCAGCTTCCAGTTCTCCTCTTCCTCCCAGTTCCTCAAGGCAGTTGATCCAGAGACCTGCCTTATACCACCATCTCCTGGTGACTACCTGCCTGGCTAATTTTTGTATTTTTAGTAGAGATGGGGTTTCACCACATTGGCCAGGCTGGTCTTGAACTCCTGACATTGTGATCCCCCCGGCCTCAGCCTCCCAAAGTGCTGGGATTACAGGCATGAGCTGCCGTACTCAGCTGGAATTAGCAATTCTTTTATTATTTTTTATTTATTTAATTTTTGAGATGGAGTTTCACTCTTGTTGCCCAGGCTGGAGTGCAATGGTGCCATCTCAGCTCACTGCAACCTCCGCCTCCCGGGTTCAAGCGATTCTTCTGCCTCAGCCTCCCGAAGCAATTTTTTAACAACAATAATCTGCTCACTGGTTTAGCTCAGTGGACTCGGTGTTCAACTGTGAAAGAGAAGAACAAAATTGAGGAATGTGCACAAAAGGCTGGAAAGAGAGTGTCAAGGTTGTCTAAAAGCTGCAGTGAAATTAGTACTTTCTAGCTTTCAGGGTGAAAAAAATTCCATGTGACCATGTGACTTTATTGTTCTACTTGGCAGTACATAAAATGGAGACAGGTGATAAAAATAGGTAAGGCTGATTCACACCCACTGTATACACCAGGACTGTTCTAAGAGCTTTATAAATATTAACTCACTCAATCCTCACAACCACCCTAGGAGCTAGGTACGTCTCTTATGCCCCATTCAGAAAGGAGGAGACTGAGGCATAACAGTAGCACCTGGCTCCTAGGGTGGTTGTGAGGATTGAACGAGTTAGTATTTATCAGCTAAGCTGGGATAGCTACGTGCAGCCTACTGGACTCACCCCACTGATCCCACACCCCACACGGACTGTGCAGTGACCACCCTTCAGTCACAGGGTGACCCCACAGAGCTCGTGATGCTCCAAACCCACCAATGGGAACTCCCTGTGGGAAACTTGCCGGGTAATTCCCATGACCCCAATAAAGCCTTTGGTCCACAGATCCCTCTCTCCCCTGCCCCCACCCACTGAATGAGCTCTCTGCTGTCTCTGGACTGCCCATCAGTCCTCCTGGGCATCCAGGAGGTTTATTAGGTATTATTACTCCAGGACCTGTGAGTAATGAACCACTTCAGTGTCTTCCTGTCTTCCACTGAGCTGCCCCCCACCCATCGCACCTGACCGGCGCCCCCCAACCTAACTCTGCTCCTGGTCACGGTTCTCCTAGAAAGTGGCTCTCTTGGCCAATGGATACTCTCCAGAGAGAGATCTCAAGGCCAAGTTAGAAGAAAATATGACAGCAGGGTTTGCATGCTGGCATGCCCACTTCTTACAGTGCAAGCTCACACAGGGCAGCCTCAGTCTCCTCATCTCTGAGTGGGGCATAAGAGATGTACCTAGCTCCCAGGGTGGTTGTGACGATTCAGTGAGTTAATATTTCCAAAGCTCTGGCCAGGCGTGGTGGCTTATGCCTGGAATCCCAGCACTTTGAGAGGCCGAGGCGGGCAGATCACCTGAGGTCAGGAGTTCGAGACCAGCCTGGGCAACATGGGGAAACCCCGTCTCTACTAAAAATACGAAAATTAGCTGGGCATGGTGGTGTACGCCTGTAGTCCCAGCTACTCGGGAGGCTGAGGCACAAGAATTCCTTGAACCCCGGAGGCGAAGGTTGCAGTGGGCCAAGATCACACCACTGCACTCCAGCCTGGGTGACAGAGCGAGACCTTGTCTCAAAAAAAACAAACAAAAAAAAACCCTATATATATACGTGTATAATACGTGTATATATATATATATATATATATATATATATATATATATATATATATATACACACACACACACACACACACAAACACGCATATATATATGTGTGTGTGTATATATATATATATACATATATATAAAGCTCTTAGAACAGTCCTGGTGTACACAGTGGGTGCTGAATAAGCCTCACCTATTATGGTCACCTGCCTCCATTTTATATACTGCCAAGTAGAACAATAAACTCACATGGTCTCATGGAATCTTTTTCACCTTGCAAGCTAGAAAGTACTAATTTCACTGCAGCTTTTAGACAGTGTTGACACTCTCTTCCCAGCCTTTTGTGTGCATTCCTTAATTTTGTTCTTCTCTTTCACAGTTGAACACCCAGTCCACTGAGCTAAACCAGTGAGCACGTTATTGTTGCTAAAGAGTTGCTAATTGTGACAAGATTACTGATTTCCCAGCTTGTCTGCATTGTGTGAAGTGTATGGGACTCTGGAGCCCTCCTTCCACGCCTCCTCCTGCCGAGGTAACTGGGAAAATGAGCCCAGTGAGAAACTTCTTCCTCCTGTTAAGCTTCATGGGTGGTGGGTACCTGGCTTTCTAAACACCATTCGTCTTTTCCATTATCTTTTATCTCGTCCTCTTGTTCTCTCCTCCCGGCTCCTTTCAGAAATTCCTCCTGGGCCTGCCCAAGCTCTCCCCTGCAAATGCAGAGAGATTTCCCCTAGCCCCAGATGTTAACTGCCCTGAAGTCTTCCCTGTGTGTATCAATGGTTGGTTCAGAAATTCTCATCTTGCATGCATCTTTGTGTGTTTGTTGATGAGAAAATCTTGTTAAAATAAAAATGTGGCCGGGCGGGGTGGCTCATGTCTGTCATCCCAGCACTTTGGGAGGTCGAGATGGGTGGATCACTTGAGGTCAGGAGTTCCAGACCAGCCTGGCCAATATGGTGAAACCCTGTCTCCACTAAAAATACAAAAATTAGTCAGTTGTCATGGCAGGCACCTGTAATCCCAGCTACTCGGGAGGCTGAGGCAGGAGAATCACTTGAACCTGGGAGGCAGAGTTTGCAGTGAGCTAGATCATGTCACTGCACTCTAGCCTAGGGGACAGAGCAAGACCCTGTCTCAAAAAAAAAAAAAGTATTCATTGATAAGGACAACTGTGAATTCCTTTCAATAGATGGGTTTACTTCATTTGTTTTCATCCCTGATGGCAACACCCCCATCCAACAGGAAAAAAGAAACCAACTCATCATTGGCATCCCTCTTCTCTGCTTTAGTTTTTCCTTAGGATGCACCGCCCTCTAAAGTATTGTTTAATTTACTTATTTATTATGTTAATTTATTGTCTGTATCCCTCATTAAAAGCAAAGTTCCAGATACTTTTCAAAAGAAGACGTACGTGTGGCCAACAAGCATATGAAAAAAAGCTCAACATCACTGATCATTAGAGAGAAACGCAAATCAAAACCACAACGAGGTACCATCTCACACCAGTCAGAATGGCTGTTATTGAAAAGTCAAAAAACAACAGGTGCTGGTGAGGTTGTGGAGAAAGGGGAACACTTATACCCTGTTGGTGGGAATGTAAATGAGTTCAGTCATTATGGAAAGCCGCATGGCAATTCCTCGAAGAGCTAAAAACAGAACTACCATTCAACCTAGCAATCCCGTTACTGGGTATATATCCAAAGGAATATACATTGTTCTACCGTAAAGACACATACACGCATATGTCCATTGCAGCACTATTCACAATAGCAAAGACATGGAATCAACCACAGTGCTCATCAGTGGTAGACTGGATAAAGAACATGTGTTACATATACACTATGGAATACTATGCAGCCATAAAAAAGAATGAGATCATGTTCCTTGCAGAAACATGGGTGGAGCTGGAGGCCATTATCCTTAGCAAACTAACTCAGGAACAGAAAAGCAAACGCTGCACATTTTCACTTATAAGTGGGAGCTAAATGAGGGCACATGGACACAAAGAGGGGGACAACAGACACTGCAGCCTACTTGAAGGTGGTGGGTGGAAGGAGAGAGTGGCTTAGAAAAAGTAACTATTGGGTACTAGGTTTAGTTCCATGGGCTACAACAGCGCTCAGCATACAGTGCTCAGGAAATACTCATGGAACCCCTCAGTTAATCATCCAGGGTGCCTGGCCTGTGCTCCAGGGACAGTCCGGGAACTGACTGTTCTGGGCCTCGTTGAGTGTGGAAATTGAGAGCGAGCGGGTAGAAACGCTGACAGCCACTTCACTTTGCCATGTTGTCTAAGTGCTTCATCATTTTTCTGGTAGTTCATCTTTATCGTGGTTTACAAAAGTGTGGGTCCCACGATGGACTGGAAATTAAAACAAAATAAAAATGTGTCCTTACCAGATAGTTAGAGAAGTACCAGGCCAGCAAACAAAAAAAAAGTCGAAAGAACTGGGACACAGGAAAACTACGCTTCTAAGATTTCCAAGCCAAGAACATTGGAGAGTGCAGATGCTGTGTGTGGCCAGGCAGCGTTCAGCCACAAAGAAACCCCAGGCAGAAGGGCCAGGGGGGATGGGGGCCAAGGCCTTCTTGGAATCTGCCCCATCCTCATGCCCCTGCACGCACTTGCCTGGGGGAATGCGGACAGTCACCAAACTGTGTCCCCGGGAAGGGTGCCTGCCACACCACCCCCTGCCCTTTGTGAACGGGGCATCTCTCTACCACTGGCCAAAGCTGCTGGCTTCAGATGGAATTTTTTTCTTCTATGGGGAAACCTCAGCCAGCAGCTTCAGCTCGTGCCCAGGAGTTCCAGGCTGCTCTTCCTGATGGCCAGGCCCATGAATTCTGATGTGTCTAGCCAGCTCCTACAGCCACAGAAGCCAGTTTCCTGCAATAAATCCACATATATATATCCTATGTCTCCTGCTGGTTCTGTTTCTCTGGTTAAATCTTGACAGATACAGATTGTGTTAGTAACGTGGGCCAATTTTTGACATGGTCAGACTACCAGAAACCCATCGAAATCTCAAACTTCTGTTTATCCAAATACAGCTGCCAACAGAACTCTCACAGAGTGGCATAAGAAGCTCCATTTCCTATTTTCTGAATCCTTGGCGGTTGAGCATAGTCCTCTGTGTGTACCCAGAACATGTCTTCTGCTGGTCCTCGGCAGCCGACAGCCAAAGATAGGTCCAGAGCCTGGCGAAGTTGATGCCAGTAACAGCATCCGGGCCTGCGTGTGGGCTGGGGACCCTGCAAAGGACCAGAACCTACGTCTCGGCATCTTTGTGAAAAGGGATGCCAAGACACAAGAAAAAAGGAAAGAGCAACACGGCAAAACCCATCTCTATTAAAAATACAAAAAATTAGCCAGGCATGGTGGCGGGCACCTATAGTCCCAGCTACTTGGGAAGTTGAGGCAGGGGAACCCCTTGAACCTGGGAGGTGGAGGCTGCAGTGAGCCAAGATCGCACCATTGCACCCCAGCCTGGGCCACAGAGCGAGACTCAGGTCTGAAAAAAAAAGGAAAGGGAATTCATGGCCTTTCTCTTCCTCTTAAGACAAATGCCCTTTTCTTCACATTAACAATGAAGAGACCAACGTGGCAAGCTGGAGAGAAGACGCAACACATCCCAGCACCAGCCGGGCCATGCAGGAAAGCCTGGGACAGGACCACGGCCATCAACTCAGCTCTCAAACCTGCCTACTACAGGCTAGCTCAGTGTGCCCGGAAAGGGACCTCATCACTCTGTGCCTCGGTGTCCTTGTCTGTGAAATAAGTTGGCCGGATTATCTCCAAGCTCCTCCTCCGGTATCCTGTGGTTGAATCCATGAGACACCAAACTCTGCAGCACGCAACAGCCTTCCAGCGTGGACACCTGTGCTGTCATCATGGGAGCCTTACTCCAGTTGTGTTGTGCTCTCCTCTTGAATTGTTTGTTTTTGTTTGGGTTTATTTATTTATTTATTTATTTGAGATGGAGTTTTGCTCTTGTTGCCCAGGCTGGAGTGCAATGGTGCGACTCAGTCTTCCGAGTAGCTAGGATTACAGGCGTGCGCCACCATGCCTGGCTAATTTTCGTATTTTTGGTAGAGACAGGGTTTCACCATGTTGGCTAGACTGGTCTCGAACTCCTGACCTCAGGTGATCTACCCGCCTCGGCCTCCCAAAGTGCTGAGATTATAGGCGTGAGCCACCACATCCAGCCTCCTCTGGAATTGTTGGACAAGCTTTGAGGACCTGTGAGTCTCTAGCCCATGACTGACCTGTGCCCATCTTCTTGCTGACATCTGGCCGGGTTATGAATGCCACCTCTAGACATGAGCCGAATGAGTTTAACTCACCCAGAGCTCCCTGCTCCCTGCAAGAGTTGTCAAGTTTCCGCTTTCACCCACCTGATGCTGCCTGTCAAACTCGAGCCCCCTTCCACGGGCTTTCCCTGGGTTTGTCTAACTCACATGCAACCTCAGTACCTGGCACTTTACCTCTATCTTTGCCCGGGAAACACTGGGAAATGTTTGCCCCATCAGAAGTCTTGGGAAAAAGCTGTCGATGGCCAGTAGGGTTTCTTTGACATGGAAATCAATTGCATGCTGAGAACAGGGAAACAGCTTTTTAAAAACCAGCATGGTGCTCTTCCGGCACCCAAAGTCCACATAGGGCAACGATTCAATTATCTACGTGTGGTAGGAGGTGTCTGAGGCCATGCTCTTCACCCAGCCTTTTTTATTAACTTGAGAACCTGCTTCTGCCTCTCACACAATTTACGAAAACAACAGCCATGCCAGCGACCAAGAGTTGGGTCATTCAAGTTACACCAAGGAACCTTAAAATGGATGGAGCTGTCCATTTGCTTTGAATGTGCACAGATATTTGACATAAACCATGCAATGCCGAGGAAATCTTCAGCTTTCCAAACATAAGGAACGAGACTCCAGGGGCAGGAATAAGAGTGTGAGCATGTGCACCCTCCACGGGGAGCTGGCTGGGTCCTTCCACTGGAAGACGTTGGAAAATGATGGAAACCAAATGCCCTAGGGACCTCTTGAAAACCAAAACAAAGCTAAAATGGGATGGGAGGGCAGAACTTTCCCTTACAGACGGAGCTGGATCTTGTCACAGAGCCTGGAGACAGTTCCCAGTTTATATTTCCATGTGTGAGTCACTCTCAGGGGCAGAAAAACGCAGGTGTTGATTAAACTAGGGCTGAAAGAATGGCAAACACAGCCCACTCTGGGGCCCAAAGCATAAAAGCGGACTCTTCCAGCTGCAGAGGGTCATGCTTCTTTGCGTGAAGGGATCCAGGGGAAAAACTCAAACCAAGATCTGGAATTGTCATTTCTGCTCTGTGGCTTTACCCGGATTGGTCTATTCACTTCACACCTCTAGGAGCCTTCTCCGTGCAACTATTTCTAATCTTTGAGGAGGACTCCTCTGAGTCTCCCAAACTCCCACCACTTCACTGGGGAGGGAAGCGATGATGGGGAAAACTGGAGCAGAAACACCTGTGGCTGTTCTGTGGCAGCCCGGGTGGAGGAGGGACCTCTGGGTTTGGCAATGGTGAGTTTACCTGCGACACCGCGAACGTGGCAGGCCACGATGGCAGCTGGTGGCATCAGGATTTTCACTCTTCTTCAAGAGCAAAATCCGAGTTTTTTGGCCAGCTCTGGATCGCTCACCATGGGATTTAAAGGAAGCTGAGCAGCGAACACGGGTGACTCCTAACGTGGCTTCTCAGGCATCTGTGGTTGAGCTTTGTGTGCCAGTGCCTGCCACAAGCCAGGTGCTGGGCAGGAGCCTTCTCCGTGCGACTATTTCTAATCTTCCAACCACCCACCAAAGAGGCATGGCGATCCCCATTTAAGGAGGCGCTGGTAATCCTCATTTTAGGGGAGGCGCTGGTGATCCCCATTTATTTTTTTTTTTGAGTCGGAGACTCATGCTGTTACCCAGGCTGGAGTGCAGTGGCACGACCTTAGCTCAACCTCCCGGGTTGGTAGCTTGAACCTCCACCTCCCGGGTTCAAGCAACTCTTGTGCCTCAGCCTCCTGAGTAGCTGGGATTACAGGCGCCCACCACCACGCCCAGCAGCCTTCCTTTATATTAGGAAAAAAACTGTTATAAATGGGAAAAAATATCCCAGTGACAATAGCTACAAAGACAATAAAACGCGGGAAATAAACAATAGTGCATCCATGCTTTGGAACATTACACAATCTTGCAGATGCGTGCATTAGGCCATTATCTATTGTCCCAGAGACACACATAATTAGGATGCTGTGGTGGCTTTGAGTTTCATGTTGCTTAAGATAGTTTTTTTTTCTTTTTTGAGACAGGGTCTCACTCTGTTACCCAGGCTGGAGTGCAGTGGCATGACCACAGCTCACTGCAGCCTCGACCTCCTGGGCTCAAGTGATCCTCCCACCTCAGCCTTCCCAGTAGCTGGGACTACAGGAGCACACCACTAGGCCCAGCTAATGTTTTGTACTATTTGTGGAGACGGGGTTTTGCCATGTTGCCCAGGCTGGTCTCGAACTCCCGGACTCAAGCAATCCTCCCACCTTGGCCTCCCAAAGTGCTGGGATTACAGGCATGAGTCACCATGCCCAGCCTTAAGATAGTTTTGATGATTGTCAAGATTTTCAAGCAAGGCTAGGCCCAAAACTACGGAGAAACCCTCAATCCATCTGGTCTCCATTTGCATGTAGGACTGAGAGATCTCAGTAACCAGCACCTTTCCTCTCCTGGATCAGGCAAAGAATCGCACGTGCCAGCCACATCCTCCATATGGCTTTCTCAGGCTCTGTTCTGCAATTAGAAGATAATCACATGCAAATACCTCTTGCAGGGTGTCACGAGAAAGGAAACCGTTCCTCCTCTGGAGAACGTGCCCATCTTGCGTCACACGCAAAAAAGATGTCTTTGAGTCTCATAACCTTTAGAGAGTACATTTCACAATGTCACGACGTACCCTTGCCTGATGCGTTGATATCATCTTTTCTGTGTGTGTCAAGAATCTGTACAAAGCATGAATTATGTATTTGGTGGTTTAGGCTAAGCAGCCTCTGAAAGCCAGACCGGGTCATCGCTGGGATCTCTCCATCGTGCTCAGCAAGCTGGAGATGGAATCCCCATTGATGAAAGTCAGATAACCTCATTAGCGGGCCCCACCTAATTTCCTTTTTTTGATAGCACTTTTGAAGGTGCAGTGACTAGATTTCAGGGAGGCTTTTAATCAAATGAGAAACATGGGCTGAAAAATAACGTATCCTGGAGGAATTGTAGCCAGGTGAACAACCACAATGAGGGGCTCTTGTCAGCCATGCAGGTTGCTGGCAGTGGCTTCTGTGTGACGTGGCTGGGACTCTGATATGGTCTGGCTGTGTCCCCACCCAAATCTTGTCTTGAATTGTAGCTCCCATAATTCCCACATGTTGCGGGAGGGACCTGGTGGGAGATCACTGAATTGTGGGGGCGATTTGCCCCATACTGTTCTCATGGTAGTAAATAAGTCTCAAGAGATCTGATGATTTGACAAGGGGTTTCCCCTTTCTCTTGGCTCTCATTCTCTCTTGTCTTCCGCCATGTAAGACGTGCCCTTCACCTTCCGCCAAGATTATGGGCCCTCCCCAGCCACATGGAACTGTGAGTCCATCAAGCCTCTTTTTCTTTATAAATTACTCAGTCTCGGGTATGTCTTTATCAGCAGCATGAGAACAAACCAATACAGATTCCACATTCTGAGTCTCGTGTGGTTGAGGTTCTCGCTACTGGAGAAGGGAGGACAACGTGCCCCCTTGATATGGTTTGGATCTCTGTTCGCACCAAATCTCATGTCAAACTGTAATCCCTGGGGTTTGAGGTGGGGCCTGGTGGGAGGTATTTGGAGGTGACTGGGGCCAGAGTTCTCATGAATGGGTTAGCACCATCCCCCTGGGTGCTGTTCTCCCAATAGTGAGTGAGTTCTCGTGAGATCTGGTTGTTCAAAAGTGTGTAGCACTGGCTGGGCACAGTGGCTCACGCCTGTAATCCCAGCACTTTGGGAGGCCGAGGTGGGCAGATCACTCGAGGTCAGGAGTTCAAGACCAGCCTGGCCAACATGGCGAAACCCTGTCTCCACTAAAAATACAAAAATTAGCTGGGCATGGTGGTGGGTGCCTGTAATCCCAGCTACTCAGGAGGCTGAGGCAGAAGAATTGCTTGAACCTGGGAGGTGGAGGTTGCAATGAGCTAAGATCATGCCACTGTACTCCAGCCTGTGCAAGAGACACTGTTTCCAAAAAAAAAAAAAAAAAAAGTATGTAAAAAAGTGTGTAGCACCTCCCTCGTCTCTCTCTTTCTCCTGCTCCTGCCATGTAAGACACCTATGCCTGCTCTGCCTTCCGCCATGATTGAAAGCTCCCTGAGGCCTCCCCAGAAGCAGATACCACCATGCTTCCTATACCTGAGAGCCTGCAGAACCATGCACCAATGAAACCTCATTTCTTTTTATTTATTATTTTTTTTTGAGATGGAGTTTCGCTCTTGTCACCCAGGGTGGAGTACAATGGCTCAATCTCGGCTCACTGCAACCTCTGCCTCCAAGTTCATGTGATTCTCCTGCCTCAGCCTCCCTAGTAGCTGGGATTACAGGTGCCCACCACCATGCTCAGCTAATTTTTTAAAAAATATTTTTAGTAGAGATGGGGTTTCACCATATTGGCCAGGCTGGTCTCAAACTCCTGACGTCAAGTGATCCACCTGCCTTGGCCTCCCAAAGTGCTGGGATTACAGAAGTGAGCCACTGCACCCGGCCAGCCTCATTTCTTTATAAATCACCCAGGCTCAGGCATTTCTTTCTAGCAGTGTGGGAAGGGACTAACACACCCCTCCTAGTAGGAAGAGAAAACAGAGGCCTGTGTGTGGGCCTCCCCAGCCCCTACCCATGTCTTTCCCCTGCTGGTCCTATTGTGTATCCTCTCACCGTACTGGGCCTCGGCTGCGAGTAAACCACACGCTGTGTCCCATGAGCCCTTCCGGTCCATCACTGAGTGTGTGGCTGGCCTTGGGGAGCCCCCACCCCAAACCACCTGCTGTAGGAGGAAATCGCATACACGTCCAAAGGACCATAAGGTCTGGCTCATGTGCAAGAACCAGGAGCGCATGTGGGGAGCGGGTCTTGAGGGTGTGGGACCAGCGGTCGGGAGAGAAGGCTCAGTCGGGGAGAATTTACCAGCATGCAATCACGGTCCTGTGATCTGAGGTGGAGTGGCCTGAGGCCCTGAAACCTTCTTCCTACACTGCCTGGGTGGCTCCTGGAGGCTTTCATATTATGAAGACCTACAGTAAATTAGGAGAGGCTGGAACTGCCTTGGCAAAGCATTGAGGTAGGGGTCAGAAGGCCCCGGAAGGGGCAAAACCGGACGACTTCGCCAAGTCCAGGGAAAGGCAAGCCGGATGATTTTGCCATGTCCAGGGAAGGGGAAGCCAGACGACTTCTCCACGTCCAGAGAAGGAGAAGCCAGACGACTTCGCCAAGTGAGATTTGAGAACGCAGCCCTGACCATTGTCCCTAAGAAGGTCCAGAGGACCCCTCTGGCTGAAGCATTAGAGGGGCACTGGTGCATCTGGGGTGCTCGAGGGATACTGTCCTCCACAGCCTCCTGAGTGTCAACAGAGATGACAAGACTACAGGGTGGAGAGGGCAGGGGGTGGCCCTGCACTGCCAGTGGCTAAGGGGGCATGATTATTATAATGACAGAAAGGCCCAGTGCCCTTTGGGATGAGCATGGTGACTTAATCTGTATCCCTAAAAGGGAAATACAGAGCTGGTGAACCAAAGGCTGGTATCAGCCACCGCAATGAAAAAGCATCTTCAGTCAATTTCATAGCCCCAGAGCCCATCCGTACACGAGGATCCCAGGCCTCCTTAAGAAAGAGCCCCACAGTGGCCCTGCAAGTATATTTGATAGAGTCCCTCAATTTTTTTTTTTTTAACATAGAGACAAGGTCTCACTATGTTGCCCAGGCTGGTCTTAGACTCCTGGGTTCAAGTGATCCTCCTGCCTCAGCCTCCCAAAGTGCAGGGATTACAGGTGTGAGCCATTGCACCTGGCCGAGTCCCTTAACCTCTCCCTAAAGGAACCTACGGACATGTGTCAGAGTATACGCTGGGAAAAGGGAGGATGCAGACATTTCAGGGCTGTTGGATCCACGGTCTGAGTTGACACTGACACCAAGAGGCCTCAAATGCTGCCGATTCTTGCCAGCTAGGGGGCTCTGTGATGGGCCAGAAGTAACGGGAGGGCAGAGCGGGTCTGAGCGGCGCATGGGTTGGACTGTACTGGGAGCCCCTTCCCCTCCTTCATGTCCTCTGGGTCCAGCAACAAGCTTCGTGTCATGGTAGCTGACGGTGCTTTGCCTCCCCCACTCTGTGTCCCCGCAGTAGGACTTCTCCGAAGACACGGGGAGGGGCAGCTTGTGCAGGCACAGGCCTAGAAGTTCAAGGGCATTGATCCCAACTTGAAGACATTACAAAAACGGGTGAGAAATGTCTCGGTGTGCACACCCTAACACGTCAGCCTGAAGATGGGCTGTGAAAGGTGAATAAAACACAGCTTCCGGTGCACAGAAATCGAGTCAGCTGTTAACTTCAGGTTTTGTTTGCTTATATCTTATTTTATTTGCTATTTTAAGGTATTTCTGGAGAAGACCTAAAGGACAGGGAACTACTGTCTTGCAATCCTAAGGAGAAACTCCAGAAGCCAGAGCTGGCTTGCAGCTTAGAAGAAAACTTTCCTCCCATGGAATTGTGTCCCTTGGCAGTCCTCATAACGCCCAGGAATGACAAAAATCTCAGAATGACATCTTGCTGGAAAGGATGCAGCGAATGTGGCCTAGAAATATAAATTCACATTACAGATGATTTCAGAACCCTGGCTTAGGCCTGAAAAGGACCCATGAGGCCTGATGGGGGCAGGCCTAGGGGCTTTGTCAACAGGACAGTGTCCTAATTTTCTAGGCCATCTTTATGAAGTCTCCAGCTGTCAGTCCACATGGCCCGCTGTGTCCCTACAAAGCTATGAGAGACAACAGGACTAATCCGCCAGCCCTCTTCTTTGGTGCCATGGCAGGAAGCCACACTCACCAGCAAAGCTGACCCCAATCTGAACCTGCAGACATGCAGCTCCCGGGCACACACCCACACAAATGTCCCTGGGATCAGATCGCTGTGCAAAGACAGCATAGCCCACACCATCTTGTTGGCAAATGAGAATGTAGATGAGAGGGCCACACAACCTGGCTGACTGTGTTGGATGATATCGGAGACGGTGGGCAAAGCCAGCCTGCTGGGCTGCCCCATCTGCCTTGCCCAGGGCAGGAAGAGGTTTTTCAGACTTTGCCCATGAGTATGTTACCAGCAGCAAATCTGCACGGGTCAGCAGCAACTCCATCCTTGCCTCCTCAGTGGAAAGAATCTGGAGCAGAAGTAGGTTTAAGGTAGAGGGAGAGATTGAGGCACGTTTTAGAACAGGAGTGAGGGTTTATGAAAAAGTTTTAGAGCAGGAGTGAAAGGAAGTTAAAGTATACTTGGAAGAGGGCTGAGTGCGCCACGTGAGAGATCCAAGTGACCGCTCAGCCCTGGGCGTGGGGTTTATCCGTTGGCACGGCTCTGGAGTTTTCTCTTCTCCTCCCTCGGTTCTTCCCTTGGGGCGGGCTGTTGCTCAACAGCCCCATGCAGCAGTGTTGGTCAGCACTCAGGAGGGTAATTGCATGTGTAGTGAGTTGACTGAGGTTGTGCGCATGCTCTCTAGGGGCGGTTTTCCTTTACTGGTTGAATGCCCCCAGAGGAAGTTCATACATCCGCCATTTTGCCTCTTAGTGCGCACGCTTGAGCCCACTCGCCCAACTCGAGAGCTTATCGGGAAGCTGCTGATCACCAGTTTCAGGTGTTTTTTTATTTATTGGGAGACCATCTTCCCCTGGTGTGAGCTGCAACCAATGATCATTTCAGAGAGACAGTTTAACAACTGCCTGACCATCACCTGATGGTCACCTGACATTCCTGGGCTGGTGGGCGCCACTCATGTCTGCCTAACTTCCTCCTCTAACAAGCAGAGCCATGGAATGAAGACAGGCAGCTCAGGCAGGGTCGGCCAGCCTGCACCCAGGGCTTCCAAGGCATCTTCTATTCCAGGGAGGCAGCGTTCTCCCCAACCTCCGCCAAGCCAGCATCCAGGGATGTCACCTCAATAAAGGAGGCCTCCCAGCCTGCACTAGGCACCTCCAGCTCCTTTCTGTAGGCCCCAGGAGCCTGTGACATAGAGCAAAATGTCACAGTCATTGAAGGCTCTGTGTGCAAGTAACAAGTCTCCCATTCAGAGAACTGCTCCCTCATCAAGCTCTCCTGGCAGCCCCCACCAGCATGCTCTCTTCCCGTTTAACCCCAGCAGCCCCGCAACTCATGCTTCCAGTCTGGTCCTAGCTCATCTCCAGAGCAGCGATCAATATCCATAAAGAGCTCCCTACTTGGAGTGCTGGGCCAGCTCTTTGCCCAGGGAGGGAGTGGAAGTCTAGGTTGATCATAAAGAAGTCAACCCACCCTGAAGTCACCATAAACCTAACAGGGGCCTTCCTTAAGGTATCCGTGACTATTTTACATATGCCTTGAGTTTTATAGTAGAAAACAATCAGGTGGGCTAAAGAGTGTGTGCAGGCTCATGTGCATCCAGCTCTGGTTGGTTGGAACTATCATGCCCACCCCAGTGAATCCACTGGACCACTTCGTTGCCTGACAGCCAGTGACGTATTTGGTCACGTGCAGCCACGTTGCCTTTAGGTGGCAGTGCCACTGGAGAGCTCCTCACATCTCCCTGTCTCCCCCAGCAGTGCAAGGGTGTGCAGGGATTCAAGTATTTAATTATTAAATTAAATCAAAGCCTTGAGGACTGTGTGTTTTATTGGGGGAAAAGGCTCAAACCAAACTTCAATAATATTGTTAAAGTTTTCAGCAGGATTTTGTCAGAAAAGTGAAGTATGAGAAATATGGTAACGTTTAGCCTTGTGGGAATAAAATCACTTGAGAAATACGCCTGTGCATCAAAGGGCATTATCAAGACAGTGAAAAGGCTACCCACAGAGTTGGAGAAAACGTTTGCAAATCATCTCTCTGATAAGGATCTAGCATCTGGAATATAAAGGAATTCTTACAAGTCAATAGCAAAGACGAACAACCCAATTTTAAAATGATCGAAGGACCTAATAGATATTTCTCCAAAGGAGATCTATAAATGGCCAATAAGCACATGAAAAGATGTTCAACATCACCAGTCATTAAGAAAATGCAAATCAGAACAACAATGAGATACCACTTTACAACCTCTAGGGTAACTACAATTTAAAAAAAGAAAACTGAAAATAACAAGAGTTGGTGAGGATGTGGAGAAATTAGGACGCTCATACATTGCTGGTGGGAATGAAAAATGGTGCAGCTGCTATGAAAAACAGTTTGGTTGTTCCTTAAAAAGTTAAACATAGAATTACCGTATGACCCAGCAATTCCGCTCCTAGGTATACACCCAAAAGAACTGAAAACTGGTACTCAAAAACTGGTACACATATACTCATAGCATCATTATTTATAGTCACTAAAAGATGGAAGCAACCCAGGTGTCCATCAACAGACGGATGGATAAACAAAGTGTGGTCTATTCATACACATGAACATTATTCATTCTTAAAACATCCCGGCCAGGCACAGTGGCTCACGCCTGTAATCTCAGCACTTTGGGAGGCAGAGGCGGGTGGATCACCTGAGGTCAGGAGTTTGAGACCAGTCTGGCCAACATGGTGAAATCCCATCTCTACTAAAAATATAAAAAAATTAGCCAGGCGTGGTGGCGGACGCCTGTAATCCCCGCTACTCAGGAGGCTGAGGCAGGAGAATCGCTTGAACCTGGGAGGCGGAGGTTGCAGTGAGCCGAGATTGTACCATTGCACTCCAGCCTGGGTGATGGAGCAAGACTCCATCTCAAAAACAAAAAAGCAAAAAAAGTCCTGAAGCAGTGATACACGTGACAACATAGATGAACCTTGAAAATGTTATGCTTAGTGCGAGAAACTGGGCACAAAAGGCCACATATTATACAATTCCATGTACATGAAACACCCAGAATAGGTGATCCATGGACAGAAAGCAGATGAGCGGCAGCCAGGGACTGTGGGGAGGCAGAATGAGGAGAGACTGTTCATGGGGTCAGGGTTTCCTTTTGTTTCGCAGGCTCAGGGTTTCCTTCTGTTTTTGTTTTTAGAGACAGGGTCTCGCTCTGTTGCCCAGGCTGGAGTGCAGTGGCACGATCACGGCTCACTGCAACCTCGACCTCCTGGGCTCAAGTGATCCTCCCACCTCAGCCTCCCGAGCAGCTGGGACCTGACTGGCTGGGACCACAGGCACGCACCACCATGCCCAGCTTGGGGTTTCCTCTTGGGGTGAGGGAAATGTGTTACAAGTAGGTAGAGATGGTGGCTGGAAAACCTTGTGTAAGTACTAATTGCTGCTGAATTCTTCATTTTGAAATGGTTAGTTTTATGTTATGTGAATTTCAGCTCAGGAAAAAAAAATTCCAAAAGCAAAAAAGAAAATAAACGTAAGTCGGCGATTCAGTTTCCACCCACTCAACCCACAGATGTATTGTCAGGAAAGCATTGCCTCAAAAGCCAGAGGCTGCCGGCACACACTCAGGACCAGTCCAGAGGCACCAAGGGCCACTGTGGCGAGCCGGGGTGCCCAGAGGCTGGGGAACGGTGGAGGGCCGTGTCCCAGGAGTCGGCAGAGCAGAAAGGGAGGCTGAGGGCGATTTGGGCACCGCTGCTGCAGCCCCTGGTACTGATGGAGAAAGGATCTGGAAAGTGGGGCAGTGCGGGGGGCTCCTCTTACCGGGTTTCCCACTGCAGACTGAGCCCAGGAGACCTCAATCCCAGGGGAAAAGGACCAGAATTCTCTTCTGAGGGAACAGAACACACAGATTCAGCAGCAGCAGGAGTGACAGGGCCCTGCCGGGAGTGAGAGGCCCAGCTCCTCCCGCCTGCGCTGCCCCGGCTGATGGCGCTGGATTCCTCGAGCCACACCTGTCAAAGCAGGGCTGAACCTAACGGCTGCCCAGGTCTAGTCCCTTCTCAAACATGCCACTTCCGTGTCCTGAAGCACAGGTCTGCGGCGGACCTCCCCAGGCCAGGATGCCCCGTTGTTGGAGTCACTGAGTTCTACTGATGTGGCTCTCCTGCTGCCGTGGCTGCAGACGGAGGGATGCCACAGCCCCCCCTGCAGTGACCAGGCACAGGAGAACATGGCCCCAGAGCCACCACGGGAGTGTGTCTTGTCTAAACTGACTCAGAAACTCTGCTCCCTGAGCGGCTCAGTGACACAAACACCCTCCTCTCCCTGCATTTCACAGGCAGTGAGGCACGCGGCCTCTATCTACTACATCTGCCTGCTGGATGTCTCTTGTGTTCCGTGGTCCGTGCCACCCCCAGGCTGCACCTGCCTAGTGCAGTTCCGAAGCTCCTCCTGGGTCTGCTTCTGGCCATCCTCTGACAAGCACAGACAGGTTTCAATGGAACGCAAACACCCACCTGCCCCCGACATCTGCAGAGGTGCGCCTGTGCCATGGTGACGTCCGAGGTATCAGAACGAGACCCCATAAAAATAAATATGTTACCCAGAGACAGCAACACTTACAAAAAAGGGTCAGTGTGCATCACTGATGACCATTTAACCCGAAGCAGATCCAGGTGGAATAGGCCCCCATGCCCAGCTGTCAGGGCCGCTGCCAGACCAGGCAAGTACCCAAGAAAGAAGGGAGGGGCTCAAGAAAGGTGCAATGCGTGGGATTCTGCTGCAAAGAGGCGCCGGGAGGAGCTGCAGGGAGGCCCCCACAGGAAGGGAGAGCACGGGAGGTGGGTCTCGGCACCCGTCGGGGCATGGCCCCTTCTTCCCCTCACTGGGGTGCCACATGCCCGCCCGGGGTCTGCAGGAAGCGAGGGGTACTGTCCTCCGATTAGATGGTCAGCCTGGGCCTTGCCGTGTGGCTTTCCTATGATGCCCATGAAGGCAGTCCCAGGACCACACTGCGGACCCTGAGGAGGTACCAAAAAGGGAGGGAAATGCCCCCCATGCCCACACATCGGGGCCACTGCCCTACACGGGTTCCACAATTCTCAGTACCTTTCTCCACCACAGGCCTTTGCTGGCCAAGCCTTGATGGAGAGGGGCTCCACGTCAGTGTGGAACCTGACGATGCCCAGCCTCGCTGTCTGAAAGGAGGGGACACTCTCTCTGTACCTTTGTCTTGCTGGGTCAGTGAGGCAGGGAAGATGGCAGGCGGCCAAGAGCCAGCACCACCCTGGCAGGGGGGACAGGCCCTGTCCTAGGACCCAGAGACAGCCACATCGACGCTTGCGCCTTCGTTTCCTTACTGGATGATCTCCAAGCCTCTGACACCCTTGGGATTCTCTCAACGAGATATCTCTTCCCTCCCAGAGCTCACACACTTTGTACGCCTTCTTCCTCCCAGGGTCCCATTCTGGTAGTGAACAAGCATCGTTTGCGGTATCCCTGGACTCACACCTCCTGAGGACACCTGGATTTTTTTAAAGGCTACAACATAGGTGGACCTTAAAAACATTATGCTAAATGTCAATGCATTTGAGGACACGGCCACGCATAGGAGTGTCATCTTTGCACAAAAGCCCAAGGTCATGATCCACCCTTCATAGGCCTAACTCAAGTGCTGTCTTCCTAGTGTCAACCATGGATGTCACATACTTCCATGCTGTGCCCGATGGGCTCAGTGACATAAACATCCTCCTCTCCCTGCATTTCACAGGCGGTGAGGCACGCGGCCTCTATCTGCTGCATCTGACTCCTGGATGCCTCTTGTGTTCTGTGGTCCGTGCCACCCCCAGGCTGCACCTGCCCCGTGCAGTTCCGAAGCTCCTCCTGGGTCTGCTTCTGGCCATCCTCTGACAAGCACAGACAGGTTTCAATGGAATGCAAATACCCACCTGCCCCCGACATCTGCAGAGGCGCATCTAGGCCTGAGAGGCTGGGCCAGGCTGCTTCAGGCTCCACGCGTTATCCTGGGGGCTTCCAAATGTTTCCACTGTGCCTCGCCTTTTGGTATGAGATTTACATGGCTGATAAGCCCAGGGATTACCCAGCGGCATTAGGGGCTGGGGACTTGAGGAGACAGGTTGCAGGTGATTCCAGCTGAAGCCACCCCAGCCTGGCCCAAATTTTGATCCAGGACACACCAGAATGGCACATCTCAGACGAGTTCTGCCACCCAACAACCAAACTCCCAGGCTCAGGCTGGGCACTGTCCTCTCTTGGTAAATCCCCATCCCTGTCACATACAGGGATGAGTCTCCATCTCTGAACTCCACTCCGTATCCAACACTTACCTCCGTCTTTGTCCAGGAAATGCTGGGAAATTCCTGCTCCTTCAAAAGGTACAGAAAAAACCTGATTTCCAAGTAGGTGTTTGTCTCATGGAAGTCAATAGCATGTCCTGCACTGGGGATGGCTCTGAAAAAAAAAAAAAAAAAAAAAAGCAAGTTTCCATGTGCCTGTAACCCAAGGCATGGGCATCCTGGAATCTCTCATGGTGTCATAAACACAATATCCAAGTATGCACCCAAGAGAAATGAAAACATATGTCCACGCAGAGTTCTACACTGCAACGTTCAGCGTTATTCACAGTAGCCAAAAGGTGGGAACCACCCAAATGCCCATCAACAGATGCACAGATAAACAAAATGTGGCCATTACTCAGCCTTTAAACGAGTGAAGTTCTTATACATGTTACAATTTGCATAAACCTGAAAAACATTATTTGCATAAGCCTTGAAAACATTATGTAAGTGAAAGAAGTCAGACACAAAAAGCCACATAGTACGTGATTCCTTTTAGAGGCTGTACCCAGAATAGGCAAATCTGTAGAGCCGGAAAGCGGATTAGCCGTTAGCAGGGGATAGGAGAGGGGAGGAAGCGGGAGTGGTTACAGTCATCCCTTGCTGTCCTTGAGGGATGGGTTCCAAGTCCCCTAAGGATGCCAAAGGCCACAGTTGCTCAAGTCCCTGATGTATGCATAGTATTTTCTTATAACCTATGCACATCCTCCCACACACTTTAAATCACGTCGAGGTTACTTACCATGCCTAATACAGTGTAAGTGCTATGTAAATAGTTGTTACACAGTATTTTTTTAACTTTTTCATCACCTCATAAAAACACCCTGTTCCAGCTGGGCGTGGTGGCTCATGCCTGTAATCCCGGCACTTTGGGAGGCTGAGGTGGGCGGATCACTTGAGATCAGGAGTTCAAGACCAGCCTGGCCAACATGGCCAGGTACAGTTATTTTTTTCCTAATATTTTCAATCCACAGTTGGCTGAATCCATGGATGTAGAACCCGTGGACACCAAGGGCCGGCTGTACTTAATGGGAACAGGGTGTTTTTATGTTTTTATTATTTTTTGAGATGGAGTCTCGCTCTGTCACCCAGGCTAGAGTAGAGCGGCTCGATCTCAGCTCACTGTAACCTCTGCCTCCCGGGTTCCAGCAATTCTCCTGCCTCAGCCTTCTGAGTAGCTGGGATTACAGTTGCATGCCACCACGCCCGCCTAGTTTTTGTATTTGTAGTAGAGACGGGGTTTCACCATGTTGGCCAGGCTGGTCTTGAACTCCTGATTTCAAGTGATCTGCCCACCTTGGCCTCCCAAAGTGCTGGGATTACAGGCATGAGCCACCACGCCCAGCTGGAACAGAGTGTTTTTATGAGGTGATGAAAAAGTTTTGAAACTAGAAAAGAGCTGGTGGCTGTACGACATTGTGAATACACCAAATGACATGGAATCGTGTACTTAACAATGGTTCATTTATGTGAATTTCCTCTCAGTTAAGAAAACCGACGCTACCCGAGGATCTTCTCCCACCTTCCACTGCCCGCCAGCCAAGACTTCAAGTTCACTGTCCTCCTTCCAAAACCCTACAGGGCTCCTGCACTCTGCCATGCACTGAGCTGAGCTTAGGACGGGGACGGGTACCCGATGGGGTATCTTGGAGGAAAACATCATCATCGGGTCTGCAAACAGAGGCAGGTAGGTGTGCATTGTGCCGGATGCTGCGGAGGACATGAACAGTGGCCATGCAGAGAAGCAGGGGGCTCCTTCGCTGGAGTTGGGGGCTGGACTTTCCAGGAGCCCCCTGGGGGAACAGCAGCCAGGGGCCTGGGCAGAGGGAAATGCAGGCATGAGCTCTGAGGTTTCAGGACAGAAAAGCCCAAGGCAGGGCTGCTCCCTGCATGAGTCAACCATCCCTGCAGTAGGCTATGCCCCCAAAAAATCATGTCCGTACACTTAAAATGTTAAGATGGCAGATTTTATGCTACATATATTTTACCACAATTTTAAGAAATTCATGATATACTCAAACCCATTGAATTGTACACTTTAAATGGGTGAATTACGTGGTATGTAAATTATGTCAATAAAGTTATTTATTTTTATTTTTATTTTTTGAGACAGTCTTGCTCTGTCGCCCAGGCTGGAGTGCAGTGGCATGAACTTGGCTCACTGCAAGCTCCACCTCCCAGGTTCACGCCATTCTCCTGCCTTAGCCTCCCCAGTAGCTGGGACTACAGGCGCCCGCCACCATGTCTGGCTAATTTTTTTGTATTTTTAGTAGAGATGGGGTTTCACCATGTTAGCCGGGATGGTCTTGATGATCTCCTGACCTCATAATCCACCTGCCTCGGCCTCCCAAAGTGCTGGGATTACAGGCATGAGCCACCGCACCAGGCCTAAAGCCATTTTTTTTTTAAAAGCTATGTCTAAGCCCTAACCCCAGCCCCTGTGAATGTGAATCCTTGGAAAAACGATTCACCAAGTCCTAACTCCTAGTACCTGTGAATCCTTGGAAAAAGGACCTTTGCCGATGTAATTAAGTTAAGGATTTTGAGATGAGATTATATGAGATTAGGGCATGCCCCATATCCAGTGACTGGTGTCCTTATCAGAGAAAGGCAGAGGGAGACTTGAGACACAGGCCCAGAGGAGAAGTTCATGTGAGATGGAGCAGAGACTGGAGTGACGCCGCCACATACCAAGGAACACCTGGGGCCACCGGAAGCTGGAAGAGGCAGGTAGGACCCTCGCTGGGAGCCTTCGGAGAGAGAGTAGCCCTACTGACACCTGGATCCTGGGCTTCTGACCTCCAGGACGCGAGAGAATCAGCTGCTGTTGCTTTCAGCTGCCCAATGCATGAACATTTGTTCCAGGAGCCCCAGGAAGCCGACCCCATCAGAACGCCAAGGACCGGGGTGGAGAGTCCCACCGTGTCTGAGCAGAGAGTCTGAGTGCTCATAGAATGGGAAGACGCTGCCCTGTATCAAGCCAGGGACCTGATGGGGGCTGGAGAGCGGGCTTGGACATGTGCCTGCTGCCATCGGAGCCGTCTGGGGCCACCACCCAGAGGACAATGTTAAGGATGAAAATTCAGGGCCTCCAATTACACAGAAATCAACATAGCCATGAAATGATAAGGACACCGCAGCTTCCTCTTTTAAGAAGACACAAGGCAGCCGGGCGCAGTGGCTCACGCCTGTAATCCCAGCACTTTGGGAGGCTGAGGCGGGCAGATCACCTGAAGTCAGGAGTTCGAGACCAGCCTGGCTAACATGGAGAAACCCCCTAAAAATGCAAAACTATCTGGGTGTGGTGGCACGTGCCTGTAACCCCAGCTATTCAGGAGGCCGAGGCAGGAGATTCACTCGAACCCGGGAGGTGGAGGTTGTGGTGAGCGGAGATCATGCCATTACACTCCAGCCTGGGCGACAAGAGCGAAACTCTATCTCAAAAAAAAAAAAAAAAAAAAAAAGACGACACAAGGCAGTTCCAGGGGCAGAGATTTGGAATATTTTGAATAAAGGGGGAAAAGGTAAGAAGATACTACACAATGAGGGCTTTAGAAGAATAGTAAGAATTTTTGAGGCTGCGTGCAATGGCTCACACCTGTAATCCCAGCACTTTGGGAGGTCGAGGTGGTGGATTATTCGAGCTTGGGCAACATAGCAAGACCTCATCTCTACTAAAGGTTTTTTAAAAAATTAGCCGGGTATGGTAGCACATACCTGTAGTCCCAGCTACTGAGGAGGCTGAGGTGGGAGGATCACCTAAGCCTGTGAGTTCGAGGCTGCAGTGAGCCAAGATCATGCCACTGAACTCCAGCCTGGGCAACAGAACGAGAGCCTGTCTCAAAAAAAAAAAAAAAAAAAAAAAAAAAAAAAGTAAGAATTTTTGGAATTCAAATGTGAATTTTTAATCTTTTTAATTTTACGAATCATAGAGAAAAGAATCTGAATGAAGATCTGGAAATACAATTTCCAGTCTCTGGCTTTGCTTGGCCTGATCATTTCCAAACAAACCTTAAGACTTGCTGTTTTGCCCAAATTCTTCCCTAGTCTAATCGTCAGGCAGATGTGACCGTGGGGAACTGGCTGTCCCCGCATCAGCAGCAGGCAGCGGCATTACCTGAGGTATTTCCTTCCTGGCAGTTGATCATAGAAGTTCATGGTTCCATCTGTGCTAAAGAATTCATCCCCAGATCCGAAAACCAAGAGCTCTGGTTTGGTCTGATAATGTGTCATATGGTCTTCAGAAGAAAGCAGAACAATCGGTCATTCCAAAGGTCATTTGGAAGAACCAAGGTCATTCAGCTTCTAGTTGTGAGTGGAGGCTGCAGAGGGACCCTAGGAGGCGTGGGACCCTAGAGGAACCCCAGGGATGAGTGGGTGTGGAAGGGGCGCCCTGGTCAGTCAATAGTCAACACAAGAGCACTATTCTAGTCACAAGTGGGCCCAGGAGGCGTTGAGACTGGTGGCCGGGGGCGCCTGCTCTCCTGCCCACCAACCAGGTGACCTGTTCAAGCCACTGAACCTGCCTGGGCCTTAGTCCCACAGCGCTGGGGTGGAGGCAACAGGCGTCGCTGACTCTGGGTTATTGGGGTGGCGGGGTTAGATCAACTGCCAACCTGGCGAACGCCCTGGGACCACGCATGGCTGGTAAGGAACTCTAGAGGGGATTTTTCATCCTTATTATTATGACCGGCGCCCCTCCATGCTGAGTGATGTGCTGAGACTGTGCACGCCACCCTCTGCCCCCTTCATTTCAAAAATGCAGAACGGAGGCTGCAGGGGGCCACCTGCCCAGTGTGCACAGCTCATGAATGACCGGATGAGGTGACACCACCATCTGTCACCCCAGGGCCAGGCCTCTGTCCTCCCCAGAAACTTGTCCTCGCCCACTCCACCTGCAAGTCCTCTAGGGGCTGAGCACTACACAGGAACACGTGCAGATTCCAGCACCCAGAGGTCCTTCACACCTAGCCACAGGGCCTCTGGCAGCCTCGGCCATCCTCTCTGCGTGCCTGAGGCGGCTGCGCTGAGCAGTGGGGGACCCAGGAAAGGTCACGGCTCCCCCAGCACATCTGACACACCTCCCGCCGGGCCAGCTGCTGGCTTCAGCAAGCAGACGTCCCCTTCCTATGGAAAAGCCCATGAAAGCTGATTTGAAATATCTGAGCAGCTGTTTGAAGGACGTGGATCAGCCCTGTTCAGCGGCCTGAGCGGAGAGCGGGGCCAGAGGTACAAGCCTGGGACGGCCCGCAGGCTCTGGGAGACACAAGTCTTCTCAGACTTAGGCCTCATGGGACCCCAGGGGCCTGGTCAGCTGGGTTCCCCAAGGGCTCACCCACAGAGAGCCTCCGTTCTCAGTGTCGCTGTGGATGACCAACACTAAAACCCCCAAGCCCAGACCGCACCTCGTTCCCGCTCACCTCGGAATCCCTGGAGAAATCAGACATCAGCCCTTTAAAAGTTCCCCAGTGACTTTAACGTGCAACCCAGGTGGGGCGTCACTAGGCCAGGTGTCACCCATGTGTGCCCCCAACTGGAGGCCCTCAGTGGGCTTGTTCGAGGGCCTCCAGGCTGGATGTTCGCCCCAGATGGCCCAGATGGCCTATTTTGTGCATTGTCTGGCTGTGTGGAAACAGAACAGCACCATAGTGACATCTAGCCCGGATGTGGGCATGGCCCACCGACCACTGACCGCCTACGTCGTTCTTCCACCCCGAGCGCCCGCATATCCCGTTCCGTTCACCTCCCACTGGGGTCAACACTCCCTTCACAGCCTCCATCTTCCCCGGGGCAGTCCCATTGCTTTGGAGACTTCAAAAAATTGTACTCACAAAAGGGGTCGACATGTTCTATCTTCTCCTGGAAGCGGGGTGTGTCCTTGTTCCCAGTGACATTCAGCGTGTGCAGGGCCCGTACGCATGCACTCTGGCCTCCAAAGCACCTGTCGTTGTGGAGATTCCACAGCAGGCAGGGTGGAGATGGTGAGCCGCAGACATCACACCTGCCCCAGGTCAGGCCGAGGCTGCTCATCAGGAGCCCCGAGACCTCGAATGCAACGTCTTCAGATCCCAATTCCCTCCCTGCATGGAGCAGAACAGTGTCTCTCAAAAACTCACGCCCACGAGAAGTCTCAGAATGTGGCTTTTAGTAGAAATAGGGTCTCTGCAGATGTCTTTCATTAAGCTGAGGCCATATTGAGTGAGGGTGGATCCCAATCCAGTAACTGGGGTCTGTATAAGGAGAGAGAACAGAGGCACATGAACGGAAGGTCAAGCGACAACGGGTGCAGGGATGGCAGCCAGGCAGCCACAAGCCAAAGGACGCCCAGGATGGCCAGCAGCCCTGGAAGCCGGGAAAGACAAGGGAGGCTCTTCCCCTACAGCCTGCAGAGGGAGCAGGTCATTATCTGTTAATATCTTGATGTTGCAGTTTGGCCTCCAGAACTGTGAGAAATGTGATGTTGTTTGATGCCACCCAGTTTGTGTTCCTCTATTACAGCAGCCCCGGAGACTAGTAAGTGGGTCCCTGGCAGAGGAAGGGGACAGAGCGTCGAATTCTCCTCCCCGCAGGGAGCCACCTGGGCTCCGAGAAACCCTTGCACCGGCCAGAGGCCATGACACTAATGCTGGAATGTTCTCTGTGAGCGATGAAGCTTTCAACCAGACTCCGCTAGAGAAAAATACCCGACAGAACTGTTTACCCGATTAAATGAAATTAAATTCAGTTTTCTTGTTGCCAAGCAGAAATGAGGCCCTGTCATAGGAATGTCTGAGCAGTTATAAAAATAGGAGTTCATGTTTGCACATAGCTGGTTGAAAACAGAAAATTCACACCTGCTCTAAGAGATAAACAATGCACAGCTGAGCGTTGAACTCACACAAACGAGCCACCATGCACTGCAGAACAGAAACAGAAGAAGACTTAAGAAAAAAGCCAAGATAAATGATCACAGCCAGGCACGGTGGCTCATGCCTGTAATCCCAGCACTTTGGGAGGTTGAAGCAGGCAGATCATTTGAGGTCAGGAGTTCAAGACCAGCCTGACCAACATGGTGAAATCCCATCTCTACAAACAAACAAAGAAACAAACAAAGAAACAAACAAAAAATTAGCTGGGTGTGGTGGCAGGTGCCTGTAATCTCAGCTACTCAGGAGGCTGAGGCAGGAGAATCACTTGAACCTGGGAGGCAGAGGTTGCAGTGAGTGGAGATCACACCACTGGACTCCAGCCTGGGTGACAGAGTGAGACTCCATCTCAAAAAAAAAAAAAAAAAAGATCCTTCCTCCCCAATTCCAACACCCCCCAGGAAAACTCAGTCTACAATTGAATATAAAGCAAAGAACTGGCTGTTTGAAAAGTTCATCAAAACGTGCAAATGTCTGGCAAGATAAATAAAGAAAAACCACAAACATAAACCACGCCAGCCTGGGCAAAAGAGTGAGAAGAGAAGAGGGGAGAAGAGGGGAGAAGAGGGGAGGGGAGAAGAGGAGAGAAGAGGGGAGGGGAGGGGAGAAGAGGAGAGAAGAGGGGAGGGGAGGGGAGAAGAGGGGAAGGGAGAAGAGAGGGGAGGGGAGGGGAGAACGGGAGGGGAGGGGAGGGGAGAAGAGGGGAGAAGAGGGGAGGGGAGGAAAGAAAGAGAGAGAAAAGGAGTGAGGGAGGGAGGGAAGGAAGGAAGGAAACCAAAGGCCAGAGGAGAGCCTGGAGGGGGTCCTGCTCACAGCCTCAGAAGGGATCAACCCTGCAGACACCTGGATATCAGACTTTGGCCTCCAGAACTGTAAGATGGTACCTTTCTGTTGTTAAAGCCAGGGGTCCTCAACCCCTGGGGCCACAGACAGTGCCCTGTCTGGGCCACACAACAGGAAGTGAGCAAACGAAGCTTCATCTGTATTTGCAGCCACTCCTCATCACTCATGTTACCGCAGAACTCCGCCTCCTGTCAGATCAGTGGTGGCATTTGATTCTCAGAGGAGCACGAACGGTATTGTAAACTGCGCATGCGAGGGATCTAGGTTGTGGGCTTTTTTTTTTTTTTTTTTTTTTTTTTTTTGAGACACAGTCTCGCTCTGTCGCCCAGGCTGGAGTGCAGTGGCGCAATCTCGGCTCACTGCAAGCCCCGCCTCCCGGGTTCACGCCATTCTCCTGCCTCAGCCTCCTGAGTAGCTGGGACTACAGGTGCCCACCACCATGCCTGGCTAATTTTTTTGTATTTTTAGTAGAGACAGGGTTTCACCGTGTTAGCCAGGATGGTCTCGATCTCCTGACCTCGTGATCTGCCCTCCTGGGCCTCCGAAAGTGCTGGGATTACAGGCGTGAGCCTCCGAGCCCAGCCCCTGAGCCACCGCGCCCAGCGGTTGTGGACTTCTTATGAGAATCTAATGCCTGATGACCTGTCACCATCTCCATCACCCCCAGATGGGTCTGTCTAGTTGCAGGAAAACAAGCTCAGGGCTCCCACTGATTCTTCATGATAGCGCAGTTGTATAAGGATTTCATTATATATTACAATGTAATGATAATAAAGTACACAATCAATGTAATGTGCTTGAATCATCCTGAAACCATCCCCCACCCCTGCCCCCATCCATGGAAAAAATTTTCTTCCACAAAACTCATCCCTGGTGCCAAAAAGGTTGGGGACTGCTGGTTTGAGCCAAAAACAAAAATCAAAAAAACAAAAACAGGCTGGGCACGGTGGGCGGCTCACACCTGTAATGCCAGCACTTGGGGAGGCCAAGGCGGGCAGGTCACTTGAGCCCAGGAGTTTGAGACCACCCTGGGCAACATGGCAAAGCCCCGTCTCTACTAAAAATACAAAAATTAGCAGGGCGTGGTGGCAGGCACCTGTAATCTCAGCTACTTGGGAGGCTGAGGCACGAGAATCACTTGAACCCAGGAAACGGAGGTTGCAGTGAGCTGAGATCACGCCACTGCACTCCAGCCTGAGCGACAGAGAGAGACTGTCTCAAAAACAAAAACAAACTTCTCCCCCTCTCCCTTCCCCCCAGAGGTCGCCAGGCCAACACCATTTTACCGATTCTGACAAACCTTCCATGAATATATAATTTCCATGTTATTTAAATTACTACAGAACCCCTGAAGAGATTATTTTATCTTTTTTTTTATAGAGATGGGGTCTCACTATATTGCCCAGGCCAGTCTCAAACTCCTGGCCTCTGGCAATTCTCCCGCCTCGGCCTCCCAAAGTGCTGGGATTACAGGCAAGAGGTTATTTTTATAAAGTGAAGGTTTTCCTAGGTTATTTTATAAAAGTGAAGGCTTTGCTAGCAAAGACTGACCAAAGTAGTCAAGGAAAATGAGAGATCAATGTCTCACGGGAAATGAGAGATTCAAGAACCCAAATCAACCATCAGCAAGTGGGCAGTAACTGTCCCTATTAAAAATGATCCTTAGGAGGCTGGGTGCGGTGGCTCACACCTGTAATCCCAGCATTTTGGGAGGCCAAGGTGGGAAGATTGCTTGAGCCCAGGAATTTGAGACCAGCCTGGGCAACATGGTGAAACCCTCTCTCTAAAAAAATAAAAGTGATCCCGGCCAGGTATGGTGGCTCACACCTGTAATCCCAGCACTTTGGGAGGCTGAGGCAGGTGGATCATGAGGTCAGGAGATCGAGACCATCCTGGCTAACACAGTGAAACCCCATCTCTACTAAAAATACAAAAAAATTAGCTGGGCATGGTGGCGGTGCCTGTAATCCCAGCTACTTGGGAGGCTGAGGCAGGAGAATGGTGTGAACCCAGGAGGCAGAGCTTGCAGTGAGCCAAGATCACGCCACTGCACTCCAGCCTGGGCAACAGAGTGAGACTCCATCTCAAAAAAAAAAAAAAAATCCCATGACTCAGTAGGCTTGATTCCAGAACATAAGTTTGGTTCAAATTAAGATATTTACCCACATAAATTGTTATATGAATAAACTAAAAGTGAGAGACCATTTGAACATTTCAGTAACATTTCAATAGCTACTGAAAGGCACTTGATAACATTTAGAAAATGTTCTCACTAAAAAAAGAAATCCTTAGCAAACCAGAAAAACAATGAAACCTGCTTAATGTTATAAAATGTATGTACATATTGAAACCAAAAGCCAAAGGCACTATCATCTTGAGGGATGAAATTCCAGAGGCCTTCCTGGAAGAGGCACTGCCGTCTTGAAGTCCTGTATCCTATGCCCAAGGCCAGGGCCAGAGGGTGTAAATGCTGAAGAAGAAGGGATAAACATGTTCCTGTTGGCCAATGACATGATTAACGAGGAAATCTAGCCTACGTAACTAAAAAATTACCAAACGGATGAGTATTTACACATATGTATCAGTAGTAACCATTTAGAAAACACAAACTTTTAAACTTTCCATTTCAAATAGCTACTAAAAGTAAAAAGAATTTTCAAATAAACTCAACAAATAACAATGCTTGGAGTAGAAAACTGCAGTAATTCCCTGGAGGACAAGGTACCTGAACAAAAGGAGAGATATTTTGTGTTCCTGGGTAGGAAAAATGTAATCATACAAAACATGCCAATTCTTCCATATACAATACAGACCCAATCAGAATTACGTTGCGTTGTTTTCTGTTTATTTGTTTTAACTTAAGTTGAATTTCAAAGTACACTTGGAAGAATGCTTGAAAGAAAATTAGCCAAACATTTTTAAAAAGAAGAATGTTCAGGAAACCTTTCTCTATCAGATATAAAAACAGGCCGGGCACAGTAGCTCATGCCTATAGTCCCAGCTACTTGGGAGGCTGAGGTAGAAGCATTGCATGAACTCAAGAGTTCAAGGTTGCAATGAGCTATGATTGTGCCGCTGCACTCCAGCCTGGGAGACAGAACAAGACGCTGCCTCAAAGAAGAAAATGTACAGTAAGCTCTTGTTATTAAAACTATATGGCAGTGACCAAAGCATAGACAAATGATCAGTGGAAGAAAACTGAAGTTCAGAAAAAGACCCAGGTAGGCTGGGCGTGGTGGCGGGCACCTGTAATCCCAGCTCTTTGGGAGGCCGAGGTGGGCACATCACGAGGTCAGGAGGTCGAGACCATCCTGGCTAACATAGTGAAACCCCGTCTCCACTAAAAATACAAAAAATTAGCCGGGCGTGGTGGCGGGCGCCTGTAGTCCCAGCTACTCAGGAGGCTGAGGCAGGAGAATGGCGTGAACCCAGGAGATGGAGCTTGCAGTGAGCCGAGATCGTGCCACTGCACTCCAGCCTGGGCGACGGAGTGAGACTCTGTCTCAAAAAAAAAAAAAAAAAAAGGATCCAGGTATGTCTGAGAATTTAGCACATGACAAATATAATATTGGAAAGCATGGGGGGATTTACACAATACACAGTGTTGAAATGATTCGGAAAAAATAAAACTAAATAGCTATCTTACTTGATACAAAAAGTTAGAAATAGAATGTCTATATTACTTCCTTTGAGATGGAGTCTTGCTCTGTCACCTAGGCTGGGGTGCAGTGGCACAACCTCAGCCCACTGCAGCCTCCACCTCCCGGGTTCAAGGGATTCTCCTGCCTCAGCCTCCCGAGTAGTTGGGATTACAGTTATAGCCACCATGCCCGGATAATTTTTGTGTTTTTAGTAGAGACACGGTTTCACCACATTGGCCAGGCTGGTCTCGAATTCCTGACCTCAAGCGATCCACCCGCCTCAGCCTCCCAAAGTGCTGGGATTACAGGCGTGAGCCACCGCACCTGGCCCACAACCAAAAACTTAAAAACCTGGCTGTTTACAAAATGAAGACATTATGCCAATCAAAACCAGCCAAACATGAAAGACCAAATATTGCCGGATTCCATTTATATGAGGTATAAATTGACCACCTAGAGGAGTCAAATTCGTAGAGACAGAAAGTAGATTAGCGATTACCAGAGGCCGGGGCAGGGCGGATGGGGAGTGAGTGTTTCGTGGGTGTGGAGTTTCAGTTTGGGATAGAAGAAGTTCTGCAGGTGGATGGTGGCGGCAGCTGCACAACAACGTGAATGGACTGAATGCCCAGGATAGTGCACTTAAAATGGTAAAAGTGGCCAATTTTATGTTATGTATATTTTAACAGAATTGTTTAAACCTGGCTGCTGATTTATATTGAGATAAATTCTACTTATTTATATTAAAAACTGTCATATTTATTTTTTTGACTAAGTTTTCAGAATAAATTACATAAAATAAGTGAAATCACTGGATTCAATTACTGGCCCGGGAGACAATGGCGGGCCACACTACCCAAGGACGCCTTGAGGTTCGAGATTTGCCCTAATAAATTTCCTGTTTGGTGAAAAAGCTAAACAGGTGAGTAGGCACAGGGTGAAGAAATGCAAGTGAAGATGAGAGGGGAGGAAATATGCCAAAGTGAAGAAATATACTAAACAGTGCTTTTGGATGATAATCTAGGAACAATCTAGGAACTCCAGCTCTCATCTTGATGTAGTTTAACCAATAACTTGGTTTTGGAGCCAAGGTAATGACTCAATCATCCACGGCAGCCAGGAGCCAAGCTGTCAACCCTCATTGCAAAAAAAGCACAGAAAACCAAATATCAAGCGTGGCCTCAAAAAGAATGAGGGGGCTGGGCGTGGTGGCTCATGCCTGTAATCCCAGCACTTTGGGAGGCCGAGGCAGGTGGATCACGAGGTCAGGATTTCAAGACCAGCCTGGCCAATATGGTGAAACCCCACCTCTGCTAAAAACACAAAAATTAGCTGGCATGGTGGCGCGCACCTGTAGTCCCAGCTCCTCAGGAAGCTGAGGCAGAAGAATTGCTTGAACCCAGGAGGCAGAGACTGCAGTGATCCAAGATCGTGCCATTGCACTCCAGCTTGGTGACAGAGACTCCATCCCCCCACCAAAAAAATAAATAAATAAATAGGGAAAGAAAACTATCTTTTTCTTTTTTCTGTAAAACCGATTTTTAAATTTCCTCTACTGGGACATGTTGCCCCTTTCAAAGACAATCCCTCCTCTCCTCCAAGATTCATCTTAAAAGCCACTTCACACTCTCCCTGAACTGCTCAAATTGAAATTTTACCCCATCTCCCAAGACTTACGTAGAATGAGAACCAGTTGCGAAGCTTTCCCGGTCCACGGCCGCCAGATCTAGCCCCCTACCTTGGCGTTCCAACACCCTGATGGTGCCCCCCCGAGAAGCCTTTCCAGGGTTGTCCGGGAAGGACAGTCCGGCCCTTTCTCTGAATTAGTTGCTCCCTCGTGTAGAGTTCTGTCTTGCTAGCTCTGAACCCTTCATCAGGCCTTCCTGCAAAGAGTAGGTGTGCAACAGACAGTTATCGAATCCAGTTACATGGTGTTTGTCTGAAGCCATTTTCCATGTTGCTGTGGTCTAAATGTTGATGTCCCCACAAAGTCCCAGGCTGGAACAGAATCCCCAAGGCAATGGTATTAACAAGAGGGGCCTTTTTCCAGCGATGAGGTCATGGAGCTGAGTGCTAATGAGCGGGATGAGTACCCTTGTAAAAGAGGTGCGAGGGAGCCGTTTGTCCCTTCTGCCACCTGAGCAACATCGTGCCACCTTGGAAGCAGAGGCCAGGTCCTCACCAGACACTCAACCTGCTGGCGCCTGGATCTTGGACTTCCCAGACTCCAGAACGGTGAGAAATCCATTTCTGTTTAAATGACCCGGTGTCAGATATTTTTGTTACAGCAGCAGGGATGAACTAAGACACACACATTTTAGACAACTGCCTACATAACTAATAAGAATGGGCCAGGGGGTGGGGGGTTAGGGGAGGGATAGCGTTAGGAGAAACACCTAATGTTGATGGCCGGTTGATGGGGGCAGCAAACCACCATGGCACGTGTATAACTATGTAACAAACCTGCATGTTCTGCACATGTATCCCAGAACTTAAAGTACAAAAATAAAATAAAATAAAATAATGGGCCACGCAGGAGCCCCCATCCTCTGGACTCCCCGGGGCTCCCTATTTGGACAGAGTAAAGGAAAGTCCCTTTCTCAGTTGTGGACTCTGAATAGGGAAGTCTGTCACCCTCATGGTGTGATGGGTGAGGACTTAGGAACGTGAATCCCAGCCCCAGATTTGCTGCTAACTTGTGGGCAAGACCGTGAGCAAATCACTTACCTGTGAGATGTCCCACCTCCCTATATTGAGGGACTATGGAGGACACTTAAGCCCCTTCAACCCCCTACGTTTTATAGGAGGCTCATCATATATACGAAATGCTTTATGTCTGTCTTACACTGTGGATTTTTCACTCCGATCATCTGTAAGCAGTTGGTAACTATCCCAAGGCTACCAGGATGTAGGGAGGGGAGAGAGCTCGGAGCTGGGGAGCCTCGGTGATGCTCTGAGGTGACTCCCACCCAACAGAGTCCTTTGCCTGTTTCCCAAAGTGCAGTTAACGAGAGGGCAGCAAGGAAAGCAAGTCAGAGTCCACGTTGGTCTGAATATCGCTGATGCAGGTAGAGACAAACCCCAGGGAAAAAAGACTTAAAAGTGAAAAATGGAGCTGGACACCGTGGCTCCTACCCGCAGTCTCAGCACTTTGGGAGGCTGAGGTGGGAGGATCGTTTGAGCCCAGGAGTTTGAGACCAGCGTGAGCAACATAGTGATAATTCATCTCTACTAAAAAACAAAACAAAACAGCCAGACATGGGGGTGTCTGCTTGTAGTCCCAGCTACTTGGGAGACGGAAGTGGCAGGATGGCTTGATCCTGGGAGGTTGAGTCTACAGTGAGATGAGATTGGTCCATTGCACTCCAGCCTGGGTGACAGCAAGACCCTGTCTGGAAAAAAAAAAAAAGTGAAAAAAAAGTCCCAGACCCTTTAAAAGCTTGAAGGATCCTTCTGTGTGTGGGACTAACTGAGATGCAATAAGAGAAATGGAAAACCACCCGAGTCACTGTCGCAAGATAATTTTGTATTGAAGTAAGACACCTGACCACAGACTGACTTCACTTATATCTGCACAACTGAACCGAGCAAAAGGAAGTTCTCAAATCACCATTCAGTGCTCAACTCAGCCTGGGAAGCCAACAGCAAGCTTTCAAGGCGGGCCCTTGCTTTCTCGTTTGTGTGTGTGTGTGTATGTGTGTGTGTGTATGTGTGTGTATGTGTGTGTGTATGTGTGTGTGTGTGTGTGTATGTGTGTCTATGTGTGTGTGTGTATGTGTGTGTCTACGTGTGTGTGTATGTGTATGTGTGTCTGTATGTGTGTGTGTGTGTGTGTGTGTGTGTGTGTGTGTGTGAATCTTTTCTAACAGTGACGGCTGTGAGAGCGGGCTCTCCAACTCCTGCCGGTGACCTTGGACGTGACCTTCACCACACGGGGCTCAGGCTCCTCAACCACCAAATGAGGAAGGAGAACTAAGCTGTCCCAAAACCATTCTTTTTTCCATTTCTAAATCCTTTGGGTGTTCTAAATAGACACTAGGATCTCTCAAGTGATTCTGTAACACAGGAAACATTACCTCAGCAGGCCTGGTTTAAAACCCAACCCTCCCCTCTCTCTCATTCACCAGCTGTGAAAGTGTAAGTAATGCATTATTCTTCTTTGTCCTCGGCCTCCCCTTCTGTAAAATGGGTATAAAAGAACCCGGCTGGGCGCGGTGACTCACACCTGTAATCCCAACACTTTGAGAGGCTGAGGCAGGTGGATCACCTGAGGTCAGGAGTTCGAGACCAGTCTGGCCAACATGGTGAAACCCTGTCTCTACTAAAAATACAAAAATTAGCCAGGCATGTTGGTGGGCACCTGTAATCCCAGCTACTTAGGAGGCTGAGGCAGGAGAATCGCTTAAACCTAGGAGGCAGAGGCTGCAGCGAGCCGAGATCATGCCATTGCAAAATGCCAGGCTGATGATTTCCATGTACCTTTGATAGTCCAGAAACCAGGAATTTTGTGATGTTCTGTGTTCAATTGGAGAGTTTCAGCATAAAATCTGTAACAGTGTCGAGACTTCTCACTGTGGCCTAAGAATAAAAGTAACTTTCATTCTCTCCCAGTGTTTGGGGGCTGGGGCTGAGCTACACATTGAATTTTACTACAAGTTTACTGGAAGCCAACACAAACAGAAACGCAGAAGGGTGGTACTGGCTCTCTGAAAAAAGGAAAGTGTGTCTGTTCTGCAAGAAGGAAAAAATAGCATCTTTCCTTGGTACTAAATTTAAAACAAAATGTATTATATGAGAGATGTTAATAATATTATTACAATCTTAGGAATAATATCTATAGTCTGAGGAATGTTGAATTATTATTCATTATCCCTTATATTATTTAATTTTGATAATCATCATATTATATTATTAAATAACAACAGATTTTAAAGTGGTTGGAGTCCAAAGAGTATGGGTTCTCCTTTAATCAGCAACACAGAATGCTGACATACCTGAATTTTGCCAAAAATTAGAATATCAAGTTGCCTAATTTTCAACTTCCCTCAAAAGTTTAGGCTGGGCGCAGTGGCTCACATCTGTAATCCCAACACTTTGGGAGGCCAAGGTGAGAGAATCATTGAGTCCAGGAATTTAAGACCAGCCTGGGCAACACAGATCTCATCTCTACAAAAAGTAAACCAAAAAAAATTAGCTTGGCATGGTGGCATGCGCCTGTGGTCCCAGCTATCTGGGAGGCTGAGACAGGAGGATCACCTGAGCCAGGGAGGTCGAGGCTGCAGTGAGCCGTGATCATACCACTGCACTCCAGCCTGGGCAACAGAGCAAGACCCTGTTTCAAAAAAAAAAGAGAGAGAGAGAAAAGCTTAGATAAGAAAGGTCATACAGGCCAGGCATGGTGGCTCATGGCTATAATCCCAGCAATTTGGAAGGCCAAGGTGGGCCAATCACCTGAGGTCAGAAGTTCGAAGCCAGCCTGGCCAACATGGTGAAACCAGGTCTCTACTAAAAATATAAAAATTAGCTGGGCGTGGTGGTGTTCACCTGTAGTCCCAGCTACTCAGGAGGCTGAGGCAGGAGAATCACTGAACTCAGGAGGTGGAGGTTGCAGTGAGCCGAGATCACACCACTGCACTCCAGCCTAGGCGACAAAGTGAGACTCCGTCTCAAAAAAAAAAAAAAAAGAAAGGTCATACAATCTTGACATCCATTTCTCCAGATGTGCCAAGCTCCCTCTGGTCAACCAGCCAGAGGATGATCCTGGACCCCTCCTGCCTCTGACTGCCAATGGCTGGAGTCTCTTGGGGCCGCCCGGGTCTGGCCTGAGGCCTAAAGCCTGGACCTTTGCACTCAGCTCTGCTCCAGCAGTGACTCACCTGCAGAGAAGCCTATGGAATTCTGGGAACGATGCGGGTGGTTGTTTCAGGATGGCCCACCTGAGCCACAAAGTCACCTCCCAACACACACACACACATACACACACACACGCACACACATCCTGTGTTACCTTGATCATCAGGAACAAGGCCAACCAATCTGGCTGGGACATTTGGTCCTTGAGGAACTGCCACCACTGCCTGAACACGATGTCATCTGTGGTCAGTGGACGATTCTTCCAGGGACAAGGAAAGACGAGGAAAATCAGAACTCACCGCTTGGGTCCCTCTGCCTCAACTGCAGCCTTGTTTGAAACTGGGCTCTTCTGCAAACATGCTATGCTTGCCTGAGCGTAATGCCCACCGGAGTGGCGGGATCAGGTATGTTCATCTCCCGGGCAGGCTGCGGGGGTCATTCCGCTCAGAGCAAGTGCCCGGTCTCCATCAGAACCCTTGGAGAGCCTCTGCAGCCATGAACAAAAAGGTACCGAGACCTGCCGTGACCATCCTATGATGATAGACTATGAATTCTTATAAACCGAAGAATTACCAGTGCTGGAGAGCCCGCGAGCAGCCCGGCATTGCGTAAAGGGTCTGCAATGGCTCTTCCTAGCCCCCACTTTACACTTGGCAGGGTGGGGCTTGTGAGAGTCACAGAGGAGAGGGGCTGAGCGGGACTGGCTCTCAGAGCCACCTCCACTAATGGGGCTTTTCCAGTTCACCTCTGGAGCCCAGTGGACCCTCACTGCTCCCACTGAGGCCTCCTCTCCAGCCAGCCACACAAGCTCAGATTCACCAAAGATAAAACTCAGGGAAACTCAGCTGTCCCCCTGGCTGAGACAGCGGGTCCCCCAGTAACCATTGTCCTCCTTCCCAAATGCTAGCAGGGCACACACTGCCTGACTTGTCCCCACTCCCTTGCAGCGAGGTGTGGCTGCCACGAGACTGTGTCCTGGCCAGTGCACCAGTGCAGGTGAGCACAGGGGGTGTGAATGAAGTGTCTTTTGGGAGGAGGCACATGCTTCTCCAACCTATTCCCTTTCTTTGGGATGCAGATGTGATGGTTAGAGCCAGAGCAGTTAAAGATGGTGGAGCCAGGCCAGGCACGGTGGCTCACACCTGTAATCTCAGCACTTTAAGAGGCTGAAGCAGGGGGATCACTTGAGGCCAGGAGTTCAAGACCAGCCGGGGCGACATAGTGAGACTCCATCTCTTCTAAAATCATATATATGTTATATATTATATGTAATATGTGTTATATGTATGTTATATATGCAATATATGTTGTATATTGTATGTGATATGCATTATATATTATATGTAATATATGTAATATATGTGTGATATGTTATATATTATGTGTAATATATGCTATGTTATATGTAATATGTGCATTATGTATAATATATGTAATATATGTATGTTTTATATATAATATATATGTAATATGTTATATACGTAATATATTACATATAATATATAACATATATATGATTTTAGAAGAGATGGAGTCTTGCTATGTTGCCCAGGCTGGTCTTGAATATGTTATATATTATATATGATATATATGTTACATATTATATATGATATATATGTTATATATTATATATATTATGTGATATGTGTTATATATGTGATATGTGTTACATATGTTATATACGTGATATATATGTTATATATTATATATGATATATATGTTATATATATCCAGACATGGTGGCTGGCACATGTCTGTGGTCCCGGCTACTTGGGAGGCTGAAACAGGAGGATCGCTTTAGCCAAGAGGTTGAGGCTGCAGGAGCCGTGATCATGCACCACTACACTTCAGCCTGGGTGACAGAGAAAGACCCTGTCTCAAAAAAGAAAAAAGAAAAACCTAAAAGCAACAAAGTAAAAATAAAACAAAAACGAAAAAAAACTTTACAAAATACAGAAGTGATTTTTTTTTTTCCGAGGCTGCTGGAGGACAAAGGACAAGGTCAAGGAGCAGAAGAAGATTCCTGTCACACACAGACCAGCGAGAGGCACCCAGCCCCTAGCTCCCCGCAGCACGCCCGAGGGCGCCTGCGGGGCTCGATCCCGTCTTTCCTTCCTCCCTCTTCCGCAAGCTTTTCTGTCCCGGCTTCTTGCCAGTCTGCTGGGGTCTCACCCTCACCTTTCCTTTCTCCCGTCTTTAGCTCTCATTTCCTTTCCTTTTCCTTCTGCCCTCATTTCCCTTGCCCTGTCCACCATTTTTCCTTCATTTCTCTCCATCCATCTCTGTGAGAGTCAAGGATCCAGACATTCAGACTGGGTATCCTGGCGAGTTTAACAAAGGGGTGGTTTATAGCAGTGAGGCCAGGGTCGAAAGAGACCATGGAGGTCGGTCATGGTGGCTCACGCTTGTAATCCCAGCACTTTGGGAGGCTGAGGCGGGAGGATCACTTGAGCCCAGGAGTTTGACACCAGCCTGGGCAACATAGCAAAAACCCATCTCTGTTTTTTTTTTTTAATTAAAAAAAAAAAAAACAAACAGGCCGGGTGTGGTGGCTCATGCCTGTAATCCCAGCACTTTGGGAGGCTGAGGCGGGTGGATCACTTGAAGTCAGGAGTTCGAGACCAGCCTGGCCAACATGGTGAAACCCTGTCTCTACTAAAAATACAAAAATTAGCTGGGCATGGTGGAGTGCACCTGTGGTCCCAACTAGTCGGGAGGCTGAGGCAGGAGAATCGCCTAAACCAGGAGGCGGAGGTTGCAGTAAGCCAAGATCATCCCACTGCACTCCAGCCTGGGTGATAGAGCAAGACTGTGTCTCAAAAGAAAAAAAAAAAAAGAAAGAGACCACAGAGGGAGAGTGCAGGACAGGGCCAGAAGAGCAGGAAACCACTAGCACGGCTGGGCCTGCAGGGCAAGGGAGGGAGCATCTACCAGGACCAAGCTGTGTGGAGAGTGCTGCATGGAGCCCAGGCCTCTGGTCAGGGGTGCAGGAGACCACCTCGAGCCAACAGGGAGGGGCTGAGGAATAAGTAGCCAGCCCCTCTCTCCTCCTTTCCTTCCCCATCTCCAGCTGGGAGACCCCATGAGACACGCACAGAGCAGGGGAGAAGCTAGAGAGAGGAGCTAGCCGCAGGGCAGATGGGGGATATGTGGGGCTGTCCCCCGCGTGCGTTTTCCCGCTGTGCCTTACCTTGTAAACCCTATTTCTTCTCCTGCCGCGTGCATGAAACTGTTTTGTGACAGCTGCTCCTAACTTCTAAATAAGGGCAACTTGGCTTTCTTCTTTTCCAAAACATCAAAATTGGGTCGTTGCTTTTTAAAGTGCGGTGCCTTGGGTTGTTCTACTGGGATTAGCAGGCCTCTTTTTATGGGATGAGACACCATCACCCGTCTTCTCCCCAAGCCGCAGATGGAACGTCAGGAGTGCAGACTAGTGAAGGGGAAGAAAGGATGCCAGCCATCTATGAGTCTGCCTGTGTCTTATTCTCTAATATCAGACCATAGCTATTTATGGATCCACCAGGAGCCATTAACTTCTGCGTCTACCTAGCGGTTGGAAAGTGGCCAGCGTAGCTGAACAGTAAATGAAGCTGACGGGTCAGCAGGTGTTACAGATCAGGAGACTCGACGCCGTGCCCAAGCCCTTCCCCGCTGCATCCTTCACTCATGATTCTAGGAAGGCCAAGTCCAGGGGAGGCCCTGAGATGAGCCTGTGGGAAAGCACACACTTCCTTACTAAAAGGGACAGATGCAGATGGCACGGTCTCCATCACATCCCTTCTCCTGCCCTGAATGCAGACCCACTCCTGGGCCGCCCAGGTCATCGCACCGCCATGGTGGGCCTTCAGGAGGATGACAGCCTCTGTGGCAACGGTAGGGGCAGCTGAAACACGTGCCTCTTTGTCATAGAGAAAAACACATCTCTATCTGCCCAAACCACCACTGGTGGCCATTCAGTTATGGGCAGCCCTACGCGTTCCCGAGTGAATCATCATGGTGGGTAATACTCGTATCTCTGATGCATTTAGTGAAAACACCATTAACAAGCCATTCAACGACGTTATCGTTGCCTCGCCACAGAAGAGGCAAGGCAGGGGATATGAAAGTGTGCAGCTTGCGGAGAAGGTGAGTGGCTGGTAGGGAATGCTCTTTAATAGGCAGCGCCCCTGCAGGGAGGGGACTCAGAGTAACGATTCCATCCGCACCTGCAGAACTGAGAGCACCAGAAACTCCTCACCTGCGCGCATCATCCAGGCAGGTTAACAGCGGGGACCAAGGACCAGCTTTAAGGGAGTGATATCACTGAGCTTGTCCCCAAAGTTTAGTAAATACACAATGCATGCAAAGTCTGAAAAACTGCCGATAGCGTTTAACGAATGCACAGAGCCCCACTCCGTGAACCACTGTCATATTTTAGACAATCCAGGCGAGTCAGCCCTGGCCAGCCCTGCTCTTCTCTGCAGTGTTTATCAGGGAGTGTATCAATGTCGGGAAAACTTCCTAAGGAAGTTCACCCCCAGAAGAACAGCTTAGGTCATGATTATCCTGCTGAGGTCAGCAGCACATGGTTGTCCGACTCCTGGGAGAAAAGAGGATGTGAAACCCTCGGAAGGGTGAAGGGTGCGGCAGGCGGGACTCATCCGGGGAGGTGTGGCCAGGAGGATGTTCTGACGGGAAACGGCGTCATCGGAAAGCCCCTCCCCAGCTGCTCCTCAGTTGCAGGGAGGAAAAAGAAACAGCGATTCTGCAGTGGAGAAGTTGGGCACACCTTCATTGGTGGTGGACAGTGATGTCCCTAGCGAAGGGTGGTGGGACCTGGAGGGCCCTAGAGGGGACGCTCAGAGTTGGGCCAGCACCCCCAGCATGGGGTCCCGGCCAAAGAGTCAAAACCTCTGTCTACTCGTGGGGAAACACAGGACAAACCCCAAATGAAGGGCCATCCATTATCAAAGGAGGGGAGTATTCTTTAAAAAGAAAGGCTGTCGGGGCCGGGCACGGTGGCTCACGCCTGTAATCCCAGCACTTTGGGAGGCTGAGGTGGGCGGATCACCTGATGTCAGGAGTTCGAGACCAACCTGACCAACATGGTGAAACCCTGTCTCTACTAAAAATACAAAAATTAGCTGGGCATGGTGGCACACGACTGAATCCCAGCTACTTGGGAGGCTGAGACAGGAGAATCGCTTGAACCCTGGAGGTGGAGGTTGCAGTGAGCCAAGATCACACCACTACACTCCAGCCTGGGCAACAGAGTGAGACTCTGTCTCCAAAAAAAAAAAAAGAAAAGAAAAGAAAAGAAAGGCTGTGGGATGTTGGGATGTTCCCGACTGAAGAAGGCTAAAGAGAGAGAACAGGGTCCTGCCCAACCCTGGGCTGGACCCCAGGCTCGGAGGAAGGCTATGAATGACTTCATTGTGTCAACCCACAAGATTTGAATTCAAACAGCAGATCTGGCCAGGCACGGTGGCTCAAGCCTATAATTCCAGCACTTTGGGAGGCCAAGGTAGGTGGATCGACCTGAGGTCAGGAGTTAGAGACCAGCCTGGCCGACATGACGAAACCCCATCTCTACTAAAATTACAAAAAAAATTAGCCAGGCCTGGTGGCTGGTGCCCATAATCCCAGACACTCAGGAGGCTGAGGCAGGAGAACTGCTGGAACCCAGGAGGCGGAGGTTGCAGTGAGCTGAAACTGTACCACTTCACTCCAGCCTAGGCGACAGAGTGGGACTCTGTCTAAAAAAAAAACAAAAACCGATCAGACGGAAGTATTGTGTCCATGTTCAATCTGCTGACATTGATGACTGTACAGTGGTTACATAAGGGAATATCCCTTTTCTTAGGAAATATGCCCAAAACTGTTAGGGCCAAAGGTCTGAGGTACGTAAGCAACTTTTCAAATGCTTCAGAGCAAGAGAGGACGCACACACAAACGATAAAGCGAATGGGGCAAAATGTTAACAAGCAAATCCAGACATAGAAGTGTTCTTTACACTATACATATATTTCTTCCAACTTTATTTTAAATGCCTTGAAAGGCAAGACCTTTATCTATGTGTGTGAACATGCATGGATGTGTGTTGGGGAAGGGGAGGGAGGAAAACAAAGACCATAGAGAGGAGAGAGAGGCAGGGTGGGTGCAGAGGTGGGAGGAGGAGAGGGCTGAGAAGCAGTGATCAAACGGGAAGAACAAGGCCCCGAGAGCTGACTTTGCCAGCACCTGCTGGGGGCAGTTTCATCCTTATTACCGCAGTGCTTTCCCCCTTCTGCCTTAAAGCTTTTACGTCTGGGTTTTCCAAGCCACCTCGATGGTGAAGGAGGCTCCGGAGGGCAGGGAGGGGGTCATTGCAGTTTCTCTTTCTGATGTAGAACAAGCCGTGGGCAGAGAGCCCAGGAGCTACATGGTGGGCACACAGATAATCAGGTAATGCCACCAAATGCGAGAGTCCACCAGGGATTCTGAAAAGTACAAAGAAAGGGTAAATTGCTGCTTTTTCAGAAATACACCCTACCCGCTCACTCTGCCCAGGGAAATGTAACATCAAGATGCAGAGGGATGGGCCAGAGGAGGGACAATTCCAGGGAGAGCCCCTGTCCCTATTCCCAGTGCCTGTCAACTGCCCACACTTTGTTCCCAACTGGCCCTTGCTGCTGTCACCGTGGAGCTGTGGAGTCAGAAGGAAGCCGGGCAAGGATGCAGACTGACATTAAGTTTTTTGTGACTGAGCTCTGAAGAGCATCTTAGCATCTGACCATTCCAGTGTGGAGCAGGGTTGACATGATAAGGAGTAAGAGAAAGATGGCCCGGACTGCAGCAAGGCCGAGGCTGAACACAGAATCACAGAGGCTCCAAGGCTGAGGTCAGTTCAGTTGGAAGGCAGATGCCCAGGGGCAGCCCCAGAAGATGCAAGAACACAGGCCTGCCAGGGCCACTGAGAGAAAGGTTTCTGGCCCAAAGACCTGCTTCCTGCCCACACCAGCTGTGGCAGCTGCTCTTCCAAGCGCTCTTTCTGCACAAGCCCCTCGAACAGCAAACAGCATCACTCGGAACCCTGTCCAAGAAATGCGGATTCATCATAATTGGTCAACCACAGCCACACTCTGGCAAGGGGCTCCAACCGATTTTCAAAGTGTTTTTCCCTAAATGGTTACTTGGATCAGATAACAGCTAGCTGGGAAGAAAACCCCCAGTCCCCATATATGCTCCCAGACATAGCTTAGAAATGTGACCTCCATCTCTTATTTTTATTTTCTTATTTGTGTATTCGTCTGTTCTCACACTGCATGAAGAAATATCCAAGACTGGACAATTTATAAATAAAAGAGGTTTAATTGACTCACAGTTCCGCAGGGCTGTGGAGGCCTCAGGAAGCTTGCAATCCTGGCTGAAGGGAAGCAAACATGTCCTTCTTCACATGGTGGCAGGAAGGAGAAGTGCTGAGCAAAAGGGGAAAAACACCTTATAAAACCATCAGATCGGCAGGGTGCAGTGGCTTACACCCGTAATCCCAGAACTTTAGGAGGCCGAGGCAGGCGGATCACGAGGTCAGGAGGTCGAGACCATCCTGGCTAACATGGTGAAATCCCATCTCTACTAAAAATACAAAAAAATTAGCCGGGCATGGTGGCACGTGCCTGTAATCCCAGCTACTCGGGAGGCTGGGGCAGGAGAATCGCTTGAACCCGGGAGGTGGAGGTTGCAGTGAGCTGAGATTGCACCATTGCACTCCAGCCTGGGTAACAGAACGAGACTCTGTCTCAAAAAAAAAGAACAAAAACAAACAAACAAAAAACCCATCAGATCTCATGAAAACTCACTATCACGAGAACAGCATGGGTGTAACGGCCCCCATGGTTCAATTACCTCCCACTGGGTCCCTCCCAGGACACGTGGGGATTATGGGAACTGTAATACAAGATGAGATTTGGGTGGGGACACAGCCAAACCATATCAATTTGTACATTGTCCTTCTCTCCCGTTCTAGTCTATACGCTCCATGAGGGGAGGGATTTTATTTTATTCACGGCTTTGCTGCCATTCTTAGAACAATGCCTGATACCTAGAAGGCACTTAATAAATATTTGTGGAAGAAAGGAAGAAATGACTTAACTTGGGAAATTAGGTTAATCATGATGTCATTGACAGACGAGGAGAAATTATTTTCAGGGAGATAGTGGAATTCCTTCTGGTCGTCAAGTCTTAAATGACAGAAGAATTTCTTAAATTCTCTTTACACACAGTGTGAAAAAACAACTATTGGTTGACGGAGAAGAAAGAGAGCTCTGGGAGGGACCCAACATCAGCAGGACTCTTTTTTTTTTTTTTCCTTCTCAGATCTGGCTTTGCAAAAAGTCACCAAAGTTAAAATGCACTAGTTCTTCAATCAAGTTTCCCTATATTTTACTACATGTTTATCTTCTTTTCTTGTTCCAGACAGGCAAGAACACCTTCACAGACTGCAAAGACATAAGATTTCTTTCAAGAGACATTTATGCAGGTGATAAACATAATTAAGCTGGTCATATATTTAGTTTGAGATTTTACTTCTCAGTTTGAGGTAGCAAGGGGCCCCCCTGGACTCACACGCCTTAGACCCCGTCTTCATTCTCAAGGTTTCTCCTGGAGGAAATGGGTTCCAGGAGGGGAGCTCCAGTGAGGGCGCCCCAGAGTCCAAGGCAGTTCAGATGCGCAGGCCCTGCCTTGGGGTCCTCCTCAATGCATTGCAGCCAATGACGGGAAAAAGGACTCTGCCCTGAGCCCTTCTGTGCAGGGAGGAGGCTCTCTGGGCTGCTGGTCAGCTGGAAACGGGAGGTCTTGCAGTAGAGTTTTCCCCCTGAGCATGGGGAGGAGTCCTGGTATTTGGGGGGAAAACAGGACTTCCAAATTAGAGCTCCCTAAATATTTCCCCACAAATGATCCTTTGGGAAATCACCTGACACTTCAGAGGAGCTTGTCCCTCTGATGCCACTTCTCTATTTACCGGAGACAAACATTCCTGCTTTCAAGGCTATTGACAGTGGCCACGTCGGATCTGTCCCGGAGTTCTGCTTCCAAGGCTGATGGTGTGTGTTAAGGTCGTGGGGTGGATGCAGCAGTCAACTGTGCATTCATTCAACAAACACCCAGCCTGATGCGTGCCAGGCACTGGGAGTGCCCTGGAGGTAAGAAGCACCTCTCATTAATTTATTCTTGTTCTTCCAAGGAAGCACTGGAAGCACAGGGGGCTCGAGCCCATGCTCCCTGACTATGCTTTTTAAACAGGACAAAATATGTTTAATGCTTATCAGAAAGAATAAATGTCTTAGAATAGCTAAGAACATTTAGAAATTGAGGAATAGCAAGGGAGGTTTCATTCACCAGCTATTAATAGCTCCTTTAGAAGCTACTGAAATGAAAAGAGTATTCTTGGCACAAGAAAAGAAGTAATTTCAAAAATGTATGGGAATTTAATACATGATAAAAGTGGTATCTCAACTGAATGAAAAAAGGAAGATTTAGTTAATGAATTGTGTTGGCATTATCAATTACCTTCCTGGAGCAAAATAAACTTAAATCCCTTCCATCTAAAAATAAACTTTAGATAAGTTAGAAATCTAAAGGTTAAAAAAATTAAAAATTAGAGGAAAATTCAGGGAATTATTAATATTGGAATAAAGACAATCTCCTTAAATAAGACACAAAACTAGGCCAGGCATGGTGGCTCATGTCTGTAATCCAAGCACTTTGGGAGGCTGAGGCAGACAGATCACCTGAGGTCAGGAGTTCAACACCAGCATGGCCAACATGGCAAAACTCCATCTCTACTAAAAATACAAAAATTAACTGGACTTGGTGGCAGGCACCTGTAATCCCAGCTACTTGGGAGGCTGAGGCAGGAGAATCTCTTAAACTCGGGAGGTGGAGGTTGCAGGGGGCCGAGATCACACCATTGTACTCCAGCCTGGGTGACAGAGGGAGACTTCATCTCAAAATCAAACAACAAAGAACACACAAAAACTACACAGGAAAAATGAACATATTTGATCCTATGAAATTAAAACTTTGGAAAACATAACAAATGTAATCAAAAGACAAATATTATACTTAGAAAAATATCTGTAGTACACATGTAAGCATAGGTTTCATATTACTTAACATAAGCACCTAAACATCGATTTTTAAAAAAGGACAAACCAATAGAAAAATAGTCAAAGGGCATGAATTGGCAATTCACAGAAAAAAAAATTTAAGTCAACATAAAAGAATATGCACCATCTCCAGGAGTCAGGCAGATACACATCCAAACTGCATGAGATATCATTTTCACTCTGTGGACAGAAAATATTTTACAAATATTTTCCCCCACACTGTGGTTTATGTCTGAGTCATTAATTTTTTTCTTTTATGAAATTTTTGTCTGTTCTCTAAGAAATATTTGCTTACTCCAAAGGTTATAAAGATATTCTTCTATGTTTTCTCTTAGAAGTTTCATAGTTTAAGGTTTGGAGCTAGGTCTATAATCCATCTCAAAATAATTTTTCTGCACATAATGTAGTAGTAGTTGAGGTTCAATTATTTTCATTTGTTGGCCGGGTGCGGTGGCTCACACCTGGAATCCTAACACTGTAGGAGGCTGAGGCAGGCAGATGACTTGAGCCCAGGAGTTCAAGACCATCCTGGGCAACATGGTGAAGCTCTGTCTCTACAAAATATAAAATTAGCTGGGTGTGATGATGTGTGCCTGTGGTCCCAGCTACTCAGGAAGCTGAGGTGGGAAGATTGATCACCTGAACTCATGGAGGTCAAGGCTGCAGTGAGCCATGATTGCGCCACTATACTCCAGCCTGGGTGACAGAGTGAGACCCTGTCTCAAAATAAATAAATAAACAAACAAATTAAATATTCCCATGTGTTTATTCCATTTTTCCAGTACTAGTTGTTGAAAAGTCTTTCCTTTCCCCATTGTATTGCCTTGGTGACTTTGTTAAACAACTGGTCATATATTCATATAATCTGCATGAAAGTCCTTGTCTGCCAGTCTTTACATCGGGTCATCTTGGGCTCTGTTTTTACTTGCTATTTTTTCTTGATTATGAGTTGCATTTTTGTGTTTCTGCACATCTAGTTATTTTGTATTATATATTGGAAAGTATGGATAATATAGTGTAGCCAATCTGAATTAGATTGTCCTCCTTTACAGAGTTGTGAGAGTTGTCTGGCAGGTAGTTTGATGACTGGAAGGCTCTTTGGTCCCATCTGGTTTGCTTTATTCTTGGCTAGGGCAGGGCTATTTTGGTCTTGAACATAGTCCTAGGAAATAGTTCCTCTAAGACTGGACCTTTCTGGGGTCACACCTGAATGCGAGGTCTCTTCATCCTGGCTGGGCTGAAGCACCTCTTCTTCCCCAGTACATCAAGACCTCCAGTATCACGTTTGGCCCTCAGCCCTGGAACAGGCAATCTCTGCTGGGCCTCATGGAGTCTTGCCCTACCCCATACAGCTCAGCTCTTGAACAAAGACCTGTGATGAGTGTTGCTGTGGACTTCTAGAGCTACCCGTTTTTCTCTGGGATTCTCATTTGTAAACTTCAGCCACTTTGACAGCCCAGCACTCTGGCCTCTTCCATCTTAGCTCAGCGATTGCACCACTCCGCTCGGTCTCTTCCTCCTCAACTGTGACACAAAAGTGGCTGCAAGTCAGAGGCAGTCACGGGAGCTTCAGCTCATGTGATTCTCTGCTCTCAAAAATCACAGTCCCGTGCTGTCTGTTGTCCAATACCTGAAAACATTTACCTCTTATATTTGTCCAGTTTATTTGTCTGTTTGAGACAGTCTCGCTCTGTCACCCAGGCTGGCGTACAGTGGCGCGATCTCAATCACTGCAACCTCCGCCTCCCAGATTCAAGTGATTCTCATGCCTCAGCCTCCCGAGTAGCTGGGATTACAGGCATGCACCACCATGTCCAGCTAATTTTTGTATTTTTTAGTAGAGACAGGGTTTCACCATGGTGACCAGGCTGGTCTTGAACTCCTGAGCTCAAGTGATCCCCCACCTCGGCCTCCCAAATTGCTGGGATTACAGGCGTGAGCCACGGTGTCTGGGCTATTTGTCCAGTTTAATTTGGCAGAAAGTCAAGCTCATTGACTCACTGTCTTGAGGCTGGAAGTAGAAGAGCTCAGGCTTCTATGCAGCTTTCAGCACAAGCTGCCTTGGAGTTAAGCTGGGTTAGGACAACCTGTTGCCACTGGATTGACTCCATCAACAGCTAGCCTTGGGATACGCGCCTTTCAGTCACACTATGGCCACCACCCAGCCTGTCATCCTGCATTAGGGGGACATTCAGACAAGGCAGGACCCCACACATTAGGGATGTCCCTAGCTCACTTGGACTCCACCTGCACATATTATTCCACGCTCTTTCAAAACCACCGTCTCTCCATCCTCGATCAAGAAAGGATTTGCAGGTGAATTAGACTGTTGTATTCATACAGATTTCAGGATAATTAACCTTAAGGATAATTTTATTTGTGCAGTGAATGATCATGTGAAGGGGACCATAAACACTTGATTTAAAAAACACACATATACCGGCAACCGAAATAGACTAAAACATCTAGGCTGATTTGAAATTGGCCCTGAAGACACTGCTTTTATAAGTCTTGTTTCCTCTAGCTTCACGTGTGTGCCCTGAGGCTGGGGGCACATGCCGTCCCTCCCTGTATACCCAGCATCCCGCACACTACCCTGAAACCTCATGGGTGCATGAGTATTTGTTGAATTGGACCAAATGGATTCACTTGTCTCTTCTGTTATATTTGAGTCCTCTTCAAGGCTAGCTACAAATTTACGTGAACTTTACTGCGTTTCATTCTCTAGTAAAGGCACAAGTCTTGGGAAGACACACACACATACACACACACATACTACACACACAAACCCACATACATACACATACACACACAGATACACACCTACACACGTACACACAGATACACATACACACACATACACACACACGGTTGTTCTTCACCCCATTCTGAGAGCACTTCCTCACTCAATCTTGGAGTCATGTGTTCATTGGCAAAGTTGACAGAGATAACTTCTTAGACATTTGCAATATTTTGACAGGACAATTATGCAATGTCCTCATCTTCATGAACCTGAACCAACTTTCAAGCATCCAAGACTTACTTAGTCAGCATTCCCACCAAAGTAGCCAATAGCAGGAGCCTAAAACAATGAACTCTTTATGACCAAAATGCTGTGTCAGATGCAACTTCAGTAACTAAATTAACTAATGAGGGTCTCCTGGGGGGAAATGGGATAACCCTGCATTCTTGTTTTACCCCTCCCTGTCTTTCAACAGCTCTTTAGAGGTTTATCTGTGTTTAAGACTCTTTATCAGATTGTCATTTGAACCGCAGGGAAAGTGACTTCTTTCTGCATTTCCACAATCAATCCATTTATTCAGAGAAAGTTCTTCACCAGCAGATATGATTGTATCAATGGGGTTTCCCCTAAACTCCCACTTAAATTAGATTTTTTTTTTTTTAAGATGGAGTCTCACTCTGTCACCCAGGCTGGAGTGCAGTGGCCCGATCTCAGCTCACTCCAACCTCCGCCTCCCAGGTTCAAGCAATTCTCCTGCCTCAGCCTCCCAAGTAGCTGGGATTACAGGCGCATGCCAGCACACCCAGCTAATTTTTGTATTTTTAGTAGAGACAGGGTTTCACCATGTTGGCCAGGCTCGTCTCAAACTCCTGACCTCAGGTGATCCACCTGCCTCAGCCTCCCAAAGTGCTGGGATTACAGGCGTGAGCCACCACGCCCAGGAAATCCGTGTAGGAAGAGATAAGATCAATTTCATATTGCCATGTTGGATGCTGTTCCAAAACCCCCCCCTTTCCAAATACATGTGAAGAGTGTGACTTTGTCACACAACCTGCAGTCCGTAGACTGGCGTGAGGGGCCTGTTGATCACTAACCTTGTGGGCAAAATGTTGTGTGCACGTGCATCCATGTGATCTGATGAAATCCACACAGCATGGGATGCTCCAGCCACACCAGCCTCTGCCAGGTGAATGTTCCTGTAAATTTACATCAGGGGCCTGATGTGTCAATATCAACCCCATGGAAGTCTCTGTGTTGTGAACCGTTCAAGGGTCTCAGAAGGTAGTGTCGCCTCTAAGCTGCATCCTCTGGGCAGGCTTGACCTTGGCAGAAATCTCAACCACCTCAGAAAAGCCTGCCTTCTCCTTGGCTAAGTACCTTCCATGCAGGAGAGGCAAATGGTGGGCGGGGTTGAGGGGTGGTCAGCAACAGCCCTTGAACACTCATGTCATCGGTGCTGGAGCTCCCCCATCATGAGCCACCTCTAAGGGTCATGTGCTGTATTTCCCTGGAAGTTTCCAACCCAGCCCTTCCCGGCCCTTCCCTACCACTCCCCACTCTGCCATCCACTCATGGCCCCATGTTATTCCCCCACTCCCCATGCTTCCCTTTTAGGTGCACCTGCTCTCCTTAAACACCTAACACCAGGAGGGCTCTAAAAGCAGGCAGGCTGGCTGGGTGCAGTGGCTCACACCTGTAATCGTAGCACTTTGGGAGGGTGAGGTGGGAGGATCACTTGAGGCCAGGAGTTCGAGACCAGCCTGGCCAACATAGTGAAATGCCGTCTTTACTAAAAATACAAAAACATTAGCCAGGCTTGGTGGCAGACACCTGTAGACCCAGCTACTCAGGAGGTTGAGGCATGAGAATCGCTTGAGCCTGGAAGGCAGAGGTTACAGTGAGCCAAGATCATGCCAATTGACTCCAGCCTGGGCAGCAGAGTGAGATTCTGTCTCAGAAAAAAATAAAATAATAAAATTAAAAAATAGGCTGGGCGCAGTGGCTCATGCCTGTAATCTCAGCACTTTGGGAGGCTGAGACGGGCGGATCACGAGGTCAGGAGATCGAGACCATCCTGGCTAACACAGTGAAACCCCGTCTCTACTAAAAATACAAATACAAATACGAATTACAAAAAAATTAGCCGGGCGTGGTGGCAGGCACCTGTTGTCCCAGCTACTTGGGAGGCTGAGGCAGGAGAATGGCGTGAACCCAGGAGGTGGAGCTTGCAGTGAGCCGAGATTGCGCCACTGCACTCCAGCCTGGGTGACAGAGTGAGACTCCATCTCAAAAAAAAAAAAAAAAAAAAAATAGAAGCAGGAGGGCTGACTGCGCAGCCTGACCTGGTTTCGGCCTGACCCTCGTGTCCCCCTGTCCCCATCATCTGTCCCGTGTTCCATTCTCCCAAATGTGAAAAACTGCAGCCACCAAGTCCCTATGTCCTCCAAGTGTGACGTCTTGTGGACTGAGACGTTGCCCCCAGACTCCTAGCCCAGCATACCCTGTTCCAGCGAGTGCCACGCACAGGCCATTCCCCAGCACCTGGTGCTATTGCCACTTCCTGTCACCACTAACCAGACAGATTTTACACACATATTTGAGCCTCTTGCATTCTGGTGCAGATTTTCCTTCTGACTGGCATTTGCCAATAGGATGATTATTTTAATATTTTAAAATTAGAGATGGCGGGGGGGGGTCTCACTATGTTGCCCAGGCTGGTCTTGAATTCCTGGCCTGAAGCAATCCTCCTGCCTCTGCCTCCTAAAGTGCTGGGAATAACAGGCATTAGCCACCGTGCCTGGCCAAGATGATTTTATAGTCCGTAATTCAGAAAAGACTATTCTGTCCTAGATTATTATTATTTTTTGAGACGGAGTTTCACTCTTGTTGCCCAGGATGGAGTGCAATGGTGTGATCTCGGCTCACTGCAACCTCTGCCTCCAGGGTTCAAGCGATTCTCCTTGCCTCGGCCTCCCGAGTAGCTGGGATTACAGGTGCCTGCCACCATGCCCAGCTAATTTTTTGTATTTTTAGTAGAGAAGGGGTTTCACCATGTTGGCCAGGCTGGTCTCGAACTCCTAATTTCAGGTGATCCACCCCCCTTGGCCTCCCAAAGTGCTGGGATTACAAGCGTGAGTCACCATGCTCAGCCGATTCTTAAATTTAGATTATTAGTTAGAAAAAAGTGCGCTGAAAACAGGAGTCAAGTCTTGGGGGGATGGGGGAGTTTGTGGGTGGGTGTGTGTGCATGTACCGGGGCAGAGGGGAGCTTGTAGAAGAAGAAGGAGAGAGACCACGTTCTCCATAATGGGCCTGACTCTGACGCATGTTAGCTGGAGTCCTTGCTTTCTAAATGTATCTGGATCTCCCCCTTCCTGGTCCGAATGTTTTCTGTGTTGCATTTTTTGAGCCCTCACTGTGATAACACGAATGCTGTGATCTGATCTCAAGTGGAGAAAAGGGGTCCTCCTTTCCATCACCAACGTGTGAGCTCAGGTAGGGGAAGCCAAAGCTCTGCCCCAGGCACCCTGAGAATCAGGAAGGCACCAGGTGGATGTGTGCAGGAGGGACTCGGAAGGCCACAAGGGGAGACAGACTTGAAGTTTCCTAACTTGAGGGCCAACACTCACCAGTTCCTTCACCAAGGACGTCTCCAACCAGAAGGACCAAAACCATGGAGGTGACAGACAGGTGAATATCAAAATTTAAAATTGAGCCCAGGGTCAGTCCTGGCCCTGGCATCCGGTATCTTCCCACATTGGCCACTTTTCTCCAGCTCCCAGGGGGCTGCTTTCACAGGAAGCAGAGTTCCAGTGAGGACACCTTTGCACAGGTCTGACCCTGAGAGCCTCTTACTGTCCAGCCACTTGAGTGAGGCCTTATTCAAACGGTAAAGGGTGAAGCTGCTGCCCTCCAGGGTGTGATGGGCAAGGTCTGTGTAGAGATAGTGAGGGCCAAAGCCGGCAACATAGTCACCCAGGGGTGAGGGCCGAGGCTAGCCCTGCCCAAAGGCTGGAGCCCAGGAGACCAGCCAGGGAGAGAACATGGTCCTGCAGGAGGGTGGGAGGTCACCCCACTTGTTCAGCACAGCTCATGGAGGGCAGGCGAGGAGGCTCGGCCCCCGCCACACTGCCCCTCCGGAGCACTTTACTTCTCCGTATTCAAGACTCTGCGTCATGCCATTGGAATAACACAAAAAACATGCTTTTGTATTTGCTCACCAACAGTAGTCTGTTCATTCGAGTAACGTCCTTCTGGCAGGCACCTGTTGTTGATTTTGGAAAGTTTAGGAAAACATGAGATTCAGGAGCCTCATATGCAGTCACCGGATCCGGGTGCCCTGGAATGGCCCCAGCCCCCAAGTGCAGCTGCTCACGGGCCACAGGCTGCCACGTTCCTCCTGACGGGGATCGTGGAGATGGCGCAGCAGGAGAGGAAGACTAACAGGCTGCCACGTTCCTCCTGACGGGGATCATGGAGACGGCGCAGCAGGAGAGGAAGACTCAAGAGGATTCAAGCCTGACAGTACTTTTGGCTTCTGGGTCTAGGAGACTCAACATTCTTCCCAGTCAACATTAGATGAATGAATGAGTGATGAAGGGGGTGGCCAGGAGTGGTCAGGAGCAACTCTACACAAAATAGAAGGCCAGGCGCAGTGGCTCACGCCTCTAATCCTAGCACTTTGGGAAGCTGAGGCGGGTGGATCACCTGAGGTCGGGAGTTCAAGACCAGCCTGGCCAACATGGAGAAACCCCGTCTCTACTAAAAATACAAAATTAGCCAGGCATGGTGGCGCATGCCTGTAATCCCAGCTACTCGGGAGGCTGAGGCAGGAGAATCGCTTGAACCTGAGAGGCGGAGGTTGCAGTGAGCCAAGTTCACACCACTGCACTCCAGCCTGGGCAACAAAAGTGAAACTCTGTCTGGAAAAAAAGAAAAAAAGAAAGAAAGAAAAAAAACAAACCTGAAACAAAGCACTTCAGATCCCCCCCCACCCCACCCTATCCCTCGCCCCAAAATCAACCATGCAATAGAAGAAAGCTGTAATTCAGCCCTTCAGACTAATTAGATATCTTAACACAGGCACTTGGAGATATATAAAAAGAAACAACTAGAATCAGAAATTCAAATCCTAAGAACAGGAATGGCAAAAGTGAAATGTGGGAGAAGGCTTTAAAATGGGTGATCGGGGAAAGGTATATGAGGCGTCTCTGTACCATTCTTGCAACCTTTATGCCAGTTTGAAAATACCATGAAATAACAGATTTTAGAAATGCTGAGGATTTTCTTGTGAACGGCATGGGGGGCTGAGAGGAACATCGCCCTGGCTGCCGGCGAGACAGCATCCCAGCCCAGGAGCTGTTGACAGAGGGCAGCTTGGGTGGGACCACGACAGATACCTGCAGGAGGCCTGACCGGCGGCGGGGATGGGGACTGAGCCTTGGCGGTTGTATTAGTCGGTTTTCACACTGCTAGTAAAGACATACCCAAGACTGGGTAATTTATAAAGAAAAAGATGTTTAATGGACTCACAGTTCCGCATGGCTAGGGCCGGGAGGAGGGAGGCTCACAATCATGGCAGAAGGCAAAAGGCACATCTTACCTGGCAGCAGGCAAGAAAGAATGAGAATCAAGCTAACAGGGTTTCCCCTTATAAAACCATCAGATCTCGTGAGACTTATTCACTACCACGAGAACAGTATGGGGGAAACTGCCCCCACGATTCAATTATCTCCCACTGGGTCCTCCCACAACATGAGGGAATTATGGGAGCTATAATTCAAGATGAGATTTGGGTGGGGACACAGCTAAACCATATCAGTGGTGATGTTACTGAGGGCGGCCAGACAGGCCAATGACCAGAGCACAGGACACAGCTACAGGGTTTGGCCATTCTGAGGAGGAGCAGCACAAACAAGAGAAACAGCCCAGACCCTGTCCACTGCACACTTTGGCCAGTGAGCGCGCCTCGATTTCCAGACTATGAAAACATCTGTCGGCTGGGCACGGTGGCTCACGCCTGTAATTCCAGCACTTTGGGAAGCCGAGGCAGGCGGATCACAAGGTGAGGAGATCGAGACCATCCTGGCTAACACAATGAAACCCTGTCTCTACTAAAAATACAAACCAAAAAAAAAATTTAGCCAGGTGTGGTGGTGTGCACTTGTAGTCCCAACTACTCGGGAGGCTGAGGCAGGAGAATTGCTTGAACCCAGGAGGTGAAGGTTGCAGTGAGCCGAGATCGTGCCACTGCACTCCAGCCTGGGCAACAGAGCGAGACTTCATCTAAAAAAAAAAAAAAAAGAAAGAAAAAGAAAACATCTGTCTCTGAGAAGCATCATAGTTTACTTAATCTAAAGAAATAGCATATGAGCACCCAGTACGTAGCAGTGAGCCAGTGAATCATAAGCACGATTTCTTTTTTATTTTTTTGAGACCAAGTCTCGCTCTGTCACCCAGGCTGGAGTGCAGTGGTGTGATCTCGGCTCACTGCAACCTCCACCTCCCGGATTCACACCATTCTCCTGCCTCAGCCTCCTGAGTAGCTGGGACTACAGGTGCCCACCACCACGCCCGGCTAATTTTTTGTATTTTTTAGTAGAGACGGGGTTTCACTGTGTTAGCCAGGACGGTCTCCATCTCCTGACCTTGTGATCCGCCCACCTCGGCCTCCCAAAGTGCTGGGATTACAGGCGTGAGCCACCGCGCCCGGCCCATAAGCACGATTTCTTATATGAAATACCAGAGAAATGAGGGGTGCCAAGCACAGAGTGGTGGCCACATGGCCATTCGCCCGATGGATACTTAAGGATCACAGTGGTGATGAAAATGAGAGCGTGAAGGGTGAGTTCAGGATCTGTGTGTAACAGAAGAAACACCACACTGCCTTCAGTGTGGTGAGATTGTGAACAAAGGTGGTGCAGGGATGCCAGGACCCGCCAGCCGTGTAAGGAGAGGTGCTGCAGCTGCCTAAACCCCAGTCGGGAGGGGAGTTTAGTGAGCCGTCTGGTGGAGAGAAGTGGGTCCAGAGTTAGAAGACAGCAGTGACGCTGCCCAAAGCAGGCTCCTTCTTTCTCTCTTTCCTCTTCCAGCTTCAGATCACCTCCACCCTTTAAGAGTTAGAACCGCTTTAAGAGTTAGAACAACCATCCTGACAGCCTGTGAACACACCTGAACCACATTCTCTTCGGTGCAGGAAACAGGTTCTGATAAATGATTCACATGATTCTGCCTGGCATGAAGCAGCCTGCGGTTTATTCCCATGCATCGTTTATTCAGCAGACACACCCCGAGGGCCCACAACATGCCGAGCATTGTTTAGGAGCTGGGAACACAGAGACGAACTGAAGAGACAAAATCCCGTTTCCCACAGAGCTGACCATCTAGTTAGTGTCACGGTTGAAGGGACCATATCACCCTGTCCTTCATGAATGCAGATGCAAAATATCCTTAACAAAATATTAACAAATCGAATCCAAAAATACACTTAAAAAATCATGACCAAGTGGGCTCTATCTCAGGAATGCAAAGTTGATTTACCACGAAAAAAAAAAGCCACTTGATTCGCCATGCTAATGCACTAAACAGAAAAATCATGAATATTTGCATCTGTGCAGAAAAGCCATGTGACAACACTCAGTCCTGATTAAAACTCTCAGAAAACTAGGACAATAGCAGGTGGAGCATCTCCAACCTGATAAAGTACATCCCTGAAAAACCTACAGCTGGGGCCGGGCGCGGTGGCTCACGCCTGTAATCCCAGCACTTTGGGAGGCCAAGGTGGGCAGATCACGAGGTCAGGAGATCGAGACCATCCCGACTAACATGGTGAAACCCTGTCTGTACTAAAAATACAAAAATTAGCCGGGCGTGGTGGCTGGCACCTGTAGTACCAGCTACGCGGGAGGCTGAGGCAGGGGAATGGCATGAACCCTGGAGGCGGAGTTTGCAGTGACCCGAGATCACGCCACTGCACTCCAGCCTGGGCGACAGAGCGAGACTCTGTCTCTAAAAAAACAAAAAAACCTACAGGTGGCATCAAACTTAAAGATGAAGAACTGAATGCTTTCCCCTAAGATCAAGAGCAAGACAAAGAACTCATCCTCACCATCTCTATTCAGTATTGCACTAGAAGTCCTAGTCAGTAGAATAAGGAAAGAAAAATAAATAAAGGCATACATAAGAAAGTAAAAGGAAAGGAAGAAATAAAACTGGCTTTACTTGCAGACAATATGATCGTCTATGTAGAAAATCGCAAGAAATATGCAAAAAAGCGATTAGAACTAATAAATGAATTTAACAAGGTTGCAAGATATAAAATCAATTAAAAATCAATCAAAAAATCAATCATATATGTATATACTAGTAACAAACAAATAGCTATTAAACTTTTAAAGTAATGGTATTTATAGGCTGGGCGCAGTGGCTTATGCCTGTAATCCCAGCACTTTGGGAGGCCGAGGCAGGCGGATCACTTGAGGTCAGGAGTTTGAGACAAGCCTGGCCAACATGGTGAAACCCCGTCTCTACTAAAAATACAAAAATTAGCCAGGCATGGTGGCAGGTATCTGTAATCCCATCTGAGGCAGGAGAATCGCTTGAACCCGGGAGGTGGAGGTTGCAATGAGCCGAGATTGCACCACTGCACTCTAGCCTGGGTGGCAGAGCAAGATTCTGTCTCGAAAAAAAAAAAAAAAAAAAAAAAAGTAAAAGTATTTATAATTTATAATAGCATCGAAATGGATGAGAAACTTAGGGACAAATTTAACAAAATATGTGCAAGACCTATAAGGTAAAAACTGTAAAACATTACTGAGGGAAATTAAAGAAGACCTAAATAAACGAAGAAATAAGCCCTGTTTATGTATGCATCAGAAGCTGCAATATTGTTAGATGTCAGTTCTCCCATGATTGATCTAGAGATTTAATGTATTCCCAATCAAAATTCCATCAAGCATTTTATGGAAATTGATAAGTTGACTTTAAATTTATATGAAAATGAAAAAGACTTAAAATGGGCAAAATGATTTTGAAAAATTGGAGGACTTTTTACTATCTCTGACTGCCAAACTTGCTATAAAGCTACAACAATCAAGGCAATATGGTATTGGCATAAGTATAGACAGAGATGGATGAAACAGAGCAGAGGGTCCATACAGCCAGTATGGAGAAAGGCATGGAGGTTCCTCAAAAAACTAAAAATACAGCTACCATATGATCCAGCAATCCCACTGCTGAGTCTGTACCCCAAAGAAAGGAAATCAGTAGATCAAAGAGATACCTGCCCTTACATGTTGGTTGCAGCTCTGTCCACAATAGCCAAAATTTGGAAGCAATCTAAGTGTCCATCAACAGATGAATGGATAAAGAAAATTTGCAGATTTTCTGGGTCTTTCTTCTAGATATGGTGAGAACTTTGCTCCTTCTAGCTTTCTGTATCCTAAGTGGAAGCCAGAACACATATTCTATTTATTTTTTAAAATTAGAAGGAGGCTGGGTGCGGTGGCCCACGCCTGTAATCCCAGCACTTTGGGAGGCCAAGGCAGGCGGATCACCTGAAGTCAGGAGTTCGAGACCAGCCTGGTCAACATGGCGAAACCCCGTCTCTACTAAAAATACAAAAATTAGCCAGGCGTGGTGGCAGATGCCTGTAATCCCAGCTACTCGGGAGGCTGAGGCAGGAGAATCGCTTGAACCCGGGAGGCAGAGGTTGCAGTGCACTGGTATTTCAGGAAGGTGCCCCCTCAAGTCTCCATGGTATCCCTTGGGCCCTGAACAGGGGGCTAATTTGTCTGCACCTTGAGTGAGGCCAATGGGCTCGGGCTGTGATGTGTGATGTCTGCTGTCACCGACGGTGCCCAGCACAATGTGAGAACTTAGTGGTCTCCACCCCTTTTCCTGTGACCGAAAGGGTGCACCAGATGCTATGGAGCAGACACACACAAGTTACCCTTGAACAAGGCAGCGTGCAGAGTTCAGAAACCAGTAGCACAAGCATGGGGCGGGGGCGCTGCTCTAAGACATCATCAGCATGAATGGGCGAATACCTGACAGGTGTGAGTGGATTCGGTTCGGTGTGAGTTAATAGCATTGCGTCACACAAGCACCTGAACAAAGCTGATGACATCGGGGGGCTCTCGGGTGAAGGAAGCTGGGGTCCCGGTTTTAGGGGAATTCCTCCTCCAGGAGCCCTCCTGGCGTCTCTCTTTGCCACCCAGCCCCAGCTTAGGATGGAGGGCCCTAGGCTGGGTTCCTAAGGCCCCGGGTGATTCCCTGAGGCGGCCATCATCCACATACATGCACGCTTGTCTGCCTGTGGACGGTGTAAAGCCCCTCGAACCCTCCCACGGGCCGTCCTTATCTCTGTACCCACGGGGCTGGTGTGCACTAGAGCAGTGTTCCACCAATAAATGAGAAGGCGCTTTGAAGAATGAGCAGGCGCTCACCTGGCTGGGAGAGGGGTGGGCGAGACCCATGGCTGGGAATGAGCAGGGCTAAGGCAGCAGCATTCCAGGTCCCCTCAGTCCCATGGCTGGAGCAGGGCTGTCGGGGGAGGCTGCAGGAGATGGAATGGGGAGGCCAAAAGGGACTCCAGCCTGGGAGGTGCAGTCTCCCCCTCTAAGGAGTTTGGGGCTACCCCATTGTCAGGAAGGTGTTTTGAGGGGTTTCCAGGAGGTGGCTGGTGGGACACAATCACATTATCTGAGCCCTGAAAAGACCAGGCAACACCATGGGAAACTGGCTGGAGGGAAACCAGTGTGGAGCCTACTGTGGTCCCGGGGCGGGAGACCAGATCCTCTCTGGGTGTTCGTGGCTGTCCGTGGTGTCCAAGGCACCAGGGACAAGGCTACGCAAGGGGCACCTCTAGCTCATGGCGGATAGTTCCGACGCTGCAGCCGTCAGACGTGTTAAATCACACAGGGCATGAACCGGGAAACATGAAATCCACCCTCAGCTTCAATTGCTCCAATAATTATTTGTTAGCTCAGAAGTTCAAGACATTTGGAACAGGTCCAACAATGATGTCAACTTAGTTCCCATCTCTGAATCTGTGGTGGAGAAACCTGGACACTGGAAACAGGGTGGGTTTGGGGATCCGGCTGACCTGGGGCCCAATTCTGACTTCCCTGTTTCTGCGAGCCCCTGGATACGTACGTTTCTAAATGTCTCTGAACCTCGGTTTTCCTGTCTTTATCATTCGTGCATTCATTCATGACATTGTCATTTATTCAACAAATACGTACTGAGCACCTACTATCTATCAGGCACCGTTCCAAGTACAGGGAATATAGGTGTGAAAAAAAGCTCCTGCCCTCACTGATTTTACATCCTGGGACAGGGAGACAGAGGAATAAGTCATGAGGTGCCACTGGGCAGGGAAGGGGCTGGGGAGAGCTGCGGGCGGCTGTGATCGTGGTAGCAATGAGCCCTAGCAGCACTGCTTTCATCTCGGGGCTGCTATGAGGACTGAGTTAGAGAATGGGTGTTAGAAGAGGGCTGGCACCTGCCGGGGCCCAGCATCTCATCCTGCACCAGCCTGGTGGGAAGGCTTGATTCCCTTCAAGTATCAACAGCCATGGAAGCTAAATCTCGACCAGACCTCGCAAGGAGATTTAAAAGGAGAAAAGAAAAAAGGCATCATTCTGAATAATTATTCCTCAAAGCCGTCCCTGTGGCGTGCTGATAACCTATCGGGTCACATGTGGCAGTTTACTTTAAAGGCAAAGGGGTTTCCAAATGAACCTGCCCGGGCGGGGAAGCTCTTGTGGTTCCTGGCGGCATCCTGTCCCTCAGTAGAGAATCTTATCACGACTTCCTCAGGCTGTTGACATTCTGATTAGTGTGCAGTCCACAGACATCAAAAAGGACAAGGATGGATTCTGAAACCAGGAAGTTTTACTGACTGTCTTGCTCACAGACATTTTAGCCTGTATGTTGTCATCTGCAGTCAGTGACTGTAACCTCTGTATTGTACCGTCCAGTGAAAAGGACAGCTCCAATGTGAGGAGTCCCCCTCTACACTCTCCTCTAAAAGGCTTCCAGCTTGGAGCAGGCCCCAGGACACGCCCACCTTTGTTGGCATGTCTGCCGGGGTTCATCCTCACTTCCGGTTTCCAGTAAACCAGATCACAGTATTTCTGCCTCAGCTACTCTCTGCCTATGGGGTAACCCTGCTCTGCCAGAGCAGTCAAAAAAGAAAAAACATTGGGAAAAAAAAAAGGAAGAATATTATTTCTGCCTCAACAGTCTTGATTTCGGTCAGCAGGAGGCTGCGGTGGGATAGCTGGGAGCACATTTGGGGTGGTGTCAAGTGTCACCATGGAGGGGAGGTTGAGCTTGATCCTCTAGATGTGACACTGGCCGCTGGTCTGGGAGTGAGGGTGGAGAGACAGGCTGGTGCCTTGATTAGCGCCAGCAGCTCGCTGCTGCACTCAGGCCGGAGCTGCCAGAGACAGCCCTCAAGGACTCATTGTTGGTTGAGCAACGCAGAGAGTATGTGTGGCCCCAGGGCAGCCGGGCCCCAGGGCCAGGTTACTTAGGGGTGTATGTCTGCTGCCTGAACCCTGAAGGCCAGGTGGTTAGCCCAGGCCATGTTGCCCAGCTGTATTCATTCCTTTTCACTCTGCTGGTAAAAACATACCTGAGGCTGGGCATTTACAAAAGAAAGAGGTTTAATTGGACTCACAGTTCCACGTGGCTGGAGAGGCCTCACCTTCATGGCAGAAGGCAAGGAGGAGCAAGTCACACCTTACGTGGATGGCGGCAGGCAAAGAGAGAGCTTGCGCAGGGAAACTCCCATTTTTTAAAACCATCAGATCTGGTGAGACCCATTCATTATCATGAGAATAGCACGGGGAAGACCCGTCCCCACACTTCAGTCATTTCCCACCGGGTCCCTTCCACAACACGTGGGAATTATGGGAGCTACAAGATGCGTTTGGGTGTGGACACAGAGCACAGCCAAGAGCAGGTGTCCCTGAGAACCCAAACATCCTGGGGAGGCCCCGAGCACTGGGGCTCCCTGCCCCACCCAGGGCAGGACGTGAGCAGGACCTTTTGACATGGAGGCAGAGAAACACTTCCCAAGAACCTCAGAGGGTGGGCTTGGGAGGGGTGGCCAAAGCTCCTCCCCCCAGGCCACCGCTTCATGCGTGGAGTTTGTATCCTGCAGCTTTGCCAAATCCACTTATTACCTCCCCGTTTTTTTGTGTGTGTGTAGAATCTTTAGGGTTTTACATATATATATGTGTGTGTGGGGGGTGTGTGTGTGGGGGTGTGTGTGTGTATATATGTGTGTGTGTGTGTGTGTGTGTGTGTGTGTGTGTATATGTAAAATCATGGCATGGCAAACAGAGATCATTTTACTTTTTCCTTTCCAACTTGGAGACCTTCTTTTTCTTGCCTAATTGCCCTGGCTAGAACATCCAGGACCATGTTGAGGAGAAGTGGCAAAAGCAGGCATCCTTGTCTTGATCCTGATCTTAGAGGAAAAGCTTCCAATCTCTCTCCGTTGAGTATGAGGTTGGCTGTGGTGTTTTCATAGATGGCCTTGTACTGTGACAGGTCCTCCACCAGGTTACTTAAGGGCATATGTCTGCTGCCTGAACCCTGAAGGCCACATGGTGAGTCCACGCCACGGTGCCCAGCCAAGGAGTAGGTGTCCCTGAGAACCCACACAGCCCAGAGAGGATCTGAGAACCCGCCAAGGAAAAGTCCCATGGCACACACACACAGTAGGCAAAGAGCCAGAAAATCAGCGTAAAAGCAGCCTAGAGATGGGGGCGGCGTGGATCTCTCGAGCTGTCCTGCTGCTGTCCGGCAGTGCCCTGTGTGCGGGTCCCCATCAACTCTGCTACTCACCAGGCTGGACTTGCCCCAGTCCTTCTTTGGGGCCTGGGAAGGAGGGGACGATACTGTCTCAAGTGTGTCCCGCAGTAGGCCTTGCTTGTGTTGAAAGGGTTCCTTCTGCGCCTGCCCCGTTGGGTGTATTTCCTGGTGGAGTTTCATTTCGTCCAATGCTTTTCCTGCATCGATGGAGATGATCACCCCGTTTTCTCCTTCATTCTGTTAACGGTGTAGATCACACTGGTAGATGTTTGTGGGTTTGTGGCAGGCCAGGCTCACTAACGCAGGCCTCCATAACAACTGTTTCAGCACTGACCACGTGGTGAAGTTAAATATTAAAAGCCGGCCGGGCACGGTGGCTCACGCCTGTAATCCTAGCACTTAGAAGGCCGAGGCGGGCGGTTCACGAGGTCAAGAGATCGAGACCACCCTGGCCAACATGCTGAAACCCCGTCTGTACTAAAAATACAAAAATTAGCTGGGCATGGTGCCACGTACCTGTATTCCCAGCTACTTGGGAGGCTGAGGCAGGAGAATCACTTGAACCCGGGAGGTGGAGGTTGCAGTGAGCCAAGATCATGCCACTGCGCTCCAGCCTGGCGACAGAGTGAGACTCCATCTCAAAAAAAATTAAAACAAAAATAAAAGCTGAGAGAGCTGGCCCCCTTATACAAAGGCTGGGATGTAACAAAAGCCTGCCAAGAGTTTTGCCCAGGCCTTTCCTGGGCCTTAAAGCATGAAAAATAACAAAGGAATTCTTAACATGACCCGTTTAGGACTAAACAAGTTTTACTGAGGCCATGAACCACAAGCCCTTCCCCAGGTGGACCATTGGGAAGCCACATGTGACCAGTAGGTGGTCACTCATCTTTCTGCAGAGCTCCCAATGTGACCAGCCAGCTCCCCACCTGCCGGCCATTATAAGAGTCATCCTCTTCTTGACACCTCCAGAAGAGAACCTGGATTTCCAGCCCAAGTCTGTCCTTGTCGGCTGCCCAGGCCCAACACTTAGGACTCATCCTGATTTCTCCTTCTCCCTCCATTTCTACCTCCAAGTTCTGCTGCCCCTCCCTCGAAGGCACATCATGAATTTTTAATTGTCCCCTACACCTCTCTCACGGTTGTCCCAGTACAATCCCCATCACCCCCAACTGAGTCATGTCACAGCCTCGTGCTGGCACTGTCCTCCCCCAACAATTCTCCCTCCAGCAGCCAGAGTCCCTCTCCAGCCCCCAAGCTCCACGCCACCTCAGACGTCCCCTACCATGGCCCTGGTCCCGCTCCATCTGGCCCCTGCTGACCTCTCCTCTGCATCCCCTGCCACCCCAGGCCTTAGCCAGCCCATCCCAGCAATTCCTTCAGGATCCCTCCACCCCACCACTAGCTACCCTACTCTAAGCGGCGCCCCGGGCCCTTGCCTGGTGGCCTCCTCTTCAGCTCAGCAACCTCTTCTCAGTGGGGCCTTCCCTCATCAGCCCGTTCAAGTTACCTCCTCCGCTTGCTCTTTCCAATAGCCGCCCACCTGTTTGCTCCTGGGGTTAGCCCCCCACACCCCGGGATCACTTCACTCAATTTTCTCATGTCTGCTCTACCCAGACTCTGAGCGCCAGACACGGGTTCTCACTGCTCCCAGTCTCCACCTTTGGCGGCCACAGCCTTTCTGCCGACCTAGCATCCATTCTCCACCCTCTGCTTGCCGGCGTCCGGCCCACGGTACCCCAACTGTGTCTGCAGGATGTGTGCCCAGCCCCAGTGAGGCATCAAATGGGCCTAAGCGGAGGATTGGCTGAGAGGTGGAGACGAGACCCAGGGTGATGCTGAAACGTAAGGACACGTCTGCAGGGAATCCGGGGAAAGACACTTCCTCCTTGATGAAGGGAGGCAAGCATGGGGGGCCCTGGCTGCCCCTCGCTCCCTGCTCCTCCTTCTGAGTGCCACTGTGTGAGGATATGGTATCCCCTCCTTCTAACTGTGCCACGACCGGGTCAATATGAGTGTTCCAGGAGAGCGGAGGAGGAGGAAAGCTCCGGGTTACATCCCAGGGCAGCCGAACAACCTGGAGCGCACATTTGGGACTTCCTGTTCTTATTTGTGTCCTCATGAGTCATGTCCCCACTAGGTGAGCTCTCTGTGACGTGCAGCCTCACGCGCACTGACAGGCATGAAGCCCAGCGCTGGGCGCATGGGACCTGCTCCATCAGGTTAGAAGCAGGGAACAAACGCCTCACGGCTCCTGCTCCCAACACAACCATGGAGACAGGCACGTCCGCATAAGCCATCCCAGAACCGAGTGGACTCACTGCTCAGGAGCACGAGGAGGCCCTTCAGCCTGGGGAAAAAGCTGGGCCAATCTGGACGGCGCAAGGCTTCGAAGAATGAGAAGGTTTTGCACAAACAGGCTGGCAGAGGAGATGGCAAAAGGAAGTCTCATGAGCAAAGCTATTAGCTATTAAACGGTGGCTGTGGAGCAAGAGCTTGGGACACAGGGCAGGGAGGGCGCAGTTAAGGATAGAAACAGCTAGAGATAAGGCGAACAGAGCCTGGTGGAGAAGGCCTTGAGCATCATGCAGATTCACGTTCTCTTCTGCAAGCAAAGGGACAGGTTCTGTTTGCTTGTTTTACTAAATGGAGGAATGACATGATCAGTAGATGAAAATTCCACAGCCGCATCAATCACGGAGTAGAAGATGGCAAAGCCTAGAGGTCCGCAGACCAGTGGGGAAGCCACCCCCGCGGGCCAGGCCTGTGATGAAGGTCTTGGGGCGGCGACAGTGGCTGGAGGAGCCACTCCAGAGGTCCACAGGGAGGGCTTGGGAATGCCTGGGTGTAGGGAGAGAGGGGGAGACACATGAGAAAGGGCTCCAAGCCTACACAGGCTCTCTGAGGGTGGCAGCAGAGTCCCCAGGACAAGGGGCAGTCTTGGGGCTATCAGCTGTGGACAGGCTGAGCTGGGGAGGCCCGGCAGCCACTCTGGTGGAGACGTCCCACAAGCAGTCAGAGGTGGAAAGGGGAGCCTGGAACGGGCCGGAATTGCACAGGCACACATAGGGGCCCACAGCGGGTAGCAGCAGGGTCAGTCGCGGGACTGATTATCTGTCAAGGAAGAGGGCTTAGGAACACTGGGGGCTAGAATCCTGGGGGATGTCCAGCAGCTGGCGGGTGGGCAGAGAGGAGAGGCCAGGGAAAGAACGCACAGGGAGCTGTCAGAGAGGTAGGAGAGCCCAGGTAGACTAATCCACCAGAGCCAAGAGGAGAGAGGAGGGGGACCCCTGGCTGAGGAGTGAACGAAAGTGAGGACATAGATGCAACGAGGAACTGTCGGAGTCCCTGTTAGCAATGCAAAATGTTTGTTCCCTGGTGTCACAAGGAAAAATTAGCATTCAGACAAAAAGTTCTCTCAGCGAGGCAATTTTTACTTTCTGCAGAAAGGGTGTCCCTTGCAGATGGAACAATGGGGAGGGCACACACAGAATAAAGAGACGCCAGAATATCCATTCTATATGCATGAGGCCTCTATTGCTGTGTCCTGTCTCCATTGGCTGGAGCCGGACCTCACAATCTAAATTAAAACCCGATTGGCTAATAATTTATTCTCAAATAAGGAAGGAGCATAGGCTGTGAGCTGGAACATGCCTATGAGCACGTGAGCACAGATATCTTGGTTAAGGTACAAGGACATGGAATGTACTACGTGCCTTGAGCATGTCTAACAGCTACCTAGGATAGGGCTTAACAAAGAGTTATTAGCACAAAGCAAGGAGGCTTGAAGGAAGTTAGTCTTTAAAAGAAACTATTATTTCTAACACTTATGATTTATTCTTTAATAAGAAGGGAAACTTTGAAGAGGAAACTTTTTACTTTCTACAGTCCTGCAACCACACAAACAACTGCAGAGAAAGGCAGCAGCAGCAGGCCTCCTAACAGCCAAGAGGCGGAAGCAACCCAAACGCCCATAGATGAATGAATAACAACGTGGTCTCCATACGATGAATGTTATCTGGGCATAAAGGGGAATGAGGCTCTGACACACGCTACAGGGATGAGTCGTGTAAACGTAACGCTAAGTGAAAGAAGCCAAACGCGAAGGCCCATGTAGTGTATGATTCCATTTGTATGAAATGCCCAGAAGAGGCAAGTGCATAGACAGAACCATTAGGACTGCCCGGGACCAGGGGAAGAGGAGGAGAGGCTGCTGATGAGTAGACAGGGTGTGCTTTGGGGTGATGAACTGTTCTCAAATGGATTTTATTGGCGTTTTAATAACTTCGTGGATGTATTACTATTGCAGGATTTTTCCTTAGTTCAGCTAAACACCTCTTAAAGGTCCTACCTTTTCATACTGTAACAATGGCAGTTACATTTCAACATGAGTTTTGGAGGGAACAGATATTCACACTGTAGCTTTCTGCCACTGGTTCCCCCACACTCGCCAGTCTCAGTACAAAACGCATTCATTCCATCCCGACTGCCCCAAAAGTCCTAACTTGCTCCAGCACCAATTCAAAAGTCCAAAGTCCAGAGTCTCCTCTAGATCAGATATGAGTGAGACTCAAGGAACAATTCATCCTGAGGCAAATCCCCTCCAGCTGAGAGCCTCGAAATTTAACAAGTTATGCACTTCCAAAATACACTGGGGGACAGGCATGAGATAGACATTCCCATTCCAAAAGGGAAAAAAGGGCAAGAAGGAAAGAATAACCAATCCCAAGTAAGTCTGAAACCCAATAGGGCAGACATTAAATCTTAAGACTCCAGAATGATCTCTGACTCATCTTAATGTGATCCCCCAAGGCCAGGAGCAGCCCCACCCTGTGCTGGGTTCTGCCCATGCCGCAGCTGTCACAGGATGGCATCTAGTGCCTACATACAGCTCTCCCGGCTGGGGCGGCAAGCTGGTGGTCCCACAGTTCTGGAGCCTTGGGAGTGGCCCCGTTCCCATGGCTCAGCTAGGCATTATGAAGTCATGTTACCAGCCAATAAATGTAATCTCTCTTCTTTCCTATCTGGATGCCTTTCATTTCTTGCCTAATTGCCCTGACTAGAACCTCCAGTACAATGCTGAATAGAAGTGGTAAGAGTGGACATCTCTGTCTTGTTCCTGAGCTTAGGGAGTTTTCAAATGAGATGGGCGTTTCTGTGGTTTGAGGGAAAGAAATTAATGGGGAAAGAAACTGGGGATATGTATAAGACAAAGGATAATTGACAGAGATGGATCCAGGGGAGACAGGAAAAAAGCAGGCCACTTCTTCTGGCGATGGGAGGGAACAAAAACAACTCTGACTGATGTGGAAAGGTAGGAATGCTGCCCTTCACACCTAATGGTCGTCTCTTCTCAGTAAAGTGGGGCAGTCACCTGGGGAATGGTCAGGGTAGACTGGGGGCTTGAAGCAAGGAGGAAACATCAGGCATGACTGCTGCTGTGTGGAAGAACGCGGACCAGCCCGTGGAGATGGACCCACAGAAGGGGCCAGCCTGGTGCTTTGCTGTCTCTCTGTTCGGTGCTGGTTCACCAAGCGCCTTCCCCTGCTTCTGGGTTCTAGCCCACCTGAGACTTTTCCCTGTTTATTCCCTGGCATTATGAAGTCATCTCTGGAAACTGAAATCATACTAAAAATGTATTATATTGACTGAAGGCATATTTCTTGATCTTAATTTAAAACTGATGTTTCACGTTTCTTCTAAAAAAGTGGGGGCGGTGCAAAGACTAAGTTACTTATCTTTTCTGACTCTGCTCTTCTTAACAGAAGACAGAACCCTCCTCCCACTTTCAAGGTGTTACAACTGAACTCAAGGTGCAGCTGGAGTAACACCCTCCTGCACAAGTGTCCGGTCAGCACCCCTTTCCCACCTCGAGGGCCCCGCCTGAGCCCAGAGACACCGCGAACAACAAAGATGGCTTGGGCAGAGTTGGAGTTTATTTGCTGCAGTTCCTTGGCGCTAGTTTACAAGGCAAAAACAAACAAACAAAAACAATTAGAATAATTATTTCTTAAAAACCCTGTCAACAACTTTCAGTCATTTCTTTATATTTTTGTATTTTGACAAAACTTCTTTTAAACAAATACAAAATAATCTAAAAGGAGAAAAACTATACATAGATTATTTACACCTCTGATAAATAGACTAATACTGACCCAGGTGCCTCTCTGTCTAGGAAACACTTGAGAACCAGGCCAGGGCCCGGGCCAGCTGGACAGGCTCCAGCACCGGCCCAAACACGCCCAGACCTCGGCAGGCACCACCTGGTTCTCCCACCCAGAAAGTTCAGGTTTCCAGCCTGGACCCTCTTCTGTCACCCTCACAAGCTCTGGCACAAAAGTGCCTAAAGCCATTCCCTCCAGGTAGGATCTACACAAAGTGGCGGGGAGGGAGGTGACAGACTGTCCCCCTCTATTCCTCCCACCACTCCTCTGCAAAAGCTATTTCCAGAGATGCTCGCCAACCCTAAAGGATCAGAGGAGCCGTGGCGACGCGGCCCTGTGAAAACCCGCAGCTCCTCCACCTGCCTCCTCAGGGCTGCGCCCTGCACCGCCCTGGTCCAGGGTCCTGTGGAGGGGCGGGGCGAGACGGCCAGACAGCCAGCCACCTGCTCTGCCTGGACTGGCATGCTGGCCCTGGCGGAGTGGCAGGAGCTGCCCTGAGAGTCCCTGAGAGAACGGCAGGAAAATGCTGCGTGTCACGGCTCCCTTCATACTGTAATGAGGAGGGGCAGGGCCAGCTCACACAGCGCCTGCAGGGGAAGACAGAGATGCGAGAGGCAGCCCGGCCACCCCCCTCACTCCAGTGCACCCCACGGAGCAGATAAAGGCCCATCTTCCCCTCTAGGGGGCCCACCACAAAATGCATCCAGAGTAGTCCAGTTAGGGCTGGTTTTGAGGCAGAAAAAGCTGAAGCCCTACGGGGATCGGGGAAGTCCTACTCCTTCCTCTAGAACGAGGACTGGAGTCTGGGGAAGAGGAAGAAAACCCAAAATGAAACAGGTTATCCGGAACCTCTGTCCCGATAACCTTCCTCACAGTTTTGGTTATTAGGTATTTAGCTCAAGGAAAATGCTGACTTTCTACTTTAAAGCCCAACAAGAACTTGGATTCTGAAGGAGGAAAATAACGTAAGCGTCCAGTCAGCTCTCTCCTCTCCTCGGCGCTCCGCAGGCACTTGGGATGGAAAAGCATCCGCGGGAGATGCCGGACTGCACGCTGCTGCCGACTGCGACCCCGGCCAGGGCAGGCCCCCGACTCTGACTGTGCCGTCTGAGGCTCCACTGGGCCTCTGCCCTCTGCGTCCTCGACCTCACCTGTCCATCTCGCCCAGACAAGCACCAGGCAGCGAGCTCCCACAGCACAGGAGAGGCAGGCCAGGCCCTGCCGCGGGCCCAGGCTGATGCCCCTTGGCCGCAGCCCCAGGTGCTCTTCTCCAGGGAGAAGCTCCCCAGCGCAGCCAGGGCAGAATGCACCTGAACAGCCCTACGTTCTCTCTTAAAAAAAAAAAAATAGATCTTTATAGTATGTGGCTTCTCTTCCTTTCCACCTTTTTCTCTTAACATATAATAATATATGGACACATGTATTTATGGTGCAGGGTTTGAAGGCTTCTTCACGGGGACAACCAAGAGGTAAACAGTTGGCTCTGAGCTCTGCTACCAGAACACTGAGCAGAGAAACTGGCCAGGAGGCTGCCCTGCCGACAAGAGCTCTGCCCTGTGAGAGAGGAAGGCTCTGGAGCCCATGCTGGACAGGTGGCCGGTCCTCTCTTCCCCAGTGATAACTGCCCACCCTTCTCCCACTTAAAAAAAATAGCAAAAGCTGAAGCTAGTCTCTAGGAATCCAGGGCGGGGCCTGGCAGAGGACGCTCTGCTCGGCAGCAGTGCATCCATGGAGGTGCGGGAGAAGAGCAGGAGCTCCAAGGCCCCCGCAGACCAACGCCCTTGGCTGCACGCTCAGTGTCGCTTCGTGGAGGAGACCTTCTTTTTCCGTGCTGCGAGCATTTCGTAGAAAGGGTCCCTGCTGATGGCTGCTCTGGAGCACAGAAAAGGGAGAAAACAGAGACGTGAGGGACAGAATCAGAAGAAACACACCCAGGCAGGGGATTCTCAGGGGCCCCTCGTGCCCCAGAACACCTGTCCCACCCCACCATCACTGCAAAGGCCAAGTTAGCGTCCTCCACCCTTGCTGTGTCCACACAGTGACCTAAGGTGACACACTTCGAAAGAGACACAGGAACACGTGACAAGAAAATTTTGGGGTTTTTACCTGTTTCAACATAATAATCAATTCACATTTAGGAACAGAATCATACCACATTCTTACAGCTATATTCCAATTCAGAGAAAAAGACTGGTGCTTGAGTTTCCATGATGACATCTGACTTTGCTTTGCAGCAGCGAGTGCCACGTAATCAAGCCGTGTCACATGCAGTCCTCTGGCACGGGGTGTGTGATAGCTGGCATGGTAATGCAGTGGGGCCTTCCAAGCCCCCCACGTGCACCTGCTCAGTAACTAAGGCTCCATGACTCTGCAGGCGGCACTGCCCAGCACGATGCTGCTGGTGGGGCACCATGGACAGACCGGCTGGACCTGGCTGGGTCTCCGGTGCACAGGGAGGGGGCCCGAGCTCATGCTTGTGCTACAGCCTCAAAGACAGCAGCGCAGGCCGCGCCGCGGGCTGGAGCACCTGCAGTGGACTGGCAACACCACAACCCTATGTCTGCCATTCTCGACTTTCAAGCAACTTATGGTCTAAAAGTCCTGACACTTAATTTCTTTCCAGGGAAGCTGTATCCTAAGTGATGATTTGTTCCAGAGCTCGGGCACAAGCCTCCTGACTGCAGGCAGGGCACTCACCCCTGCTGAACGGTGGCACCAGCAGCTGCTATGGCTCTCCTGGGCTGACCTGGAACCTATTCACAAGAGACAGTGTGTCCATGAGAAAATGCTTCCGCAGCTCCCCGGGGAATGCTAGGAACTGAAGAGCACTAGAAACATGTCCCGATGGGATCTCACTGGGAAGCGGTCTGACCACCTGAAGTGCTTTCACGAGGGAATCTGGCGGCCGGGACACCTGCTTTCATGTTTGGAGGTGTTGGGGTGAATCTCCCTTGGCTTCCTGGGTAGGCCAACCCTTTCGGGTAAGCTGGGGGGTTCTGCAGAGAGGTGCGTGTGGCACTGCCCTGTGTGCAGAGGCAGAGTGTCAGGCGATGAGGGGGGCTGGGCTGCGGTCGGACACCAGGCCCCAGGCCCGGCCCTGCCTGGCCCTGCCTGCTGCTTCTCAACTCCCGCTTCCTCACATGCAAGCTGGAGATGCCCCACCTCCACCTCCCTGGGTTCCGGAGAGTCAAAAAGAGATCCCATATTCAAAGAGCACATCTCAGCGCCTAGCCGACACACTCGATGGCAGCCGCTGTTACCGCTGACACGCAGTTCTACTGCTGTACCTCTGGGTACAGCGTGAAGAAAGTCCCAGCATTAGAGAACACACCTGATTCTACAGAACCGAATGCTGGGACCACCCACACGCAGGGGCACTAGAACTGAGGGTGCTGGGAACTCCAGGAAAAGCACTTCGTGAGAGGAAAACACGTCCTGAACTTGACCTCGAAAGCCTTTCTGGCAATACTGGGGAGGAGGCATCCACCAGCCAGATCATCTTCCTGCTCCTGTTGTCACCAATGTTTCCACTGGGAGGAGTATCTAGGGCCAAGGACAGCTGAGGCTGCACGGTGGTTACCAGTGCAGCTGCATGAGTCACACTGCTCAGGTTTGAGGACCAGCTCCACCTCTGTGGGGTTTTGGACAACTTACTCAACTTTGCTGTGCCTCAGTGTCCCTCATCTGTGAAATGGGGATAATCCTAATGGTCCCACCTCGCACTGGGTGCAAGAAGGTTTGAGGACAGTGTGCCTGCAGAGTGCCAAAGGGGGTGTCTGCAGATCCCGAGGCTGAGGCCAGCCCGCTCCGGGACAGAGCAGAGGAGTCCAGCAAGCCCACAGGAGAACTTGGCACTCACGCTCATGAAAGGATTGAATGATTCTAAATGTGACTTTGAAAAATGCTTAGTTTTTCTGACTATAGAAGTAAAAACCATATGAAAGACACATGTACAAAACCAGCCAAAACTGTTTTGAAAGACCAGTGAGGGAGGACAGGGAACTCGCCAGCCAGCACAGTCAAAGGACACCACGATGCCACAGGGGGAGGGGCGGGCGGCGCTCACGCTGGGAGGCGCGGTGGAGCAACAGGTGCATGAAGCGTGGTGGGGGAGCTGGGTACACTCTAAGGAGAGCATATGAAGTCAGTGGGGGCGATGCCAATGAATCCATAAATGGTGTCCGGACCATCAGCTATTCATTCATGAGAACAAACTTAAACCCTTACTTCAAATCTTATATAAAAAATACATTTCATAATGATTCAATAAATTTTTTTTTCAGTATGTTAAAAAAAAGGATACCGGTCCCCCACAACACTGCTGTTTTCTTCCCCAGAACACAGGGCTGGTGCCATTACTGGTAGGGGACTCTGAAAACACCGTGGCACCGCGTCTGCTCAATGGAGGGTGGGCTGGCCCCCGCTCAGGGCCACACTTCCCATGATGGCTGTCATGCCAGGGAAGCTGCCAAACCCCATGCCCACTACACAATCTCATTTAATCCTCAAAAGAGCCCCATGAGGCAGAAATGACCTCTATCACACAGAAGAGGTAGGTTACCCACCTACCAGGCACTGCGCTCAGAGAGACAGAGCGAGGAGTCTCAGCGCAGCGTGACCTGGCGCCAAATCCATCCTCTCTCCAGCTGGTTCCTGTCTGTTTTCATTGCATGAATTTTCAGATTACTTTTGAGAGGATAAATCATCTATTCCTTTCCCTCCATCATCACATCATCTCCATCTTCAGTCAGTTTTAAGGTATTTAGCTTGGGCCAAAACCTACACTGGTCTGAGTAGAAATACCAAAAGATAAAACAAAGGCTAGAGGATATTGCACACCCTCGGGAACGGGGCTGTAGCCTGGGTGGGAGAAAGCCCGTCACACAGTACACAGAGGACTTACAGGGACCTTCGCAGTCACCTGTGGGCACATTCTCCCTGTCTTCCAGGTGAAGTCACACAGGCAGCTGAGGAGTCTTTCTCAGGAAAACAGCTAGGTGAACTCTCATGGATGAAGCACCAGGAGGGAGAGGGCAAGGCTGTGCTCTTAGGAGAAAGGATCACTGAGAGAAGGCAAAGTCAGAATGCTCACTGCTGACCCTCGCACAGGGACTGGAGGGAGGAGAAAGCATCACTGAGAGAAGGCAAAGTCAGAATGCTCACTGCTGACCCTCGCACAGGGACTGGAGGGAGAGCCAGGCAGACCAAGTCCCAGGGAAGAACATTAAGCAAGAGAAGCCAACTGACTTTAGAAAGCCATGTTTCCAGATACTTGTCACATGAGGAAATTTCCAGCCCCGTGATAGACCTTACATGGCGTGGCCCAGTGGAGCCAACAGAGCCGAGAGGTAGGAGTCAGAGGCCTGGACTTGGGAGCTCCACTTCTTAGCTGTGGAACCCTGAGGAAGCTTCTCCCTCCTCCCGGACCTTGGATCACGGTATGTGACTTCCAGCAAATTTCTTAACCTCTATGGGCCTCAGTTTCCTCATCTGTAGCTAGGAAAATGGTGTCTCACAGGATTCACAAATTACAGAACATGACTACTATCTCCTCTGAGCTGTCACTATGAGAATGAGAGCGGCTTCGTCAGACACAGAAAGACCAGTTGAGCAGATGGCATCTGTGTGGGTAGCTCACTCGCCTCTTCCTATTTTGGGTCTATGAGGACACGTGGGGAACCCAGATGGGACGTGCTCTCTTACATATGCTATAATAGCCAAGAATCCAAAGGCCTCCTGGGAAGCCGTCAGCTGGGAACCAGGACGAAGCTTCCCTAAGAACTTGGAGCACAGAAGAGATGCGGGCGGCATGTTTAACCACTAAGATGATCAACACCTGGTGAGGTGAGGGCTGCACCAGGCGCGCACTGCCCTTTCTCAGCAGTCACTTACTTAATGCACTTAATCCACTCCTCCTTCTCCTCGGGCGTCGGAGCTGAGATCCGGTAAACAGTGTGGTTCCCCTCCACCACCCGCCCGTCAGCCTCGGTCTTGCAGGCCTTGATAACTTGGTCTTTATTGTCGGGGATATAAAGCTCAAAGCAGTTCTGAGAATCAAAACAGAGAGGGAGAGAGTGGAGCAAAGGAAGCTGTTAACTGAGAAACATGCTGATTTCTTTCCCCAAAACCCCTTTCTTCTGACCTTCACAAAATACAAGGAATACATATTTTCCTGTGGAAAAGTGAAGCCTAGAAGCGGAATTCTAGAGACTGTAAATTGTATAGAAGTCAGTCTCGTTTGCAAACACACCGGCCTGATATAAGCTGGCCCCACTTGCAATGTACGTAAAATGCGGAGAGAACTGCAGGTGACTCACGACTTTAACTTCAAGCCAGTAACATCCTGACAGCCCAAAACAAAGGAAAACTAAACGGGAGGTGTCCCAAGGGTATAAACTACATAGCCCACTCCTGCGTGCTTGCCGCTGCCATTGCAGGAGGGGCAACTTCTACACCCCATGTGACATTCACTAAGTGAAACGATAAAGCAGACAGACGGCACAGGAAGAAGTGATTTCGAGTCTCATCTTTGGCTTGAACAATATAATAAAAAATTAGACTAAATAAAAGCCTGATCACGCTTTTCAGTTTTTTGGTTTTGAGTTTTTTAAAAAAAATCTTTGAAATGCCCATCCCCTTTCTCCCCTCAAAATATCTCAGCAAAAATACTCACTGGTTTTTTGGAGTCCTCCACTTCCCGGATACTCAGATTCTCTAAAGGGATGATTCCACGGGGCTCCTTATCCTACAGAACAGTTGAAGAGAGGAAGTTTAAGATCACAGTTTAAGGACACACACTGTCAGATTCCTCGCCGGTGACTCAGCCGAACTTTCCTGCTTTCTCCCAGGACATGAAGTTCATAAATCAGCCTGAGGGAACTCCTTACATTCTAAACAAGAATAACACCAAAAATGTCTGAGGATTGTCAATATAACTGCTAAGTCCTCCGCGAGTAGAAAGACCAGAAGATTCAACAGACACCGTGAGAGTGTGGCCGGCAGTGACCCGGGCACGGTCCTCAAGCAGGGAGTGTGCGGGCCCCTTTCCCTCTTCCCTTTGCCTGGCTCTCCCACTCACCTCTGAAGCCTCAGTTCTGGGGCAACAACTCCAGGAAGCCTTTCCTAGTTTCACCCTAGCGCCCCGATGCCTGGGACTGCAGCTGTGGGTCTGACCATTAACCACTCACTGCCTCTGTCCATCGCCCCACCGCCAGACAGTACAATCCTCAGAGACACTGCCATCCTGACAACTCCACCTGGATTTCCAAAGGCACCTTGACTCCTGTCCAGAACAGAGCTGCACCCGCCAACTAGTCCCATCTCATCTACAGAGGGCACGGCACCGCAGACACTTCCAGCACACGCCTGACGGCAGTTTCACAGTCCCCTGATATCCAGCCAACCCATGGCCAAGTCCTAGCACTGTTAAAGTCTTTATATTTGGCCAGGAGAATGGTGTGAACCCAGGAGACGGAGCCTGCAGTGGGCCCAGATAGCGCCACTGCACTCCAGCCTGGGTGACAGAGCAAGACTCTGTCTCAAAAAAAAAAAAAAAAAACCAACCAGTTCTATGAGTTCTCTAAAAGCGAAAAAGAGTCTTTCAGCCATTTCCCCATCCTGGCTAGCAACTATTTCCAACTTCTTCAAGCCAACCTGCTTGGTCTTTACCTCTGTATCTCACACATCTCCAAAATACCATATTAGAACTGCCTTTTGACTGCTTGATTTTAGATGTTATCTACAGAAGAGGACTGAGCTCCTCTTACCCGGGCATATTCATATTCCCCGTCCTCCTAAAATAACTATCTGGTCATCTGAGGTAGGGCTATACACAGTGTCTTCATTAACACCACGTTTCTCTTCCGACCTGTGCCATATAGTGAACTTCCTAATTTTTTCCTTCCTGAAAAGCTTCCTTCCCCACTGGAACCAAAATTATGGAGGGTGGAGAAGTGGGTTGTTCCTTTGATTTATATTTCTGTGACCTTACCACCAAAACCAATTGCAAATGGTTAACCTCTTATCAAAATCTCCTTGCTAATGCTAATTTGTATCAGGCATCCTATTAATTTTCATTTCTTGAAGTAATCCTTCCTGGAGCCTCTGAAACCTGTTCCAGTCTGGACTGGTTGCCTTGATACTCGGTAAACTGCTTCATCCTTAACCTCAGCACTCTCCATTCCAGAGCACTCTTCCCTCCTCTCTTGAAACAAGAGGTTTCAAGATCTCTGGTTTCCTACAGCCAAGGCCTTTGTCCTCCACCAGCATCCTGAGAAAGGGTGTGTGGGTGGTAACATTTCTGAAATCTCACTTGGCTAAGAATGTTTCTATTGGACCCTCACACCTGGCTGCTATCTGGCTGTGCCTAACAGTCTAGGCTGGACGTGACCCTCCTCCAAGACTGGGAAGCCCAGCATTCCTGCCTTCAGCATTCAATATCACCCTACACAAAGCTGTTCTGGTTGCTGGTGCTTTGCACACGACTGCCGTCCTCTGTGTCCTCAGTGTTCTGAGGCCCCCTAAGGAGGCAGCCTTGGCGTGCATTCATTTTCAGTCATCATGCAGGGTATTCAGTAAGCCTTCCAACCTGGAAACACATCCATCGTTTGGGGGAGGTTTAAAAAAATTATTTTGTCAAGGGTTACCCCCTCTTTGTTTTCTCAGCTTCTCTGGAACATGCTAGACCTCCTGGACTAGTTCTTCTTTGGAAAATAAAAGTCTTTCCTTTATTATTTTCCCTCTGCCTTTTTATTCTTTCTGGGAGATTTTCTTAATGCTTTTCTTCCAACTTTTCCATTGAGTTTTCACTTCTACCATGCTTTGAATTTCCAGGAGGATTTTTTTTTATTATTTTTGTTCCGTGGCTTCATACAGGATCCTGTTCTTGTTTCGCAGCTGTGATGTCACCTGAGACGGCTGAGTCTCTTCACAGCTGGTGGTGGACCCTTCTTCTTCCTGGACCCCTCCCTCTCTCTCATCCAAGTTGCTCTTTGGCTGTTCGGCTGCTTTGGTCTCTACCTGCTCTCAGCCGGCAGGAATTCCTCAGGTATCTGGGACTCCTTGGTTGTCCCATTTGAAGAGTGGAAGACTAAGAGCTGACTGGGACCTGAAGCCTGTGCACTGTGACCATCTACAAGGGCCCTCTCACTAGGCTGTCTGCTGGGGAATCTGACTAAATAACCTCACGCATCTCTTCTTGGGCAGAGAAGTTTCCCACTCTGTCTGCAAGCTACAGACCTGGCTACCTGTGGTTCTGAGAGCTGAGTGAGGAGAAGCTGGGGGTGGGAGAAGTCCTCAGCATTCGAGAAGGCTGCATTTACCCCACACTCCTGTCTGGGGAAAATGCCCCCACCTTCAACTGGGCCTAGAGTCCCTCATCCAGAAATGCTTGGTCAGTCTCTCCTGTGAGCGAGCACTCAGACTTCTGCCTGGGTGGTGGGGACAGGCCCTCAGGGGCATGAGGTGAGGGCAACAGCTGGTCTGTTTCCTAAACAGTTCTCAGCCAATTCTGCTTCTGGTTTTTACCCTCCCCATTCTCACTTCTAGGGTTTAATTGGTGCCTGCACCTTTTGAGGATTCCGCTGGGTTAACTGGGTTGAGGCATCACCAGGCGAGCAGGTGGGTGGTCTAAGAGTAATCACACTTTGGACCTCAATAAGTATGTGACATAATGTATACTCTTTGACTGGTGAGGCCTGCGGCATCCAGGTTACATATGCATGATGCACATTCTTGATGGAATATGATTTTAAACCAAGATGATTTACACCCATGCTCTTCAGCCTGGGAGTGGGGACCAGGTTATAAGAAGACCCTCCTGGTCACCGGGAGAACCCACTGGGGATTCTGGTATCCTTCCTGGCCCCCCCTCTTTCCTGCTCCATCCTGCAGAGCGTGGCCCTCCTCGCTCTTCTCAGCACACTCATCCTGCCACTTGAGAATTGGCTTGAGTGAGCCAGCATCGCAGACAGGTGCTCACGCTATCCCTCAGTGCTGGAGTGAAAGAAGAATGAGAACCACTGATGGAAACAACTAAACGTTAAGCTGCTGGGCAGCAATGTAAAATCCCAAATATTAAAAAGGCCCCTGCCTAGAACTTTCACTGGACTCTGGCAGGCCTAATAACAGGCAGGCTGCACCCCTCAGTGATGACTTGTGTGTGCCCAATAACCACTCCCTTCCCCTGTGAAGAGGGAAATAACCGAGGCCAACGTCTTTGGCTTTTTAAATTTGTCTTTAAGAACAATCACTGTTGCTGTAAAAATACGAATTGCTTATTATAAAGAACTAAATATTGTAGAAAAGAATACAGGTGAAAGGTTTAAAAATACTCCAAATCCAATCACTCCTAAATTATCATTGCTGACATTAGGTGAAGATATTTTGTGTGTGTGCAGAGAGATGGAGAAAAACAGGTTTTATGAAAATGGGATATTTCGAGTGGTATTATTTTCATAAAACACATTCTATTTTAATTGTTTAGAATTTAACAGGGGGAAAAAAGGAAGCAGAAACTGAAGAATTGTTGAACTTCAAAGTAAATGTTTCTTTACCACAAGAGTTCCTGAAATAACCTTATTCAAGTTAAGACAAAGAAGTTTATGAAAACATTAAGAGGTCTGACCAGGCATGGTGGCTCACGCCTGTAATCCCAGCACTTTGGGAGGCTGAGGCGGGCAGATCACGAGGTCAGGAGTTTGAGACCAGCCTGACCAACATGGTGAAACCCCATCTCTACTAAAAATACAAAAATTAGCCGCATGTGGTGGCACGTGCCTGTAATCCCAGCTACTCAGGAGGATGAGGCAGGAGAATTTCTTGAATCCGGGAGGCGGAGGTTGCAGTGAGCCACTGCAAGATCGTGCCACTGGACTCCAGCCTGGGTGACAGAGCAAGACTCTGTCTCAAAAAAAAAAAAAAAAAAAAAGGTTTTACTTATTCTTTTAAAAAATACAACATGCTTCCATTTTAACAATATTTCTTGACTCTGCATTTTAAAAAGTACAAAATCTTCTAATTCTTCACATTGTTCCTCCTCCCACCTCCTGATTTTTATTATTTCACTTTTACATTGTCCAGGTTTATAACATTCATGGTACGTCCTGCAGCCACAATTTCTGGTTAATTAGTATTTGTTTTATATTTAAGCATATTTTAGTATTAGCTCTATATTTAAGTTTATTTAGCTATTACTTCTATATGAGTATATTTAGCTATTAGTTCTATACTTAAGTATATTTTGGTATTAGTTCCATACTTAAGTATATTTTCGTATTCTGAACTTAAGCATATTTTAGTATTAGTTGTATATTTAAGTATTAGTTCTGTATTTAAATGAATAGTTCAATGCTCACTACCAGTCTTTTACTTCCCAGGGCCTTTCTTGTGATTCATTCTCTTACGTGCTGGATGTTACTGTCAAGCAATTTTTTTTTCAAGAAGGTTCCAAAGTGCCGCATTTCACATGTTTTCTTCAGGAGAGTGCGGCCAGCTGTGCTTTACTTAAACAATAACGTGGCTGGATAAAGGGTCTTGGGTCATTCTTCTCTTCAAAACTGTGCAGACCTTGATACTTTAATTTCTGGGACTAAAAGCTGCTGGAGATGATCTGCTTTTTCCAACAGAACGACCAGACACTTGGCTCCAAGTTCAATGGTCTAAGGGGCCAGGCTTTGGAGCGACCCTTTCTGTAACAGTTTCCTGAAATACGGTGTCTTCTTTGATTTGCAGATTCAGGGCTTTTTCCTCTTTCTCAGGGAAATCACCTCATGCCACACTGTATCTTTGATTCTGCAGACACCAATTACTCTGGTATTATTGGGATCGTCTTCTGTTCTCTGCATCTGCTAGCTTTTCTCTCATTGTTTTAATACTTGTCTTTTTCAGATATAATCTCTGTGATTGGCTCAAGCGTTTAAGACATTATATTTATAGGACATGATTATATTTTCAGCTAATTTGTTCCACTCCTTAAAGTTTTAACTTACCTTTAAGAATAAATAAGTTATAATTCTATGATTATATATTAATGGTTGCACTGTAAGTATATGCTATTGCTTGGGTTCTCACTTGTTTGAAGACGGAAACCTTGCTTTTCTGGCCTTCCAGCTGGCTCTGGTAAATCTGTGAGTGACCCCTGGTTCTCCTCCTGTGAATCTCTGATCTGCTTGTGTCCCCCTAACCACTTACCCTGACCTGTGGTGGGCGGCCAGGTGTTCTGCATTCTAGCATATTATGCAGTCTCGTAGAGAATGGTGAGTGGTGGGAGAGCTCATCGAAGATACTCCCCGAGTTCTGGTCTTTCCTCTCGGATTGTAAGTATCCAACGTCAGGGTTTGCTCCATCTATCTGGGCAGCAGTCCCCAGCCTTTTTGGTACCAGGAACTGGTTTCATGGAAGACAATTTTTCCACGGACAAAGGCAGGGGAGGGAAGATGGTTCGGGATGATTCGAGCACATTACATTTTTTTAAGTTAATTAATTTATTTATTTTTATTTTGGGGGGCACAGTTTTGCTTTTGTTGCCCAGGCTGGAGTGCAATGGCGAGATCTTGGCTCACCGCAACCTCCGCCTCCTGGGTTCAAGCGATTCTCCTGCCACAGCCTCCCTGGTAGCTGGGATTACAGGCATGTGCCACCACACTTGGCTGATTTTTTATTTTTAGTAGAGACGGGGTTTCTCCATGTTGGTCAGGCTGGTCTCGAACTCCCAACCTCAGGTGATCTGCCCACCTTGGCCTCCCAAAGTGCTGGGATTACAGGAGTGAGCCACCGCGCCCAGCCTACATTACATTTATTGTACACTTTATTTCTATTGTTATTATACTGTAATATATAATGAAATAATTATACAACTCACCATGATGTAGAATCAATGGGAGCCCTGAGCTTGTTTTCCTGCAACTAGATAGTCCCATCTGGGGCTGATGGGAGACAGTGACACCCAACATGTGTTGCTTGTGTCCAGTCTACTCTGTAATCACTCTTTGGCTGCTGTCACTGCAGAAAACACTGCTTCACAAAGACAGGATGTTGGGCGTGGAAGCAGGCTTTCAGTGCTTTTGGGGCAATCTCAGGATATTCTGCCTCAACTTTAATCCAGAACATATGGAGATTTGAAGTTGTCTCAAACGTACTTTTAAGGCCACTGTCATTTGCGATCTCAAGCAGTTGATCTTCTTCTAGCATTGGCCAAGGTGATTCACCTGGCTTATTCTCAAATGGGTCACAGATCCATTCCTTTCCAGTTCAGGTTCTTTTGTGGTTGGGAAGTATCGCTCAAGCTCTTCTGAAAGCTGAGGCGCTGGGGCAAAGAAGGCCCTGGCTCCGTCTCTCACAATCTCTCTAATGTTTGAAACATGTCAGAAATCCCAGTGTTCACTCATCACCCCTGTAATTCCAGTTTGGCTTTGAAAGCAGCCACTTGATCTGCCGACTGGGACACACTTGTCACTCTCCCCTGAAGTGACAGATTGAGTTTGTGAGTAGGTTTAATCTGTCACACAAGTACACAAGTTTCCTGACCTATATTCTGTGTCACTGAAATGTGCTGCTAGTGGTGACTTTTTCTAGAAGAAATCTCTGAAGTGGCTGTTGCAACTCAGAAACTCTGGCCAGTGATGTGCCTTTAGAGAGCGTCTCACTCTGTGTATCACAGAAGCCGTGTGTGCTCTGCGTCCATCTCCTCCGAGGGCTGCATGAACAGACCTGAGTTAGGCCATGTACTTTAATGTGGTTGGTAATTTCAATCGCATCCTGCATAAATGTTGTTAAGTTCAGGTGACACTTTTTGGCTAGCCAGCACTTCTCTATGGATGACATACTGCATAGACTCACATTTAGAAGTGACCTCTTTGACCTGAGTAGTGAAACCAGAAAGCTGTCCAGTCACGGCAGCCGCTCCATCCATGCATATAACACCACAAAACAAAACAGTTCAGTTTCCCTGATATGTAATAATTCAAAGACTTGAATAGCAGCCGTGGTGTTGGTTGGCAACTAAAGCACACATAACATATCCTCATGAACATCCCCCTGAAAAATATGTCACAGAAGAACAAGCATTGTTGTCTTGTTGTCAACATCGGTAGACTCGTCAACCTGGATTGAGTACCAGAGTGACTCGTTAATCCTCTCTAACAATTGTGCCTCAATATCTGCTGCTGTTTCATCAATCTGCCTAGTTACGGTGCTGGCCGAAAGAGCAACATGTGCCACCTTTTGAACCACAGCCTCTCCTAAAAGCGCATGACAAATGTCCTTAGCAGCAGGCAGGATCAACTCTTCACCAACAGCCAGTCCTGGCTTTGGCAATGCGGTTAGACACGAAGAATGATGCTTTCAGCGCAGACATATTTGATGAAGTGGTGGCCTTCAATAATTGCTTCTGTTCTTGATGTTTACATTTTTTTCTTTTGAAAACTCCAAAGGCTTGTCTTTTGATGCAGGGTGCTTGGTCTCCATGCGGTGAGGCAGTTTTGAAGCTTTCATGGCTTTGTTGGGTAGTTGGTCACCACATATTCTACAAAGTGGGCTTGGCGAATGTGATCACCTGTTGAAATGAACCTAGAATTTGAGTAGAACTCTTGGCGTTTTCTTTACAATGCAGCTTTATTTTTGTTGGCAGTCTTGGCGTGTTCTGCTGTCTCATCAATGGGTCTCTCCCCCTTTTCAAAGAAGCTCTCCAGTGACGTTTGGTTTTTACTCATTTTGGCTAGGGTTGGTGGATGGGCTTACCAAAACCATGGCTGAGACAAGTACACAGTGTGGGAAAGAGATGTGGATGGCAGTGGTAAATAAAATAACGGGCAGGCCATGCACGGACTGAAATAAGTGTTGGATTCTGACTTAAAGCCTGCCACCAGATACAGCTGTACAATTGAAGTACATCAGCTCACTTGCCACTATAAAGCCTGCCACCAGAGGCAGGCTAATTGTCACTTGCCACTCACTGATAGAGTTCTGATGAGTCTGCAAGCAACTGATGTATTATTATGGTCTCTGTGGAGTCAAACCTCTCTGCTAACATTCATCTGTACTTGCAGCTGCTCCCCAGCACTAGCATCACTGCCTCAGCTCCACCTCAGATCATCAGGCATTAGATTCTCAGGAGGAGTGCACAACCTAGATCTCTGGCCCATACAATTTACAATAGGGTTCGTGCTCCTATGAGAATCTAACGCCGCCACTGATCTGACAGGATGTGGAGCTCAGGAGGTGATGTGAGTGATGGGGAGCAGCTGGCTGTAAATACAGATGAAGCTTCCACCGCTCGCCTGCCACTCACCTCCCGCTGTGTGGCCTGGCTCGTAACAGGCCACAGACTGGTACCGTCCTATGGCCTGAGGTTGAGGACCCCTGTATTTGGGGATGGATATCATGCTCATGGGAGACCCTCCATGGACAGTCTTCCCCAGTGAATATACAGTCTTGAGCCTTTACTTATGTCTATAACGGCTGCTTTTTTCACTTTTCCCATTTCACCAATGTCCACCCAGCAGGGGATTTTACTACTCCTTGATCAGGGAGGAAAAAATAACAAGTCCTGTTCAGTTTGCCTCCTCCCAGACCTGAGAAACCAGCGAGACTGCCGGGTCTCCTCAAATCCTGGGCCGTGAGGTAGAAACCCTGCACACTGCTCCTGACTGCTGCCCCTGCCACCGCTGCTTCCGCTGCTGCCCAGGGCTGCAGTGCACTGAATTCGTTCTGCCCCTTCCCCTGCTTGGTTGCTATTTTTCCCTACTTATTTTTTTACTAGTCTTTTGCTCTGTTAGGTAATTCTGTGTGGAAGTTTCAATCTACCATCTTAATTCTGACAGCATCCTCTCTGTGTCTTAAGAAATGTATTCAGCACTTTGGAAGGCTGAGATGGGCGGATCACAAGATCAGGAGATCGAGACCATCCTGACTAACACAGTGAAACCCCGTCTCTACTAAAAATACAAAAAATTAGCTGGGCGTGGCAGCAGCGCCTGTAGTCCCAGCTACTCCGGAGGCCGAGGCAGGAGAATGGCGTGAGCCCGGGAGGCGGAGCTTGCAGTGAGCCGAGATCGTGCCACTGCACTCCAGCCTGGGCAACAGAGCGAGACTCCATCTCAAAAAAAAAAAAAAAAAAAAAAAAAAAAAAAAAAAAAAGAAATGTATTTACTGCTGGGTGCAGATCACCTGAGGTCAGGAGTTCAAGACCAGCCTGGCCAACATGGTGAAACCCCATCCCATCTCTACTTAAAAAACAGAAAACAAAACAAAAAAAAACGGATGTGGTGGCGCACGCCTCTAGTCCCAGCTACTCAGGAGGCTGAGATGGGAGAATCACTTGAACCCAGGAGGCAGAGGTTGCAGTGAGCTAAGATCACACCACCACTACACTCCAGCCTGGGAGACAGAGCGAGACTCCGTCTCAAAAAAAAAAAAGTATTTTTCTCTGTATTTCCATTGCTTGATAAAATGCTACACTTTGCTGAATAAATATTGCTGAATTAAGGATTAAGGTGACACCACTACGGTGGGCATCACGAAAAACCACAAGATTCTAGAATCTCGTAGCATTGCTATAGGATTGTCCAGGACTTAGAAGTACACCACTTAGATGCTTATGTATCATTTTGACCCAGAAAATAGCGAGACAAATTCAGACACGATGTTAAAGACATCGTTAGTGTAGGTGTCTTCAGAAAAAAGGCAAAATATAGGGCAGAAGGGTGAACAAAACAGAAAAAATTGTACCAAGATGTTCACAGTGGTACTTTGGGGGTGAAGCAGAAAGCAGCTTTCTTTTTATTATTTTGCAGATATTTGAAGTGTATTACTCTCATATGAAAAGACTATAACAACAGAAAAGCAAAGCCAGTGCAGAACTTGCAGGGCATGAGCTGAGCCCCTACAACATATGAAATCCCGGCCAGAATTCCCTTCACAGTGATTTACTATCCTCAGTCACCAAACCATCAGAAGCAGCGGCTCTTGCCTGCAGCCTGATGGGCTACGAAGTGCATTCCCTGGGTGAGAAGCTGCATGTGCATGATGTCCATGGGGATGGAGAACAACGCTAAGTGTTAGACACGACAGAAACCCATCTTCACACCTCACAGCAGAAAATGCCAAGGCGTGTACCTGTTTCTTGGTCCTAAATAAGTGACTGGTGAATATGGTCAGGATTTCAATGTTTTACTTAAGCCCCATTTTGCTCTAAACTGATTTTAAAAGATACTTCTGAGTCTTAATTTTCTCAGTGGGATCAATGACTTTTGCTCCATGAAGATACACTTGGAGAACAAAAGCAAAGCATTCTCAACTCAACGGCCTTGATTTACTTTAAGACAAAAGTTCGATGCCATGGGAGTATGCCCGCTTTGCCCTTACAATGACCAAGAAAGGTGGCAGAAATGAAAAAGCACCCCATCACCAGTCCGGTGAGCCACGGTCTCCACACCAAGTGCTAACTTGCCAGGGTTCTGGGTACCTTGCTTAGAGGGAGCTCTGAAAAGAGCTAATTTATGATTTTTACTTTCTTTGGCTATTATTACAAAAGAGATATACGTATATAAAACACAAATTTGCAGCTATAAGTCTCTCCCACTGAATAAAAACCAACAAAACTTCTTAAAACTCCAGATAATCTCAAATTGACTTTTCCCATTTCACTTCACTTCCTTTTCCCCCACTATATATTTTACCCCTTGGGCTGTTTCTTCTGAAATCACATTTCTGCTAACCCAGAATAGGTGAATTTTCTAAATCACGATTATTTCCTTTTTCTTTTCATCTCCCTTTCAATTAGGGCCACATACTCTTTCTCGGCAACCAATGCAAATTCATTCTTTCTAGCCCAGTTCCAAAACCCATTTCTAGTGCTCCCCCTCCTCCAGGCCAGGTATCTCCTGTCCCACCAGAACCGGGTGCCTGCTCTGAGCCCGTGCCCTTTAAGGCACGCACCTCTTCTCAGGGGTTCCCCATTCTGAGATTTACTTCAGTTCTTGCACTTTGCTTAAACTCTCCCCCATCCCCCACAGATACTGAAGGGCAAATCCAACGGTCTCCTCAACCATGTCTGATTAGAGACACTTGGAACCGGAGGCCTTGCCCATCCCTAGTCTGGAGGCCGACTAGCAGGTGCTCACCGTGGTATACTCAAAGTAGTAAAGGCAGTTGTCAGTCAGAATGAACCAGCGTCTCTTCCAAGTCTTTACCCTGCCACCTGCAGAGCAAAAAGAGATGCACGTTCGACAAGAGACAACCAGACAAGTGCAGGCTCCACGACACACACGACACCCTCTCTTCTCAGAGAGGGTTGGGGGAGAGGCATCAGGAGAACGTGGAGCCCACAACATTGACATCAGTAACAAGACACAGAGCTGAAACAGAAGCGTCTTTCACAAAGTGAAAGCCTGTGGGTACAAGCAGAGCAAGCGCATCTAGGTGACACCCGGAGATGGAATCGGGACGGCAGGATGAGCATGGGTTTGTGGCGAGAAAACCCGGGGCAATAATGACATACAATGCAAATTTGCCAGAGTCAGCAAAAAGCCTATGTGGTAGAAATTGCCAAAGAACAGAAAAAGAGGGAAGGGTCAGCACCTAGTGCAGGCTACTCTGCTACTGACAAGCAGCCCGGCACATAAGGAGTGTTTCACTGGAAGTGAAGGAAGGAGGAAGCAGGAGGGGAGATGCTGGGAGCCTTCAAATCCACACTTTCCCTGGAACACGAAGTAAATCCCCATGGTTCTACTCTCTTCTTCACCTTCATGATTACAGTGAGCTTCTACACTGGCTCTTAACCTTATGTGCTAGTGTCCTGAAAACAAAATCTCCCGGGTCCTGGGTGAGAATCAAAGCAGAATTCCTCTATCAAGGAAGAATCAACTCGTACTGAGAGGTGGCCTCAGGAGCCTTTTCCGTTCTGGGCTTCTCACCTGGAGCTTATAACAGAAACAGCTGGCAAATACAGCCATGGCAAAACAAGCTCTGGCGGTGGTGGCTGGGAGGCTGGCAAGGGCCTCCCTTGGTTCTTTTTAGTATTTCTCAGCACAAAACACTGGGGTCATGGCTAGGCACAGGGGCTCACGTCTATAATCCCAGCACTCTGGGAGGTCAAGGTGGGTGGGTCGCTTGAGGTCAGGAGTTCAAGACCAGCCGGCCAACATGGTGAATCCCCATCTCTACTAAAAGTATAAAAATTAGCCAGGGGTGGTGGCACATGCCTATAGTTCCAGCTACTCAGGAGGCTGAAGCATGAGAGTCACTTGAACTGGGAGGTGGAGGTTGCAGTGAGCCAAGATTGCACCACTGCACTCCCGCCTGGGTGACACAGGGAGACTCCCTCTCAAAAAAAAAGAAAAAAAAAAGAAAAAAAAAAAAGTTGGGGTTGGGGCCGTGAAGTTATGCTGAGACAGACATGAAGGAAGGAAAAATTTCCCCAAGCCTATCTGAATGAAGCTACACCTGCTGTCAAATCGGGACCACAGGCTTTCTCTTCCTCCACCTCTCTCCCATCAAGGGAACATTTTCTGAACATGAACCACTCAAAACTTATCCCTAAGGCCTTGACCTGTGAAGCTATGCATGGCATTCTAGAAACACTTCTTGTGCCTGCTCTTTTGCTAAGACTTAACCTACAGACAATACCGCTTCTCCAATCTTCCTAAATAGCAAGGATCATGGGGCATAAATCTCATACCTCCGATCATGCTTTCTCTCTTGCCCTCATCACAAATAGCTGAGCAAAGAGGAGAATGGTTTTACAGGGATTATTCTAACTGCCAGGACCTGCCTGCATGCTCACACCAGAGAAACCTAAGGGGAGTATGCAAATAATGTTATGAAAAGAAAATGTCCAGCGTAGGTCCTGGCAGACAAGTAAAAGGACCACTGGACTTTCAGGCCAGTTTTTAGCACCCTGCTTGGATGCTGAACCCTAGGCGGGCTTACGTGACTGATCATTAATTGCCAAGATTCCAAATGACACAGATCTAGGTTATGCGAGGGAATTTGCTGTAAGCAAGCACGTGCCCTCCACCTGCCCATCCTGTGCTATATCAAGCAAATTGAGACTCTCCCTCCAGTAACTTCTAAGTTTCATGTGAGCCCTTGCCACTGGTCCCTAAAGGTTAGATGGCATGAATTAAGAGAAAACCATAAATGGATACTATGACATGCATGTGGAAAACAGGAAAGCCCGGGCAGAATTAAATAAGGAGGATAAAGAAGGCAAGGACTATATTCAGGATTGAAGCCAATTTGTTCTTAAAAAGGAACCCCCTCCACCAATTCAGAGTCTGAGAACTTTGGTCTTCCAGCCTGGCGGGCCATTGGTTGCCCACGGAGGCTCGGCACAAAGGGAACATCAACCCATGCTGACCTCCCATGCGCTCCATCACAGGACACTACCCGGGGAACCCTTCGGACATAGGAGATCATGGAAAAAGCGAGTCAGATGCTAAAAGAAACAAGATGGAAAGAAATCAAGGAGAAAAAGCAAAGCCAGAAGAAATTCTCTGCCTGATTACAAAAGCTTGGTTATTATGCCTGGACAATTTGTTGCATTACAGAGACCTCTACCATAAAGCATCACTGTGGGCCCACGGGGAACATTTCCACGTGGAAAGAAAAGCAGACATGAAACAAGCAGACAGATCAATGTGCGCCTAGGACAGTCCCTGTGGAACTCACAGGACCACCTCCCACTGCACGGCTCCTCAGGCCTCCTGTGACCTCCCCGAGACATCAAGGCCGGATGCCATCTTCCCCTACAGTTGAGAACAACCTGACAAGTCCCTGAAGCATCTCAGTAACTGTGCGTGTTTGGGGTTGTTCTTTTTAAGTGTAGCTACTGCTCAGGGAATGCTTAGGCACAAACCTGAGGGGTCTTGGGCTAAGAAAATATGTTTCCCCAAAAAAACCAGCAAATGGAGAGGAGACACCAAAACCATAACCAGGAGACCGATTCGGGGCTTTAACGAGGACTCGCTGAAAAAGCGAGGGAGCAAAACAAAACATAACAACAGAGCCGAGGCTGTTAATACCCTTCTCTGATCCCCAGGAAACTAAACACGAGGACTTCAGGGAGGGTTTTTTGGTTTGGACTTGTTTTTTTCACCTTCACTCGGTATCATTTTGAGTTTAGGAAATACCATTTCCCCTTTTCGTGCAAAGGCAAATGTCTTAAGTATCATCTAATTTAGTTCTTTCCCTAGTTTGCTTTTCCATCATGGTAAATCAGAAGCTTTCCATAGCTTTGGGAAGTCAAGACTTTGTTCTCTCTGGAGTAAGTCTCAGCTTGAAAAAAGAAGAAAAAAGAAAGACTTCCTTCTCTTCTTTCTCCTCTTCCCCACGTCAGAGATTAACTTTCAATCAGGCTGATTAATGGACGTCAAATTGAATATCAAACATAGCGCATGTCTTAGCCAATAATTCCAAGTGAAAATGTCATGGAAACTTCCTCTGCTTTTACAAACCCACTCTTAGTATGTTTTCTTGCATTACTGCATTCAGTAATGAATATAACATATACTCCTCCAAAAAAGAAAAACGAAAATTGCTCCAAACCCCTGATCCTGACCAGTTCCCTAGGGACTGTACAATAAGTTAGAAGCAGCATTAACACTACCACCGGCAATTAAAAAACAAAATAACCAAAAATAACGAAATCAGAAAATGCTGCAGTAATGACAGTGGCCTAGCAGAGCGAGCGAGCAGGCTGAGGGTTACATACCTCCTGGAGTTTGGGGCAAGGAAAAGGAGAGCCAAAATCATGGAAACATACAAATGAGGGAGAAAAGAAAATTAAAACAAAGAAATTAAACCCGATTCCTTAATCTTAAAGTGCAATGTATCAGTCACATTCATGCCTGCCTGGGGAGAGAGCTGAACTAAAAACACTCAACGGGCAAATGATCCCACTACTGTCTGGCACGTGAACGAGGGGCTCTTACATGCCACGTTCCACCTCATCAAGGCAAGATTTGAGGCACTACTGGAAACCTGGCCCCAAAGATGCCACAAATCGGCTTTTACAAAGCCAATGTTTACTAGTATATCCAGAATCAGAGCAAAGAAAGCTAAGGTTATTTCAGGGAAAATTAAATGTCTTTCTTGAGATGGCTGTCACTTTTTAAAGTGTGTGTAAGAATGCACACACATATACCCATGAGTACACATGTACTGATGTGTATACACAAGAATACACATTCTTATGGCTATATGCATACACAGACATATACACACAGCTACAGACGGCTGGAAGCCCTGCCTTCTGCAGCACATAAACACAAAGAGTGATACTAAGTGTGCTACAATGAAAACACAATATTCAGAGTCTAGAAGGATTTGATGGAGGTTTAGAAAAAGTAATGCAATGAGCTAAAACTGAGTCCCACACTTGGTTAAATTTTCTCTTTTTTAAAATACGAGATGCCTCATGAATTTGCATGTCATCCTGGTCTAAGAACCAAGATAATCTTTGTACTGTTCTAATTTTAGTATCTGGGCTGTCAAAGCTAACACTTAGTATTAGCATTTAAACAAATCTCGCTGTAGGGGGAAGTAAATCCAAACTTGAACACACTTTAAACGTTTCCAGTAGGTTTCCTTTCAACTCCATCCACTTGGCAATAGGAATGTGGAAGGGAAGGCTGCCTATGGGGTTAGTAATTTTAGAGCCTTAACTTCAAAGATTCTGGGGGCTTAAAGATATATAAAATGATGGCCAATTCAAGAGATATTTAAAACTGATCGGTGAAGTGGTGCTGTAAGGGGAATTTATGAATTAAGTCATTATGTATAAGCACAAGGACTTGGGATATGACTTTAAAAGGAAATATAAAGTCTACTGCTATCTGACCTAGTCAGAAATAAAGGATTCCATTTTAGCCTTCCCAGATGTGTCAGTAATGACCAAGAGAGTACTGACTTCTAATCACTGGGGCAAGCAGTTGGGCTGGTATAGGACGGAACAGCCCCTGCTAATGTGAGAACCCAACTCATCAAAGGCTAAAGCAGAAGGCAACAGAGGAAAGTACCCTGCTAGTGTCCAAAAAAAAAAAAAAAAAAAGGACATCATTATGTCCAGAGAGTCTAGAGCTCTATGTTCTGAAACCATTAATAAAGTAAACACATGTGGACATGAATGTGTATGAAAACCCTACTAAAGTCTTTCCTATTGATTACCCTGTCACCTTCACGGCAAGGCATGACCACAAATCTCAGCAATACAAGCTCATCACTTCTGGCAAAGGGAAGAGAAATGCATTTTCAGCTTTTCTAAATGAACAAAATAATTAATGTGGCTGATTCAGATTGAAAAGGAGGGGAAAAAAAAAAGAAAAAAAAAAAACCACTGCCCAAGAATGAGTAAGAGTGCTGTGGATTGAGCTGCAGCCAAGGGCTCTAGGCTTGCCATGCACACTGCCTGTGGGGGAGCCAGATGCAGAAGGAAGTGACGATGCACTGGGGTGGGGGCAGGAGCGCCAGGTACAAATCTGTGGGATGGGAAGTAGAAAGATGGACAAGGTCGGCCACCCTCCCAGTGGTTATGGGGACAGGGAAGGCAAACGGACCAGGTGCTCAGGGAACTGCCTTGAAACAAAACCTGGTCAACCAATTCAAGGGTAAAAATGTGGAGCACAGACACATGTGGGCAATATTTATGGTGGAGTAAGTCTGTCCCCAGTAGTCTCTGTGTCCCATGGGGGCAATGACTATGAAGTCACTTCCCTTTTGGAAGCCGACCTTTGTTAGAACAGAACTCATACCAAAGTCTCTCTGGAGTCCTCTATAAGCCACCCCCTTTCCTACATGGTGCGTGTGTGTCCATGAATGTGTGTGAACATGCATGCGCGTGCACACACACGCACGCGCACACATGCACACGCACAAACACGCACACGCGCACACACGCACGCACGCACACACGCACACACACCGCCTTTCTTCCTAAGTCTCAGCTTTAGGAGCCCTGACTCAGAGGTGCGCTTACCGAGTTTCAATAGCCAGCCTTCTCGGTCTGGATTGAAGAAAGTGTGAGTGAGGTCATTCCCGTCGTCTTCTGGGATTTTAAAGGGTTCATTTTTTATGCTCTCATAGAGATTCTGGGATAAAAGATGACAATTTATGTCTCTGATTCTAGAAATATTTTTTCCTCCTCCCCTTTCTCTTCATTCATTCCACAAGCATTCATGTGCCTATAGTAAGCCAAGCCTGCTAGATGCTGAGACTAGAAGATTATGACCATTTCTGCTTTCAGGCAGCTCACAGTGACAAAATAAATAAGCCTTCCCAATTAGGAAAATAAAGAAGCAGCCTGACTTCTATTCAAGCTTTTAGTTTCATGTTTACAAACCACTGTCCCCTCCCTGATTCCCTAGCTGGGCCTTACTACCACTTTCTTAATGAAATTCACATGGTTAAACAAATTAAAAGAGGAGACCCTTGATAAATTGTATGTTTTTTCTTCCTTCCTACAAAAGACGATCCTGTTCCCAGTGAACTCTTTCTTGACTTGAATGAAGACCATTCTTCCTTGCTTACCCGGAGGAGCTCCTCCGGCAGGTCTCCCCCATCATTGATGCCTCGGTTCATGGCAATGAACCTCTCCACAGTGGGCTTATCTTTGACATTGGGGTTGTGCAGACTGGTGTTCAACATGATGATGGCAAAGGAGAGGACGTAACAAGTATCTAAAGATGAGAGAAAAGCAAAGGGGAGCCGTTGCATGCTCAGATGTTCAGAAACATCCCACCCGCAAGAGCAAGAGTGGTATCAGATGAAATCAGGAATAAAAAACCATGTTCTCGGCCAGATGCAGTGGCTTACACCTGTAATCCCTGCACTTTGGGAGGCCAAGGCAGGCAGATCATGAGGTCAGGAGTTCAAGCCTAGCCTGACCCACATGGTGAAAACCCGTCTCTACTAAAATACAAAAATTAGCCAGGCGTGGCTGCACGCGCCTGTAATCCCAGCAACTTGGGAGGCCGAGGCAGGAGAATTGCTTGAACCTGGGAGGCAGAGCTTGCAGTGAGCCGAGATAGCGCCACTGCACTCCAGCCTGGGCGACAGAGTGAGACTCCATCTCAGAAAAAAAAAAAAAAACATGTTCTCAAAAGAATGAGATGAATCCACATGTACGGGTACACTCCAGGGCACACTGCTGTCTGAAAGGAGCAAGGCACGAAAAAGTATATAAAGTATTCAAGACTTAAAGCTGTTTATTTTTTCAGATTGGAAAGGAGAATACACACACTGTAGAAACTCTGAAAAACACAATGTGTTTAAAACAAAATGACCTGTAATGACCCATAATCCCACTATCTAGCAATAATTTATTTTGCTTTATTTCCTCTACGTAAATATGACTATGTATAACTCACCACATATTTATCTCACAGATATATACTGTAACAAAACTGGAAACAAACAAATACATACACATGCTTTTTTGCTAATCTTAATATCATTCTCCTATGTCAATAAAAATTCTTTGTAACAATATGGGTTTCTTTAGTTTTTGTTTTGAGACAGGGTCTCACTCTGTCACCCAGGCTTGGAGTGCTGTGGTGCAATCATAGCTCACTGCGTGTAGTCGTAAACTCTTGGGCTCAAGAGATCCTCCTGCCTCAGCCTCACAAATAGCCGGGACTACAGGCATAAGCCACCACACCTGGCTAATTTTTAAAAATTTTTTTGGAGAAAGGGTCTCATAATGTTGCCCAGGCTGGTCTCAAACTCCTAGCCTCAAGCAATCCTCTCACCTCGGCCTCCCACCCAAGGTGCTGACATTACCAGTGTGAGCCACTGCATGCAGCTAAAACATGGTTTTTAATAGCTGTGTATTTCGTAGTTCAGAGGTACCACAATTTAAATTCATAGTGCCTTAATGTCAGACTTTCAGGTTATTTCCAACATTTTACTATTATAACTATCATTGAGTAAACGTTCCTAGGCATGAATCTCAGCCCTTTTGTTTTAGAAATTATCTGGTGCCAAGAAAATAATCCAGTGTAAAACGCCCATCATAAACTAGGATGAATGATCGTATTTACCCGTGGACTGGAACACGCCATTATTGCACTGACAATATCGCTGGGCAAACGCCTCCATCATCCGGTCGATCTTCTGGGCCTCTCCGGGTAGCCGGAAGCTCCACAGGAACTGCCTGAGTGGGTAAAGACAGAGTGTTCCAGAACTTGGGGAGGCAATTTATTTCTCTATGAATTGTTAAACTGCCAATGATTTTTTTTTTCTTTTTTTTTTTGAGATGGAGTCTCACTCTGTCACCCAGGCTGGAGTGCAGTGGCGTGATCTTGGCTCACTGCAACCTCTGCCTGCCGGGTTCAGGCAATCTTCTGCCTCAGCCTCCCGAGTAGCCGGGACTACAGGCACACGCCACCATGCCCGGCTAATTTTTTGTATTTTTAGTAGAGACGGGGTTTCACCATGCTGGCCAGGCTGGTCTCAAACTCCTGGCCTCAAGTGATCCACCCGCCTCAGCCTCCCAAAGTGCTGGGAGTACAGGTGTGAGCCACGGTGCCTGACCACTGCCAATGATTTTTTAACATCAAAGTGCAAAGGGAACCCTGCTGGGCTGCAGCCTTCTGTTACTGTAACTCTGAACAGATGCAAAGTTGCCATCCACACCACTGTTACCTTAATCAAAAGTAAAATTTTTCTTAGGAAAAAGTGAAAAATTAGGAGGGAAACAATCCCTACTGAGGAGTGGTTTCCCTCCTCAGAATAATATACAAGACTGAAACATAGATAATGCTCATTTTAAACAAACGCTATTTCCGGAAACAATATGGGTGGCAGAAAAAGAGAAGATTGTCTTGTCAAAGCATTAACAATCGATCCCTTTAAGTCAAAGAAAGAAAGACCCACAGCTGACAGGTTTAATTGTGGATTGTTTCCATCCAGCTAAATGATAGCACAAAAGATGAAGTCATTATTTACACCTACAGCAGTGAAAATACAGAATGACAGTTTCTTAAAAGGCATGAGGTAACAGATTTAATAAAAAATTAAGGTTTACTTTTTTCTTTCCAAAATGAAATGTATAACTACTTATTCCAGGGCAAGAAATTAAAGGATTTTCTAAACTGAAAAATTTCAAAATTTAAGTATTCATCAATTTCTAAAACCTCAAATATAAGACTCAAGGAAGAGTGTTACAGAATCGGCCTCCAGAACGTAACAGAATTGAATTCCCCTTGACCATCCAGTCATTCCCAGTCAGAGACCAATAGATTTCTTCCCTCCAAAATACTTCAAAATATTCAAATCATACCCAAAGATATAATTTCAATAAAATGCCCCCCAGGACAGACTCATGATCAAAGGCTAGCCTCCCACTCCTTCCAAAGGGGCTCACCTCAAGAATACTCACCGTAGTGCCTGGACGAGATTAAGATCAGTGAACTCATGCAGCTCCACAAATGCATGAAGAACCTGGATATTAAACTCATCTCTATCGAGAAAAGACAAAAAATGGGAGAGAAAGCAGGAGTCAGGCACCAACACTGAGAATCTCCAGCCAGGCCATGTCTCCTACACTGCGTCCTGTGGTCCTGTGGCTCCTGCCCAGACAGCCACTTGTGCACACTGTCCGCAAGAAGACTGGCTAGCTCTGCTGACTGGCTGAACAAGCAAGATGTCTCCATGACCCCCAGAAAAGACCCATCACTATTCCCCAGAAAAGCCTCCCCTCAACTCCAGTGGGGCTACAGATGCTTTAAGGCAAAAACCCCTCCAAGAACTTCAGAGTATTTGGGAGTTTGTTTCTTTGTGTCGTTCCTGAACAGCCTTCCCTAGCATGCGCATAATCCCCAAGGCCTTACCTCTCCCCTAGGTAGTCGCCGATGGCTGTCTTGTTGAGCCCTTCGCCTTTATATAAGAACTGGGCAATGTCTTCACAAGTGTTCTTCAGGAGGTCGTTCTCTATTAAGAACTGGATCCCCTAGAAAAAGACAACAAAGACGCCAATGATGCTTTGCTGGGAAACAGTTGAAAAGAAGGGGAAAGGGCACAGGAAGAAATGGGTGTGGGTGCACTGGAATATTTAATAAATACTTGCTAAGTGACCTATAAAGCCGGGGAGTCACAGTTTAGGAACAAGGGCTTAGTGCATAACATTTGCTCTACAAAACGGCAACATGAACTGTAACGCTTGGAAAAAAACGTTTTTAGGGTCTATCTGAGCACTATAAAAAAACCCCATCTAATATGGACCACTTCCCGCTTCTTTCTCACTTACCTTTTTAGGGTCCATATTAAATTTTTTCCTGCCCATGGCTACCTGTTTGTTCCTCTGCATGTTTTTCCTGTAAAACAACCATCACAGCCATTTTAGTACTTCAGGCCATCGGAAAGGCTTGAAAGACTAATATGATTTCCACTGATTTACACAGGTTTTTGAAAGATTTATCCAGGAAAGCAACAGGCATAATCTGGTGGAACTATGAAAGGCCAACTGAAACCTGAAGCCTGAACCTGGCTCCAAGCTCCAAGCTCATTTGCTCCTTCTACCCTGGAACAGAGGTTTTCTTTATTTTTTTTTGAGACAGGGTCTCTCTCTGTCTGAAGGCTGAAGTGCAGTGGTGCTATCTCGGCTCATTGCAACCTCTGCCTCCTGGGCTCAAGTGATCCTCCCACCTCAGCCTCCCAAGTAGCTGGGACCACAGGCGCATGCCACCATGCTCACTGTGTTGCCCAGGCTAGTCTCAAACTCTTGGGCTCAAATGATCTGCCTGCGTCAGCCTCCCAAAGTGCTGGGATTACAGGCATAAGCCACTGTACCCAGCCAGTTTTCTTTTTTTAACATGATTTTTAAAAAAACTTTATCAGGGTAGGCCGGGCACAGTGGCTCATGCCTGTAATCCCAGCACTTTGGGAGGCCGAGGTGGGTGGATCACAAGGTCAGGAGTTCAAGACCAGCCCAGCCAACATGGTGAAACCCTGTCTCTACTAAAAATACAAAAATTAGCCAGGCATGGTGGTGGGCACCTGTAATCCCAGCTACTCGGGAGGCTGAAGCAGGAGAATCACTTGAATTTGGGAGTTGGAGGTTGGAGTGAGTGGAGATCCACCACTGCACTCTAGCCCGGGTGACAGAGTGAGACTCCGTCTCCAAAAAAAAAAAAAAAAAAAAAAAACTTTATCAGGGTATAATTTACTTATAATACTCCTACTGTAGGTACATATTTGAATTTTTAGTATACTTACTAAGTTGTGCAACATCACCATAATCCAGTTTTAGAACATTTTCATCTCCCCTACAGAATTCCTCACACCTTTTTACAGTTAATCCTTACTTCTACCTCCATCCCCAGGCAACTATTAATCTATTGTCTGTCTCCACAGATTTGCCTATTCTGGACATATCATACAAACAGAATCATAAAAGATGTGGATTTTCAGATCTGGCTTCTTTCATTAGCATAATGTTGTCAAGGTCATGGTGCTGGAGCGTGGGCCAGTACTACATGCCTTCTTGCTGCTGGGTCATCTTCCATGGTATGGATAAACCACATCTGTTTATCCATTCACCAGATGATGGACACTTAGGCTGTTTACAGTTTGGGACAATTATGCAGAAGGCTGCTATCAGCATTTGCATATATGTCTTTGTGTGGACACGTTTTCATTTTCCTTGGGTAGATACCCAGGGGTGGACACTGCTGGGTCATACGGTACATCTGTATTTAACTTTTTAAGAAGTTGCTAAATAATAGGCAGTTTTCTTGACTGTATCAGAATGAAAAATGCAGATTCACAGACCAAGCTTCTCAAAGTCTGGTCCACCAACCAGCAGCCTTGGGAGCATATCAGACGTGAAGACGCTCCGCTCGTTTATACATACACGTCACCTGGGGCCTCAACAAAACAGATTCTGACTCTATGTCTGAGAAGGGGCCTGTGCTTCTGCTGTATGTTTAACATGATCCCATGTGTGGAGTCTGAGTAGCAAGGCCCTGGACCGGCTGAGTAACTCAGAAGTACAAGGGGCAGAACCTAGGAATTTGAATTTTTAAAACCTCCTGCAGTAATTCTGGTATGCACCCAAATTTAAGAACCACTGCCATCAATATCAATAGTAATTTTATAATCTCCGAGAGCAAAAAAGTTGCTCGGAAATAAAATCATAAAATGTTATTGCCTTAAAGAACACATGTGTTCTCTAGCTAAATCCATGGAGGGAAGAAAATATTCCTAAGTGTTTTGAGGGTTGGTGTTTTTTGTGTTTTTGTTTTTGTTACAGGCAGGGTCTTGCTCTGTCACCCAGGCTGGAGTACAGTGGTGTGACTGTGGCTCACCGCAACCTTTAACTCCTGAGCTCAAGTGATCCTCCGGCCTCAGCCTCCTGAGTAACTAGGACTACAAGCAGATACTACCACAACTGGCTACTTTTTAAAATATTTTGTAGAGACAGAGTCTTGCTATGTAACCCAGGCTGGTCTTAAACTCCTGGCCTCAAGCAATCCTCCTACCTTGGCCTCCCAAAATGCTGGTATTATAGGCATGAGTCATCGCATCCAGGCTGTTTTGACCTTTTGAAAGGAACACCTGAAAACTGTGAGTAGTATCAGAACTTCCAGGTGTAAGATAATCTGGGCTCCCCTGTCAACAGCTGCCTTAGGAAACAAAGTCATGGGGGAAACACCATTTAATTTCAGCCAGAATGAAGGGTTATGACCAGGTATCTAGAAATTCCTATTTAACTAAAATGATTGTCTAATCATTTTTTTCTAAATCCAGGAAGATTACTTTGATCAGTATTTCCAAACAAATACCACAAGGAAGGCCTGTTTCATGGTTTCCAGTGTAAGTGGTGAGGCAGCGTCAGAGGTGCCCACAGAAGCAAGGGGTGAAACTCCTGGGAATGCTCAGCTTCCTGGGCCTCAGTCCAGTCCTCACCAAAGGCTTTCCTGCAGCCACCAGAACGCACACTCCCAGATATCCGCCAGTCACAGTCTGTGCCACATGACTGCCTGGGACACACACCAGAGATGGCTCCCTAATTTCATTAGCTAGCCAGCTCACTTCTCTATCTGCCCCACTTGGAGCCCCTATAGCTCTAGGCCTTAGGCAGCTACTTCTCTAAGTGGCTTTCCCCAGCCTACACAGGTCTGACACCCCAGTTAAGGTGTCCAAAGGAAAACAGCTTACTGCTACTGGATCGCCTTAGTTAACTGACGCGTATACATTTCAGAAAGTGAAATCCTGTACTACATGAGTATATTATTTCTGCTTGATTAAATAGTATTTAGGATCATTCCTACAAAATGCATCAGATCGTCGATGAGAAACATGAATTCTCTCCTATAAGAAAGTCCGAGCAAATGTAATGCCTGCTTGAGAAACAAATGCAGGGTGAGCCTGAGTACCCGTATGGATGGATCCTCAGGGATGTGCAGAATCACTTCCGTCTTGGCGCTTTCGATACCGGAAAACCATTTTAAGTTCCAGATTAAAAAATAATAATAACCTAAAGACTACTTCCTGACTCACAACTTCAGATGCAGTTCATGAGTTACAAGTCTTCCCAAATTCACTGGCTGAGTACTTTGGATGCACTCACGTTCCTGGTGTCTGCGTTTCCTTGCTGTTCTATGGTAACTGACAGAGAATTAATCAAGAGAAAAACAAAGGGCACACTGAATTCTGAATATGTGTGTGCAGACACCGGAATATACAGAAAGGAAACGTACCAAAATATGAATCCTGATTATCTCTGGGATAAGTGTTTATGAGAAATTTGTTTTTTATACTTTTCTGTATTTTACCAATTTTCTGCAGTAAAGGTGTATTACCTTTATAGTCAGAAAAAAGCCATTTTTTTTTACATTTTTAAGATCGAGGTAAAATTTACATTTAACAAAATGCACACACCTTAAGTGCACAGTTCAATTTGTTTTGATGAGTGCATATACCCTTGAAGCACCACTCAGATTAATACAGAATATTCCTGCCATCCCTGTAAGTTCCCTATGGCCCTTCCTAGTCAACCCCACCCCACCCCGCCCCAGCAACCACCTCGGAGGCAGCACTGTCATGATTTCGGCTAGCACACTAGCACAGCTTAGTTTGCATGTTCTAGATGCTCACGCATGGAAGCACACGGTGCCCACAGTTTCTTTCACTCATCACAATGTTCGTGAGATTCATCCGTGCTGCTGCACGCTAGCAGTTCATTCCTTCACACTGCTGAGTAATAGTCTATTACCTCGACCTGTTTATCCAGTCACCTGCTGGCAGCCATTCAGGGTATTTCCAGCTTTTGGTTATTTTATATAAGAATGCTATAGATATTCTTGTACAAGTCTTTGTATGGACATGTTTTCATTTCTCTTAAGTAACTAGGAGTTGAATTGCTGATGAAACTGCCAAACTTCTTTCCCAAATGGTTATATTATTTTATTCTCACTAGCACTTGCCAACATGAGGTACCATCAGTCTTTTTAATTCTAGCCATCATAGGGGATGTGAAGTACCGTTTCATGGTGGTTTTAAATTACATCCCCTACAACTAATGATGTTAAGCATTTTTCATGTGTCTACTACACATATGGCTTCTTTTGTAAAGTGTCCAAGTTTTTTGCCCATTTTCTTATTTGGGCTGCCTTTCTATCATATATTCTAGATACAAGTCCTTTTTCAGATATATTTGTTACAAATATTTACTTCTAATCTGTTGCCTGTTCATTTCTTTTAATAGTTTTTAATAGTTTTATCTTTTACAAAAGCGGAAGTTTTAAATTTTTATGAAGTCCAACGTATCCGTTTCATTTAAGCTACGAGTGTTTAAAATGGAAAGAGGGGAAACTAATCCAAAATACCAAATGGACAATACAGAGACTGGCCGTGGTGAGCTGGCTGCCTTCTGTGGAGGACTCAGCCTCACTATACCCTGAAGGCACTGCCCACAGGAGTCTAAAACAACAAATCAAACAGTCCTACGAAGCCAGACAGGAAGACTTAGGCTTAGAAAAATACAGACATGTAGTGAATTGGAAACAGCTCATTTATTGCATTAAGCAGTCAGAAAACGGTCTGGGAACCCCATTCAAAACTAAACTCTCAAAGTCACTAACATTTCATGAAAATAAAAGGAAAAAAAAAAGCAGAGTCCTTGTCCTTTTATACTATCATCGCATTTCTACATTTTCTTCCCTTAAGCATTAGGAAGGTGCAAATAAGCTCACGATTATCCTCAGACATGACTGGACACTCCAGCCCTTTGAAATCGTATCAGCAGCATTCATTAAGCTTTTCCTTTACACAAAGGAAAAACAGAAACTTTAAAATGCACACCGACAGTGGACAACAGAGGGGAGTAATTCACATAAAAATTTAGGAGCAGTTTAAGGCTTTCTGGGACCTTTGAAGTTCTCCAGTTCAATTTTTTTTTTTTTTTTTGAGACGGAGTCTCGCTCTGTCACCAGGCTGGAGTGCAGTGGCGCGATCTCAGCTCACTGCAACCTCCACCTCCCGGGTTCAAGCAATTCTCCTGCCTCAGCCTCCCGAGTAGCTGGGACTACAGGTGTGCACCACCACACCCGTCTAATTTTTGTATTTTGAGTAGAGACAGGGTTTCACCATGTTGGCCAGGATGGTCTCGATCTCTTGACCTCGTGATCCACCTGCCTCGGCCTCCCAAAGTGCTGGGATTACAGCCGTGAGCCACCGCGCCCGGCCTCCAGTTCAATTTTTTAAACACTGGAAGAAGCTCCTATGTTCAGGAGGCCTTGCGGTGAAGGATGGAAGGCAGACATTATGGGTGTGTATGTGCTTGCTAGAATTAGAAAGACACAAAGCTGACTTTTTCCTTCAATGTGCCACGTAAGCATAATTAAGGCCTGGGTGCTTTAAGGAATTACAACCACAGAAGCCACCTGGCAGCAGGGCAGACTCACCTTTCCTCTGTGGATCCCAGGTTTTCAATTTCATTAGCTACTTCTGCTATCTCATCCTTCAGCCTCTATAAAACAGACAGTCCAGAGTCAGCAGGAAAGGCAGATGCAGATCAAATTAAAACTTCTAAAATCTCACATAACTCCCTCCAACCAAAAACAAAATAAAGCAAAATGAAACAAAATATGACAAAAATGCAAAAAGTAAATTAGGAAAATTCATGTTTCAGAAATATTTATTGAGTGCCTACCAAACAGTAAGCATTCCAGAAAACACCAAGGTAGAAAAGAATACAGCCTCTGACCTCAAGGAGTTTACGGTCTAGGAAAGTTTATAAGCATATATGCTGTGTGAAAAACAAAACCTGGCTGCCTCATCACAATCTTTCAGAACAAGTCTGCAGCTTACTAAACACAAGCATGCCAGAAAATTCAGAGGACAAAGTCTCCTACCCAAAGCCCAGGCTGCAGAGCCTGCAGTAGCTGTGCCAGGGCAACAATGCCACCAAGCGGCTGGCAAAGGGAATGTCTGATCAAATCGGCTGTGCATCCGCACCCACCCTCCTCATTCCAGCACACTGTTGGTCAGAATGGATGGGCTCTCACGGGGAAGTGGGGCTTAAGTGGAGAGCTGCTTAGCTTTCTCACGATCTACCAGTGAAGCAGAAATCAAAGGATCAGGGAGAACTATCAAAATATACTTAAATCAACTCCAGAGAAAGTCAAGTCTTTCCTCATTTTGCTACTTTGGGCAACAGGATTCCCTCCTTAACCCCACTCCTAATGTCTTGTGAAGAATTCTGAAAGAATAACATTTGCTGTCTTAGGGCGAAAATAATCCAACTATTGGCTTCTAGACTTATTTCCTACAAGCTTGATAGTTACAAAAAGGAACTTGGAAAAATTGTAATTGTAAAATTGCTATCACTAAGTACATCTATAGGGACCAGAAATTATGCTGTCTTTCATGCTAAGTCCTTCCAACTGTGTAGCAGGTGTTTTCATGATCTGACAGATGAAGAAACTGAAGTTCAAGGAACCGGAACTCTCTTGTCTCAAATCATTCAGCCAGTAAGCGGCAGAGCCAGAGCCAGGGCGTGGGCCGAGCTTCGCCTGAAGCCCACATTCTCATTGCCTCTCCTCATCCACTCTGCTCCGCAAGGGCAAACACAGCAGAGAGGACTACTCAGGAGACAGGAGTCTTGCAGGCTATCTCCAGCTCCGACAACCGACCAACTGGGTGAACCTGGACAAGCCACTCAACCTCTCTGACACTGCATCTCCTCAGCTGTAGAGGAAAGGTGACTGATTATCAACACCTACGCTTTGTGCAGAGCTGTAGTGAGGGCAGGTCAAAAGTGTCTTGAGGAGACACTCTGCAAAGGACACCCTTTCATACAAATGGAACTGTCACTGTGGTTCTTACGTTGGTGAAACCACCATGCCACTCTCCTACCTGAATGTCAGCCAGCAGCTCCTGTTTTCTCCGTCGGATGTTCTCCAGTTCTTGACGCTCCTCTGCTGTCAGGTCACTGGGAACTACAAAAATGGAGGGCAATGTTACAAGAAAGCTTTTATCTCGCCAAAAATCAAGGAAGATCCAGAGGCCACAAAAGGAGAAAGATATCAAGAAAGAAACTAGAAGTCAGTTTCAGAAATGACTGAGTGATAGAAATAGTTATGGCTCCAATTCTTATCAGATTTCTAAGAAAGGAAGGCCCTTAAATCACACAGAAAAGCTCTGAGAAACTCTTGGAAGGAAAAACGAGAGAGAAGAGATTACTGAAGGTTAAATTAGGTTGGCTATGAATGAAAAAGGATGAATATTAGCTGAGCGCCTGGCCATTTTCATCCCTTCCAGCTGGGAGACTTCAGGCTGACATTTAATTAATCTCTCTAGGCCTCAGCTCCCTCATGGTCAAAAACAGAGTCTCCGAGATGGAAAGATGTCCATGACCCCCTGAGGTGGGGAGGGGAGGCAAGAGGCAAAGCAACGTGTACGAACAATTTTGTGCCATCTCTGGGAGGGGTTTGGAGAAAGAGACTATGTATGCACTGAGAAATAAAAAAAGTCTAGAATATACACCTAAAATCAGTGCTTAACTCTGGGAACTGGGACTATGGGACTTTCTCTTTCTGCTTCATACCTTTCTTCATTGTTTCGATGTTTTACAATGTGCTCTTATCATCAGAAGAAAGTTACTTAATTCCCAGATCACAGCTCTCACCACAAAATACTTCTGCCATCCTCCAATGGCTCAATCTCCCCCACCTATACCAACAGGAGATTTGGACAGACACCCTCTAAAATGACCCTTCAAGCATGCTATGGGAAGCCATGTGGGCAAATGAGAAGAACAAGCATTAGAATCAAACAAACCAGGTTCAAATCCTAGCTCCAATCTACCAAATATCAAATTAGGTCACTTCAGACAAGTTATGTAACCCACTTGGGTCACATTTCATCATCAATGAAGTGGTCCCACCATCACCCACTTGATAAGGCTGCTGTGAAGATGATGTAGAGTAATTAAAGTGCCTCAAACCCTGCCTGGTGCTGAGCAGAAGCTCAGAAGTGTTGGCTCTTGTTCCCTCCATGGCACAGCAAAGGGCACCCACACTCTCAAGGGTAGGGGTGGTTTGAGGGTCCTTCTATCCTTCAGTGGGTGCCTATGTGAGCCTGAGCTGCACTGTACAATATGGCGGCCAGGAGCCCCACGTGACATTAACCACTTGAAATGTCACCACCCAGTTTGAGATGTGCTGTAGGTAAAAAATATACACCGAGGCCGGGCACAGTGGCTCATGCCTGTAATCCCAGCACTTTGAGAGGCCGGGGCGGGCAGATCACGAGGTCAGGAGACCGAGACCATCCTGGCTAACATGGTGAAACCCCGTCACTACTAAAAATACAAAAAATTAGCTGGGCGTGGTGGCAGGTGCCTGTAGTCCCAGCTACTCGGGAGGCTGAGGCAGGAGAATGGCGTAAACCCGGGAGGTGGAGGTTGCAGTGAGCCGAGATCCCGCCATTGCCCTCCAGCCTGGGAGACAGTACAAGACTCCATCTCAAATAAATAAATAAATAAATAAATAAATAAATAAATAAATAATATATATATATACACACACACACACACACACACACCAGACTTTCTATAAAAACAAAGGAAAATGACTTTTTAATAATATTTTATATTGATTGCACATTGATATAACTTAATGAAATGTATTATTTTAATTGATCTCAAAGGAACTAGTATGAAATAAAAGTGCATCTATGGCTCATATTATATTTCTAGACAGCATAGAGTTGGAATTAACATCTCTGCTTGAGAGCACAGTTAGGATACACATACTTTCCTTCTGCCCATGGCATTAAAACTTAATCTACTACATTCACAGAGCAGTTACTTTCCCCAAATATTTCATAAAAATCACAAGAGGGTAGAAACAATAGACTACAGTGAAGTGTACAGTGGGTTAATTAGCTACATTAGAAAAGCCGACTTTTCCTTTTTTTTTTTTTTTAACCTAGGTTTTCCCCAACCTTCTCTAAAAAAGTGTTTTTTAAACATCTCAAAATCCAAAATAAGAAAAGCATTTTAGTCCAGGCCTTGTAGCTCACGCCTGTAATCCCAGCACTTTGGGAGGCCAAACCAGGCAGACTGCTTGAGCCCATTGGGACCAGCATGGACAACATGGTGAAACCCTGTCTCTACTAAAAAAAATACAAAAATTAGCTGGGCATGGTGGCACATGCCTGTAGTTCCAGCTACTCGGGGGGCTGACGTAGAAGGATTGCTTGAGCCTGGGGTGCAGAGGTTGCAGTGAGCCAAGATCGCACCACTGCACTCCAGCCTGGGCAACAGAGCCAGACAAGAAAGAAAGAAGGAAAGAAGGAAAGAAGGAAGGAAGGAAGGGAGGAAGGAAGGGAGGGAGGAAGGAAGGGAAGGAGGAAGGAAGGGAGGGAGGGAGGGAGGGAGGGAGGTAGGAGAGAGAGAAAGAGAGAGAGAAAGAGAAAGAAAAAGAGAAAGAAACAGAAAAAGAAAAGAAATGCATTTTACATCATGACCCAATCTCCACCATACATAAAAGTATCAAAAATAATATCTCACCATGTCTGTTATTTCACTGTGAGCTTTCTTAACAGTGGTTTAGTCCAGTAAACTGATTTTATGGCTGCATGCGGTGGCTCACACCTGTAATCTCAGCACTTTGGGAGGCCGAGGTGAGTAGATCACCTGAAGTCAGGAGTTCAAGACCAGCCTGGCCAACATGGTGAAACCCCGTCTCTACTAAAAATACAAAAAAAATTAGCCAGGCATGGTGGCAGGTGCCTGTAATCCCAGCTACTCAGGAGGCTGAGGCAGAAGAATCGCTTGAAGTTGGGAGGTGAAGGTTGCAGTGGGCTGAGATCGTGCCACTGCACTCCAGCCTAGGCAACAAGAGCACAACTCTGTCTCAAAAATAATAATAATAATAATATAAAAAATAAAAAATAATTATTTCATAATCAATTAGGTAATCGTATAATTACCTAATATACTGAGTCCTGTGGTTTGAAAAACACTCTTCCTTTAGAGGCTGGAAGAGACAGCCACTCTAAAGATCCCAACAGACCAACTAAATCCAACCCAGGTCACCTTCACAAGAGTGGGCCTTAAACTGCGTCCCTGAGAACTCAAGGGTGATCACTCAGGTGTGTGTATTGGAGGACGGAGCCTTAAATAAGTTCACCTACACACCTGCTCTCCAGTCCCATTCCTGTGTCAAGACCCAGGACTCCAGCTCAGCAATCCATCAGCATTATGTGGATTCTAACCCTGCACCCCCGCCAAACCCACCACCCCAAATGTTTCTTCCCAGGCTGAACAGTTCTCCCAACATTAAAAAATATATATATATATATTAAAATGGCTGCTTCAGGAAAAAGTCAGACAAATAAGTGAGCTCTGGTTAAAGCAAAAGCCGTTTTGAAAAACAACATCAACTCTACTGATGCGTACACCGTTCTACAGAAACGCATGTTTAAAGCAGTTCACTCTGATTTTTCTGTGCTTCACAGCCCAGAAAAATTTCTAGTCCAAGTAGAAGACCCCTTTAAGAAATTAATTTCTTCAGGTTCTAGAAGATACATATTCATTCCAATATAACATGGTTTTGAAATTAAGGCAACATTCATTTTTTAAAAACAGCTGCTCCGCAAGAGGCTCAATAATTGGGATTTGATTTTGAAGCTACAGAACTGGCTTAATCAGATCATCAATGTATCTCTACCCAGCAGAAGCAAGACTAAATCCAAGGTCCATATAATGAAGCTGATGAAAAACAGAGCAATCGTATAAAAGAAATTCCTATCTCAAGACTGCTATATACCCTGAGAAGCCAACTTGTATCATTCTAAACTGGAAACTCTAAATCGTTGCTTTCTTTTCAGAATCTGAGCACTCAACCATTCTGGGTTTAATATTCACACATGACAATTTTTCTGGATGGACACAATCTACCCAGCAGAAGCAAGACTAAATCCAAGGTCCATATAATGAAGCTGATGAAAAACAGAGCAATCGTATAAAAGAAATCCCTATCTCAAGACTGCTATATACCCTGAGAAGCCAACTTGTATCATTCTAAACTGGAAACTCTAAATCGTTGCTTTCTTTTCAGAATCTGAGCACTCAACCATTCTGGGTTTAATATTCACACATGACAATTTTTCTGGATGGACACAATCTAGCTTCTGTATTATAAATTCAAAATGCCCTTCTAGTCCTCTATCTTCCAAGATATTATTTTTTAAATAGTAAAGGAATAGGCCAGGCGCGGTGGTCCACGCCTGTAATCCTAGCACTTTGGGAGGCTGAGAAGGGTGGATCACGTGAGGCCAGGAGTTCAAGACCCGTTTGACCAACAAGGTGAAACCCCGTCTCTACTAAAAATACAAAAATTAGCTGGGCGTAGCGGTGCACACCTGTAATCCCAGCTACTTGGGAGGCTGAGACAAGAGAATCGCTTGAACCCCAGAGGTGGAGGTTGCAGTGAGCCAAGATGGCAACGTTGCACTCCAGCCTGGGCAACAGAGCAGGCCTCCATCTCAAAAAAATTTAAAAATTTAAAAAAAATAGTAAAGGAACAAAAACATCCATAAACCTACAATATCAAAGAGTACACAGAGAAGGGCCATCAGAAGAGATTTCAACAAATTTCCAGAACAGAGAAAGGAAAGAAACAGTGCTAAGTGCTAATATCTTCTAGAATAAAAACTCCACAAAGGCAGGGACACCGTATGCCTTGTACACTGTTGTGTTTGTGGTACTCAGCACAGGGCCTAGCACACTAAGGATTTCACACACACACACAAACACACACACATGAACGAAGCCAACTTTCTCATGAGCAGACAAGTGTGGAGCTGGTGTCCAGGGTAAAGCCTCCATATGTAGACAGCGGACACCTAAGAGAACCCTACCCCAAGCAGGCTCTGGCTCACTCGCCCTGAAGCCAAGCCTCCCTGCCCACAAGGCCCAGCCATGCACAGAGCTTCCGCTTAACATGTCTACTGCTTCACTCTTACACTTACAGAGATAACCACACCTATGCCAGGAGTGAGAAAGGACAAGACAGGGAACAGAAAACTCACCCTAGAGCAAACAGAGATAATTAGGGGGAAAAAAGAAAGAAAAAAAAAACCTTTAAAAGAACAGAAAACTCTGGAAAAGGGACAATTACAGAAAAAGAATACGGCCTTGCAAATTAAACATACTTTTGTCCCCCACATCAAAAAAGTCAACGAAGGATTAAAAGATAAAGTTGGGGCATTCCTGTAGAACAAAGAGGTTTGAAAATATAAGCAAACCTGGAAATATAAGCAAAAAAATAAACTCGGTTGAATAAAAATATTTTTAAATCCCACAGAGAAATTCTCATAGGAAAAATTCAGAAGTTCCAGGAATAAAGACGATCCTAAAACCTCCACAGAGGTTAAGGAGAGTGATTAATCAGACCACCCACGAGGGAAGATCTCGCTGGTGTCAGTATAAGAGCCCGCACACTAAAGATAGCGCAGTGGAACTTTCAAAATTCTAAATGAAAATTATCTGAACCCCAAATTCTCAGTCAAGTAGGAGGGTAAAACAGACTCATTTCAGATACATAAGGATCAGAAAGTTTGTCTTCTGTGCACCCCTTCTGAAGAAGCTACTTCAGGAGCAAGATGTGGATCAAGGAACGGGACTGACTCAGGAGCCTGAGGACAGCAAGCGCCATCAACTGTGATGGCCAACAGCCACCAGACCGGGTCAGAGCAGGAAGCCAAAGGGCTGCCAGAGGAATGCCATCAGAAAGAATGAAATCAGACTCGAAACCAGAGAATGAAGGAGAAAGCAGCTGAGAAAACTGTGTGATACCAACAGGCATCATTCGGTTTCCTCTCAAGAGAATAAAAAGGACTGGGCAACAGGAAAAACTCAACTACAGGAAATCACAGAAGAAATGAAACATGCCCCCCGAGTGGTGTCCTCTGGGCCATCAGGGACGCCAGGAACAGCTCCCTTTGAGTGGGCACCTGGCTCTACGGTGAGTGGTATCTACATTCCTGTCATGGTGCTGGTCGCTGGTAGTTAACTTACAGAATCACCCTGTAGACAAAGCATGAAAGACCAACCCAGGCTGGAGAAGCAAAGCTATCTGTTACCAAGGTGAAGGAAGAGCTGACCAAAGTTTGAGGGAAGCAAAGTGGAGAGGGCAGCAGGGTCCCAAATGGTCCCCACAGCTTCCTCCTACAACACTAGAGACCAGAGGCATGGATAAGGATCATGAACAAGAAACCCACGCTGTAAATATGCCAAAGGTAAAAATCCAGGAACTGAAAATTGTGATCAACTACCAAAAATGGACAGTGAGAGAAGGAAGGAAGAGAATGGTGTGAGCTGCATCCTCATCCATCATAGGCAGAAGGCAGGAGATAACCTTTGATCTTGACAAAATAATCACCAATTTAAGAACTTGGCAGCACCCACTAGAAGACCTAAAAGCAGAAAAAAGTGAATTAATAGTGGCTGCTTTGGGGAGTGGGTCTGGGAATAGAGAGACAGGACATATAAGCCCCTGAATACTTGCTTTAAAATACATATATATATGTACTATGACAATTTGAAAACAAAAGACTAAAAATGTACAACTATGGTCACTAGAAAAGATAGCCCTTCTGTGTCCTTGGAGTCAGACAGAAAACGCTTCTGGCCAATTTGTAGCTAGAATAAATAAGACATTTATCTACATTTATTTTGATCCAATCTCCTGACATTTGCCACATGACTGCTAAATTACTTCTCCATTCCATACTTACTAACTTTAAATCATAATGCTGCTCCCCTTCTGGCTCAACCAATCATTCAAGAACTTTATTTTAAAAAGCTGAACTACACCTCATTTTTCTAGTGGAATTTTATTCTGAGATGAGGCAAAATCTAATATTTTAATAAGTATTTTCCTCTGCATAAACTTAACAATGCAACATCAAATCTTTAATTCAAGCCTTCATTCTCATGCTGCCCCGGACAGAAAAAACATCCAAAAACAAAATGCTTAATTTCATTTAGCAGCATGAAGAATCAACACTATTGCTGGAGAGCTGAGGTGTGATTGATTCCTACAGTCTTGGCTAGTGTCTTCAGGACACTGCGAAGGCCACAGCTGGAACAAGAAAGGTGGTGGTCAGAAATACCCATGTCTACCTCACAGCCCGGGAGTTTCTGGGAAAGCACCGTCCGCACCCTGGGAAACCCGTCTATTCATGCCGCTTCTCTCCTGTGTAGCCATTAGGGTTAAACTGCAAAAGAACGGCTCAGATGGGCCAGATGGCAGCACAACAAACAGCTCCTCCCTCCCCCACTGCCACGTGCTGCAGCCATGCTTATGTGCCAGGGAGGCGGTGTGCCAGGGAGGCGGCTGAACCCCTTGCTCTTTAAAAGAATGGCCACTGGGGAGGGCAGCAGGTTGTCCCTGCCGGCAGCCTGAGCACAATGGAGACAAACCAGAGGGGGAGCCGCCCTGACACACCACCCGGTCGCTCGCCCTCCTCGCCCATTGCCAGAGGGGCACCCGGAATCCATGCCCACAAAGGTTAATCTGCAAGGTGTCCGGCTGGCAGTCAGGGGGACGGTCCAGCATCAGCCCCATCACCATTCCTTTCCAGGGTTCCAATTTAATGAAGAGGATTAAAGTGACAAAAACAACAAGGCGCTATTGTGCTTGGCTGTGAATAGGAAAGCCACACAAGGGAAGCTTTCATTTATTTATTTATTTAAATGTTGCTTTGCAGATTTTAACAGTCGGCAGAAACCCAGAGCTGAAATGGGTTCCAGCCAGTGGCATACAAAGGAGGACTGTCTTAAAGGGACAGAGCCCTCTTTCCAAGCCAGAGGACGATACATGAGCACACGGCGGGCTCTAGTCTAAAATCCTGCAACCCGCGCTCCACCGGCCACAGGCAGATGCCCGGGGATATGCCATAAAGTTCCACGGAAAACGCAGCTCTCTGACAGCAGGTTCTGCTTGGCAGACACATAGCAGCTGCCAGGACCACACTGTCCTAAATCCCCGTGGGTACCGTCAAATGAACGTGTCCAAGGCATGCTTTAGGACCAGGATGTCTCTTTGAGGTCATCCAGCTGGCACCAGACCCCTCTGCCTAGCTTTCAAATACATCACTTGCCTTATTTTTTTCCACTATAATGATTAACCAGCATCCTTCTTACAGCCTCTGCCTTTCAATGGATAAAAAGGTCCATATTTAAACCAACAATGCGGGGAAACATTTTATAAAGTAATTAAGGAGTGAGCCCTCATTTGCGGAGAAGGTAAATATACAAAAGGTAACTACCTTAGTCAGAGTTGCTCCCAGGCCAAGGAGGTCATTGCCATTTCCTTTTCATCCCCTCCAGCTGGCCTGCTGCCAACGGGTGCCCTCCTGCTAATCACGGCCACACCCCTTTACAGACCTGGAAGTTTCATAAACACTGAATACACACACACACACACACACACACACACACACACACACACACACACACACGCTCCTTCTCTCTTAACCTTAAGCTCTGCCTAAAACAGCAGTGGCAGTAATGAAATAAAGCACCCAGCTTTTCTACAGCCTCTACAGAAACTACCACCTGCTCAGAGGAGAACAACTGGCTATTTACAAACCAGGCTTTGGGCTCAAAAGCGCGCATCTGGGAAACCATCTTGTTCCTCCAACCTCCAAAGATACAGTGATCATGGCGTGAGGGCTAAGAAACTCCAAATATCCTGAGCACTGGTTCCAGTATTCAGCACTTACTCGCCACATACCTGTGTCAATCCTACTAGTCAGACCTTAAACAAACCAGCGTGTTCACCTCCCTCTGCACTACCCTATGGGTGTAAGTCACTTTGTCTCCCAGAAAATCCCAGTGACTTATAATTTGAAAAACTTCAAAATACTGGAAACAACTCAGGCTTTGGAGACATACCAATGTTCAACAAACTGCTAATCTCTCTGGGCCTCAGTTTTGTCCAGCTGTAAAATGGCACTGCAGTTATTAGCACTGTTGTGAGGAATGCGTGATGGAAAAGATAAAGCTGTGAGCACAAATAGGTGCCCAACAAATGCCAAATGTCTTTCCTTTATCTGCATACCCAATTCATCTTCCTCTTTTGCTTCTTTCTAACAATGTCATCATTGACGCATTCAGCCTGCATTTACTGCTTGCCTACTAGGTGGAAGGCAGCGGGGGTACAACACTGAAGAGACAGATCTGGTTCCTTCCGGCAGGAGCAGCAGTCCCTGGAAGCATCCACTGAGAAGGTGATGACTTCAGGTGTGCATGTTAACGAGGGATCATGCACAAGGCTGTATGAATCCACAGCATGGGTGCCTCACCCAACTTCTGGGACGGATCCGGGGACTGCCACTCTACAGGGAGTGGTCTTGGGTCCTAAGCCTAGCTTGGGGCCACACTCACCAGCTGGATGACCCTGGGCAAGTTACTTCGGCTATCTGTGCCTCAAAGCAAACAGTAAGCTAAGAGGTTGCTTCCTGAGCAGAGTACTGTTTAAAATGACTACAGCTTTTATATCACTTGGGGAACATACAAATGACCCACAATAATACAAAATCTGGTAAGTTAAAAACTATAGGATAAGAAGGCAGTGCTGTGAGGCATGGCTAACAACTGCAGGTAAGGCAGCAAACAAGAAAAAAAAACAGTCGAGGAGTCAAAGATAAAGTTCTTACAGATCATTACTGCAAGTGGAGAATGGCTTGGTTTAGGGGAACTTTTTTCCCCTCACTGAGAAAAGTAATTTTCAACTTTCACAAAACTCCATGCTGACATTACAAATATGTGGGGTCAGATCTTTAAGGCAGGGATAAGAATGCAACCAAAATCCAGTGTATCTTTCAGGTAAAATGTAACGGAAGAGAGATGTAAAGCAAACAGTTGTAATGATACCAGGATTTTACTGGAAGCCTGAAATTTTGAGACAGTCCTCAGGATAAATGTTAGGATCAGAGGATGAAGAAAGATGGATGTAGCAAAGGGGTGTGACTAGAGCAGGAGGCCCAGGTGACACTTTCTGCCAATAATACACTGAAGAGTTCACACCTTCACACAGTCTATCTACTTTGGGAAACCAATTAAGTTTCCCACTCACTGAGTCAGAAACACAGTAATACTTTTCAAACTTAGTACCTTAAAAAGGAAGGAAATTCTGATGTATGCTACAACACGGATGAACCTGGAGGACATTAAGCCAGTTGCAAAAGGGCAAATACTGAAGGATTCCACTGATAAGAGGCCCCTGGAGTAGTCAAACTACCATAGAGACAGACAGTGGGATGGATGTTGCCAGGGGCTGGGGAGAGGGGGAGTGGGAGAATGAAGGTTTAATGGCGGGTTTCAGTTTTGCAAGATGAAAAAGTTCTAGAGACTGGATTGCACAATAATATGAACGTATGAATGTACTACTGAACTTAACAGGCTGAAGATGGTACATTTTTTGTTATATGTATTTTACCACCATTAAAAATAAAGGCCTGGCATGGTGGCTCATGCCTATAATACCCCCGGCACTTTGATTTGTTTTTTTATTTGTTTGTTTTTGAGATGGAGTCTTGCTCTGTCACCCAGGCTGGAGTGCACTGCCGCAACCTCAGCTCACTGCAACCTCTGCCTCCTGGGTTCATGCAATTCTCCTGCCTCAGCCTCCCCAATAGATAGGACTACAGGTGCCTGCCACCACGCCCAGCTAATTTTTGTATTTTTAGTAGAGACGGGGTTTCACCATGTTGGCCAGGCTGGTCTCAAACTCCTGACCTCAGGTGATCAGCCTGCTTCAGCCTCCCAAAGTGCTGGAATTACAGGCGTGAGCCATCGCACCCAGCCATCCCCAGCACTTTGAGAGGCTGAGGGAGGGAGATGGCTTGAGCTCAGGAGTTTGAGACCAGCCTGGGTGACATGGCAAAACCTCATCTCTACAAAAAATACAAAAGTTAGCCACATGTGGTGGCACGCACTTGTAGTCCCAGCTACTTAGGAGGCTGAGGTGCGAGGACCGCGTAAGCCCTGGAATGTGGAGGTTGCAGTGAGCCCAGGTTGCACCACTGCATCCAGCCTGGGCGACAGAGAAAGACCCTCTCTCAAAAAAATAAAAATATAAAATAAACAAAAATTTCACAGCATATTCTAACTTCTCTGTCTGCTTACCTTAGTTCCTTTCCCAAGAAACTATGATTTGACTTTTGCGTAGTGCATTTTAAAATAAGTATCTCACCACCAATTTGCAGCCTAAGAGATTTGTTAAAAGAATTTACAACTGGGTGTGGTGGCTCACGCCTTGTAATCCCAGCACTTTGGGGGGCCGAGGCAGGTGGATCACCTGAGGTCAGGTGTTCAAGACCAGCCTGGCCAACGTGGTGAAACCCTGTCTCTACTAAAAATACAAAAATTAGCCAGGCGTGGTGGCATGCAGCTGTAGTCCCAGCTACTTGGGAGGCTGGGGCAAGAAAATCGCTTGAATTTGGGAGACAGAGGTTGCAGTGAGCCGAGATCGGGCCATTGCACTCCAGCTCGGGCGACAGAGCAAGACTCCGTCTCAAAAAATAAAAATAAAAAAATTTACACACACTACCCAGGACCAAAAAGAGTTAAATTAGCAGGCAGCTAGCAGAAATGGTATTCAACATAGAGGCAGAGGTGCCTTCCGGCAAATTGCCAATATGAATATTTAGACTATTCTAATTTAAATTTCTTCCATGCAAAAACTACCCAGTTTCCCCACTAACAGTAAATCTATTAAAGGCTTTTATTACTGCATTCTGCATTTTCAGGGAAGACTTCGGTCCTCTTCTCAGTGTTGGAGCCGTCTCATCTGACAGCTCCTCACGTTCACAGGCGATGCTGCCTGGGCTTTCACTCACTACTTTGTGACCTGGAGCAAACAATCACCTCTTCCAGCCTCAGTTTCCTCACTTATGTAATGAGGATGTCACCCAGCCCTTCTCAACTATCTTATAAAAGGAAGGTATTGGCTGGGCGCAGTGGCTCACGCCTGTAATCCCAGCACTTTGGAAGGCCGAGGCTCGTGGATCACTTGAGGTAAGGAGTTCGAGACCAGCCTGACCAACACGGTGAAAAACCCCATCTCTACCAAAAATATACAAAATTAGCCAGGCATGATAGCAGGTATCTGTAATCCCAGCTACTTGGGAGGCTGAGGCAGGAGAATCGCTTGAACCTGGGAGGCGGAGGGTGCAGCGAGCCGAGATCGCGCCATTGCACTCCAGCCTGGGCAACAAGAGCAAAACTCCATCTCACAAAACAAAAAAGTAAGGTATCAAAAAATTTAATTTAATAAATCCTAGAACTCAAAGACTTAGCTTGCATTTCAAGGTAGTAACAGAACCTAAGTGACAAAATTTTATCCTGCGAATTTGGTTTAGAAAAATAAAGTTAACATCCGCTTTCAATAAAAGCTAAAAACTAGAAAACAACCATTTTAAGAACCTTAACTTTTTCTAAAAGCTCACAGTGACAACACCTGATATAGCTGACATAGCTGGGGTTTCCCAGCAGCTTCTTTCTAGCACTCCACTGCTGTTTCGAAAGGATCCCAGGGACTGGGCGCAGAGCTCCACAGGGAAGAACCATTTTCTAGCCCTAGCCTCCTTGAGCCAAGTGGCCTGCTCCTTCACTCCCAGGGAAAGCCTGGAGTTCCCTCTTCCTCCAAACAAGCCAAAACAGCTTGCTCGCCCCTCCTCCCAAGGGGGCAGGCTCCTGTCCCCTGGGTGAAGCTGCCACTCCCCGTGCCTGCCAGCTGCAACCACTGTCAGCTTGCACAGCTGGGCCACGACACCCCTTCCGTGTCCAAAAGAGAGGCTTGGTGGCTTGGAAGTCAATTCTCTCTCACTTTACCCTCAGTGGCTCAGATCTGTTTGTTTGCTAGCCCTTTGTAATGCTCTGAATTTTTCTGTACATTGAAATATTCTCCCTCAGTCTGACAGCTGGAAAGGACCCCTAGCATTAAACGCGACGTACAATTCCAACTCCTTTTCTATGTGTATTGATGGAAAGAGGACTACTCGTGCCCAGGAAAGGTTCCCAAGTCCTTACCGAGTAAAACAGAAACTCCACGGGTGGCAGGCCTAGAGGGGAGATCACCCTGAATCTGTCCCGCTGTTTTCTGCCCCCCTATTTCAAACCTCACGGAAGCTGGACCAAGGAAATTGACTACTGGCATGTTCCTAAGTCTCAGGCTTAGAAGAAACGACACTGAATGCCTGGATACCTATCCAAAAGTGTAGTGGAAAAACCTTCAGAGGAGAGCATAGAATGCAGACCCAAAGGACAGACATGCAGAGAGACAGCCACGCACACATCAGCTCCTACTGCTGGCTGCTGGGTGGGAGAGGCAGGCAGGCAGCAACGCATAATGGGAAATCTGCTGACAGGGCTCCACACGCCATCCACCAGCCTCTTACCCACGGTGAGTCCCCTCTCCTGCGGCCCCAGTGTCCTGGCCAGCCCTGGGCAGCAACATCAAAGCCTCGGCAGGTCACAGCTCTCCACGTCAGAGGCCATGGTGGCTCCGTGCAGCGACCCCACAGTACCAGGCTGCCGGGAGCTCCCACAGCTGTAGGTGCAGGGAGAGCCGGAGCAAGGACAGCATGTGTGCGCCAGCACAGCAGGGGTAGAGAAGAAGGTGTCCAGAGAAAACAAAAGCTGAGAGCACCGGCCCTGCAGGTGGAAACTCGCTGGGCCCGGTGGGGAAGGCTGGCGCAGAGCGCAGAGATGGACGCGCAGAGCTGCAGCCCTAGCAGACGCTCCGAGTGTGTGCTGCTCCGCTCCTCCAGGCTCATTTCCATGAATGCAGTCACAGCCAGCCCCTCCTACTATCCCCCATTCCCGGCCTCCCGGGGGGGAGGGGAGGCACCACCAGCATTTGCGCACAGGCTGCACTTGCTTTCCTCTCTCCCTCAGAAGCAAAAGCCTAATGCCTGCTTTCACTGCAAGAATGCCAACCTTACTCCAGATGCCCTCTCCTTTCTGCATGGATAAACAAGAGACTGGATCTAGGGGGTGGATGTTCTGTCACCCCAAAGGCACAAGCCTAGTCCTTTCCACTGCCCCGCATCAGGTCAGCAGGCAAAGTGGCACTGACCAGACTGCTCCAACACCGTCCTGGAGGGGCTTCAGGAGGAGTATCCTTTGCTCCCTTCCTCCAGGGATCCCATGCCCTCCACTTCCACGAGGGACACTCCAGCCTTTTCACCAAGAAGGACTCGCCTCCTACTCAGTACACTCGCAGCCACCAATGGTTATTTCTTCACCAGAGGCTGTGGCATCGCCTTTGAGGACACCTGCCTATTATCAGGTTGGAATGTTAGGCAAGCGAACCTTGGGGATGATAATACAAGATGGCTGGTGACAAGAAATATGGCTACAGCCTGAGGATAGCAGCTCTCAAACCTCAGAGGGCACGAGAATCACCAAGGGCGCCTGTTAAACACGCAGATTTGGGACCCCAGTCCCAAAAGCATGAACTCCAGAGACCCAGGCCCCTAAGTGACACAGAATACAGGGTTACTGCAGACCACACACAGCTTTTGACTAAGAAGGGAGGAGATATTTTTTAAACAATTCTAAAATAACCAAGGAGAGAAAGTAAAAGGGAAATCACCGTGCTAGAGCAGGGTTCTTCAGTCTGGGCATTACTGGCACAGGGAGCAGGTCACTCTTTGTGGTGGGGGCTTCCCTGTGCCTTGCAGGGTGCTTAGCTGCGTCCCTGGCCTCTACCCACTAGGTGCCAGCAGCATCCCCATCCCAATTCCCCACAACCAGGTTTGACAACCAAAAATGTCTCCAGGCATTGCTGAATGTCCCCTGCGGGACAAAACTGTCCTGGTTAAGAACCATTGCTCTAGATAAACAATGGAAGAGGGGGTGGAAATCCTAAAAACACTCCCATACCCTCCCTCCTTTCCAGTCTCCTGCCGTTAGGAAATCAGTCATGGAAGGCACCCGCCCCTCTGCAAGCCCTGCCTCCACTGCCATGCCATGGGGGTTGGGCTGGCTGGGGAATGCAAACAGACGTCCTCATCACCAGGCAGTGCCACCAGGCCTGACCCAAATACCCTGGCTCTGCGTTGTATCTTGTCTTTCAAGAAACAGCCATAGTGTGAACAATTTTCTTTTAGTGTCAAGAGAGTAGTACTTATTTAAAAGAATCATACTAAGTCCATGAAAAACAAATTCTAAAATTCTACATTCTACAAAATGTATATTGAGAGTCCCAGTGCAACACGTCCCTGGGCCCCTGTCTTCCTCCTTCTCACTGTCTAGTAAGCCATCCCACCTCTCCTCCCAGTCCAAGGAAGATTCCACTTTCCCGGGATCCACCAGAGTACTCAGTTACATCTCTTTGCTTCTTTCTTCTTGTTCAGAAGCTCATCCTCACCATCCGCCATCCGTCGAGTCTTACCTCCTACAGGGAGAACTCAGATTCCTCCAGCCATGCTCCCTGCTCAGTTTACCCATATTAACCATCACCTGATGACCTTCTTTATCACTTGGTAAATAACCAGGTGATAAATTACGTGATACAAACAAACTCAGTGAAGACAGCCTGGACTATCCACGCTGGTTATCTACCACCATGTTTCCCAGGGATTTCATGTGAGATTAAGCTCTTGCTTTTCAGTAATATCTTGTACTGTAAATATTCTCATAGCACTTTTCATAGTCCTAAGGGCTGTCTTATTTTGAGGTGACATCACTGGTTTTTACACAAATACACATATACACATACACACTCTCTTCAGGGATTGAAAGAGCCCAGCAGGTGAGTTCTGACCCGTGACTCTCTACAGAAGACTCAGTCATCATGTGCAAGGCTCACTATGACTCTCTCTTTAACATGGCCAGCTTCCACTACGCCGACAGAGTGGATCACAGCCGGGGTTTACCTGTGGTGTGTGAACCTAGGCAAAGGCTTTAGCTTGACCCAGGCCAGAGACTGCAGGTGGCAAAAACCTGCACTTTCAGTTAATTCTAGGCACAGACAACATGAGAAAAGGATGTCAGTGGACAAAGAAGTTACAAGAAAAGCTGCAACCAAGAAGTCTACAGTGTGGCCCTCCTCATATCTGAACAAAACAGATGCCACAATATATACCACACAATCAAGCTTATGAAACCACATCCATCAGAGAGAATCACAGGAAACGACTGGCCACAGAATAGGAATCTCAGGACCAACAGAAAACATGAACGTTTTAAAAAATAATTTCTCAGACTCATAATTCAACAGTCTTTTTTTTTTTTTTTTTTTGAGACGGTGTCTTGCTCTGTCACCCAGGCTGGAGTGCAGTGGCGCGATCTCGGCTCACTGCAAGCTCTGTCTCCCAGGTTCACGCCATTCTCCTGCCTCAGCCACCCTAGCAGCTGGGACTACAGGCACCCGCTACCACGCCTGGCTAATTTTTTTGTATTTTTAGTAGAGACAGGTTTTCACCATTAGCCAGGATGGTCTCGATCTCCTGACCTTGTGATCTGCCCGCCTCAGCCTCCCAAAGTGCTAGGATTACAGGCGTGAGCCACCGCGCCCGGCCTCAACAATCTTTTAAAAAGTTCACTGCATGGAAACGAGGCCCCCTGTCAGTTACTGTGGAAGAGGCCCCCTGTCAGTTACTGTGGAAGACACAATGCTGAAAAGACATGGTTTCGGCCCTCCAAGAGCTCATGTGTTACTATTCCTTTTAAAGAAAAAAGAAACAGGCAGCCCGTAAATGCCAAATAAATGCTGTCTGCAAGGTGCTATGCGGAGTGGGGCTCAGAGAAGAGCAGGGCCCAGGTTAGTCCAAGACGGTTCCACGCGAGAGCCTGGGAGAGGGCAGTCCAGGCAGAGGTGGAAAGGGCAACACAAGGGACAGAGTCTGGAAGAGCAAGCTCCAGGCAGACTGTGGTGCCTTTGAATTTGACACCGAGACAGGTGGATTCTATTCTGCTGTTGAGTTGGGCGAGAGATAAAGAAGCTCTTCTGGAAGAGCAAGAAGCGGCAGCCAGGCGCCATGAGAAAGAAAAGGGACTGGAAGCTTTGCGTAGTCTTCACTGCACCGCGGTCTGCACTCCTGTTCAGAAGCGGTAGCAAAGAAATAAGTGGTTTTTTGCCCTACTCCAACTCACACCTTCAACTACCATCCTTATCCAGCACTAATTCCCCAAACCACTACTGACTTCCCATCCTCTTTCCAGTTCTCTCTCTCAGGCTCAAGGACAGGTGCAACCAGAAAGTGACCCTCTGACAAGCGTGCAAGGGCAATGTGCATCAATCATTTTATTTCTAAAGCGGAAAATGAGGCACAAGGAATACATTCAAATCTCGCAGTTTCATCAGCATCCCAAACCCACGAATTCACAATGCTGCTCAAAGGTCCTCTCTGCCCATGAGGCGTCCCCAAACCCCAAATCACCTGGGCCACAGGCTCCAAGCACCACAGACATGATAAGCATAAAGCTTTTAGGCGAGTCAGCATTCTCAATCTCCCCTCCTTCTGTGTCCCATGAAAACAGAGGCCTGGGGTTTTTTTTACTTTTTTCTTTAAATTCTATTCCACTCCTTACACTTAAAAATGCCTCATTATTCTTTAGTAAATGCTAGGAGCATAAAATCTTCTTCAAAGAAGCAAAAACTGGCATCTGTTCCTGCTCTGAGAAGTCCTTGAAGATCTCTTGAAAGGAAGGTCATTTCTACCTGCACCTCAAAATAGAAACAAACTGGCTCCCTGTTCCAGACATCACCCTTACCAGAGTTGCCCCGAGTCCGGGTTTGCAAAAGTTTGGGAGAGGTGTAAGAAGGAGCTGACTAGGGCACCAGCCTTCCAAGTCGCGGGAAGGTCCAGGATACTGGCCCCCTGCCTCCACCTACCAGCAGGGCAAGGCTGGAGCAGGCACGGCCGACCCAAGCCTCCTGGCGAGTGCATCCTTCTGGTGCCAACTCAGTGTGTTAGGAGGGCAGGCTTCTTCTTCTCTGTCTTGGCTGCTCTCATGAGGCTGCTCTTGGACCGTCCCCTATCTCCTGCCCATGCAGGGGGCAGAACTGTAGGAGGAAGAAAGACGAGACCTATGGCAGGGGCAGCCAAGGAGAGCAGTGAGGAGGAGCAGAAGGCAGGCCAAGCTCTGCACCTTTGAGATCCAGGGCAGCACACCCACTCCAGAACTAGCTGAAGAGGTGCTGACCCATGAGAGGGCAGTGAGTCCCTGATATCATGCAGGTGTCCTATGGCCTCCCTCCACGACAAATGGATGCCCACCTCTAGGTGGCACGATATAGTCAGTTTCTCTGGACAAACTCTATTCTACCCCAAACACTGGTAAATCCTCCCCAAGCCAGGCTGGTTCCTGCAGCAGGGCCAGCCTCTCATCTAGACAGGAAAAAGAAACATGGAAAACAAAGGGGACCTGAGCAAAGGTAGAAAGACCCCAGTAATCAAAGTTCTCGTACATACACCACGATGTTTAAAAACATTATTTACGCCGGGTGCAGTGGCTCACTCCTGTAATTCCAGCACTTTTGGGGGCCGAGGTGGGTGGATCACTTGAGGTCAGGAGTTTGAGACCAGCCTGACCAACATGGTGAAACCCCATCTCTACTAAAAATACAAAATTAGCCAGGTGTGGTGGCACATGCCTGTAATCCCTGCTACTTGGGAGGCTGGTATTACAAGAGAATCACTTGAACCAGGGAGGCAGAGGTTGCAGTGAGCCAAGACCACGCCATTGCACTCCAGCCTGGGTAATGAGAGCGAAACTCCATCTCAAAAAAAAAAAAATTATTTACATTACCAACATGATGTTTACAGAAATATAATAAAAAGGATATTAAACTTCACATGGGAAAAAATATATATGACAATAGTCAGAAAAATATGAAAGGGAGAAAGGGTAACGTGAGGGTGTAGCTACCTGAGATTAAAGCACGTGAGGCTTTGGTAATTGAAACTGCAACGGAAGAAAAAGACCAGAAAACAAACTCAAGAAATACTGAAACACACACGTAGCACTTTGAATCGGTAAAGAAAAATAGGATTATTCAGTCAAGGGTGCTGAGCAAATAAATAGCCAGCTAGCCATTTGGGATAAAACTAAGCTGAAATGAATTCTAGCTTAATCAAAGATGTTAATGTAAAATAAAACCTGAATAATTCTAGAATAGAGCATGAATTAGTATAGTCATAATATTGGTGAGTCTGCTCATTTGCGACATGAAAATGAAAAGCTTCTGAGTGAAAAATAATATCCCATAAGCTAAAAGGTAAACAACTAGGACAATAAATTCACAAAACATATGACAAAGGGTTAATATCTTTTTTTAAATTAATTAACTTATTATTTTTAGAGAGAGGGTCTCACTCTGTACCCAGGCTGGAGTGCAGTGGTGTGATCATAGCTCACTGCAGCCTCAAACTCCTGGCCTCAAGCGATACTCCCACCTCAGCCTCCAGAATAGCTGGGACTATAAGTATGTGCCACACCTGGCTAGGGTTAATTTATTTAAGTCACAAAGAAAGCAGCATAAAAATTAGTAAAGCAAAGATGAATACAATGAGCAAAGGATATAAAAGACAGATTACAAAAAGAGAAATACAAATGGTCACACAGAAGAAGATGCTCACAGTCACTATGTGTTTAATGCAAATTAAAACATGAATAACATACCATTTTCCATTAGTCTGGCAGGAATCAGAATGCCAGATGAGACGAAATACTGTCAGGGGAGTGGGCTACACAGGCAGTCTCCCGTGCTGCTGGGAGAGTGTAAACTGGTACAACCTTTTGGCACTAGCAAAACATAAAGAGCACACACCTTTTGATTTGATTTGAATCAAACTTATGAATTTGATTCTTAAATTCCACTTAAGAGTGGATATGCTCCCCAAATTCCAAAAATTTTAAACTACCTAAAAACTACTTGGTAATTTAAAAGAATGAGGTGATTTGTAAATGCTAACATGAAAAGATCTCTAAGACACATCTGGTGAAACAGGATGGCACAGAATACCTTCTCACAAGTAACACCTACGCTTGCTAAACACACAGGGAGCTTCTGAGAAGGACACACTTGAAACTGCTAGCAGGAATCACCTTTCAAAGCAAGGACTGTGGAAAGAGAGTGGGGGAGGCCTGGACTCTTCCTCTTCTGCCTATCTGTATATCTGGATCCACAACTAACACAAAATTTGATGTTGAAGTTTTTATTCAAAGAAAATACAGAAATGCCCCCAGCCACTTATATTTGCTCAGACTGGCCCAATATTTCTATTATAGAAGAAACATCCTTGGATTCTGTTTTAATGCCCATGAAGTGCCTGTTGTAACTACACCCATTCTGCTGTGATTTCGTATGTGGTCTCTCGTCTGAATTCTGTGACTCAGAATCCCAATTCTTCACAGAAAACACAAAGGGAAAGAGACTTTAGACACCAGAAGGAAAGGCGTCAATAGTCACTGACTAGGCCGGGCGCGGTGTCTCACGCCTTTAATCCCAGCACTTTGGGAGGCTGAGATGGGCGGATCACGAGGTCAGGAGATCAACACCATCCTGGCTAACACGGTGAAACCCCATCTCTACTAAAAATACAAAAAAAAAAAAAAAAAAAATTAGCCGGGCATGGTGGCGGGTGCCTGTAGTCCCAGCTATTCTGGAAGCTGAGGCAGGAGAATGGTGTGAACTCGGGAGGCAGAGCTTGCAGTGAGCCGAGATCACGCCACTGCACTCCAGCCTGGGCGACAGCGAGACTCCGTCTCAAAAAAAAAACAACAGTCACTGACTCAAAAAAAGAAATTCACTGCATCTTTTTTTAGGTCAGAAATTGAGCTTCCATGATTCCTCTGTAGAGGAAGGAAGAACATGATACAAGTTACGAAATTATTATTATTATTTTTTTGTTTTTGAGATGGAGTCTCGCTCTGTCGCCCAGGCTGGAGTGCAGTGGTGCAATCTCAGCTCACTGCAAGCTCCGCCTCCTGGGTTCACGCCGTTCTCCTGCCTCAGCCACCCGAGTGGCTGGGACTACAGGCGCCCGCCACCACGCCCGGCTAATTTTTTGTATTTTTAGTAGAGATGGGGTTTCACCGTGTTAGCCAGGAAGGTCTCGATCTCCTGACCTTGTGATCTGCCTGCCTCGGCCTCCCAAAGTGCTGGGATTACAGGTGTGAGCCACCGCGCTCGGCACGAAATTATCTTCTTAAGGAAGAAGTGAATGTGCTAGGGAAAGTCCTCACACACCAGCTGATCTACAGGAAAGCAGAATTTGACTTTTCTGTCTCCATTTTTCCCCTAGTGTATTACCTAGGGCTACAGAATCAACGCATCACATAGTCAGGAGAAAAACAAAAAGGTAACTTGGAATATATGAAGGCAGGAGATCAGCATAACTCAACAGTGGCTGTTGAAACTTAAAATCCTGGCTGATTTGGACTCAGTTTTCAGAGTCCTTCCCAGGAGCCACAGCAATGGCTTTCATTTGCAGAACTGACCAGGGCTAGACTAGATAACTTCTAAGGCACCTCATGGCTTTAAGAGTCTGTGATTACACTACTGTTAGTGACTCTGTCCCAGGTAATTACTTAATGGCTCCAGCCGTAACACAAAACCCATATGAATTCCCCACAAGTTAAAGTTCTTCTGAAGGTAAACAGGAGAAGATGGTGGCAGTTTTAAGAGTCCTTTTCTAAAAAGGAAATCTCGTCGGGCGCGGTGGTTCACGCCTGTAATCCCAGCACTTTGGGAGGCCGAGGTGGGCAGATCACGAGGTCAGGAGATCGAGACCATCCTAGCTAACACGGTGAAACCCCGTCTCTACTAAAAATACAAAAAATAGCCGGGAGTGGTGGCGGGCGCCTGTAGTCCCAGCTACTTGGGAGGCTGAGGCAGGAGAATGGCGTGAACCCGGGAGGCGAAGCTTGCAGTGAGCTGAGATAGTGCCACTGCACTCCAGCCTGGGCGACAGCGAGACTCCGTCTCAAAAAAAAAAAAAAAACAAAAAAAAACAAATAAAAAGGAAATCTCAGCTAGGCTGAAAACAGAAAGAAAGGCAGAGACAAGAACACTATAAATCCAGTAAAGTTGCCTTTGCAGGATTATCAAAATCCAAGGGAAAAATGAGAGATGGATACTACTAAAAATTTCCAGGAGGTCTAGCCCAGCATCTCTGATTTAACCAGCAGTAAACTGCATGCAGGTTCTGTCAGCCTGCAGCCACACACAGGTTCCTGCGAACCCTCCTGAAGCACAGGGAGGGGTGGATGAAAACGGGAATCTCTGCTGTTTCCTAGGGCCACTCCTGCTCCAACTCTACCTCCTATCTGCATCTACAGTCCCTGACTTTGTCCTCCCTTCGGCTGACCACGCTGCAGGCTGATAAAGGCTCTTAATGCCCAGACCTGTGCCTACCAAGACCTAAGATACCTGCCTTTTCTCTCCACCGATACTGACATCTTAGAAAATTCCACCTGTTGCCTTCCACATCCCTCCTGTCTAATCAGACTTTGGGTCTTGATCCCCCACAGCCAGTCCTGTGCTTTCATATTCCATAATGAAGAGAAAACTTGGGAGGCTACACAAAGACTCAGATAATGGATAAGGGTCAGCTTTCTTCAGAGGGGCAGAATCCAAGCCCTTGTTTCTATTCACCTTCATTAAGAAGAAAGGGCAGTTCTAATCCTCTGTGTAATACCGTGAGCATTCATCTCTGGTGTACTCAACAGGAAAGCCTATAAAATTCAAACCAGAGTGAATCCTCTTCAAAACTTGTCACAGCAGATGGTGATACAGGTTTCTTGCTATGATGTGTGCTTTGTACAATGCCAAACATGCTCCTGCTTAAAAATAAAGATGTAACCATTTCTGATTCTGCAAAATACAAAATCCATAAGGAAGGGAGTGAGAAATATCTAGGGGGATATGAATTGATAGTTACAGCACCTCAGGTCTTCCTGCAAACACCACAACCTGAGCAACTTGTCCAACTAGAGACTACCACAATCACATGGCACGCATTAAAACATGGGATAACCACCGGGCGCGGTGGCTCCCGCCTGTAATCCCAGCACTGTGGGAGGCCAAGACAGGTAGATCACGAGGTCAAGAGATAGAGGCCATCCTGGCCAACATGGTGAAACCCTGTCTCTACTAAAAATACAAAAATTAGCCGGGCGTGGTGGTACGTTCCTGTAGTCCCAGCTACTCGGGAGCCTGAGGCAGGAGAATCACTTGAACCCGGGAGGCAGAAGTTGCAGTGAGCCAAGATCACGCCCAGCCTGGCAACAGAGTGAGACTCCATCTCAAAAAAAAAAAAAAAAAAAAAAAAAAAAAAGGATAACATGGAAAGTTCACGTCAAGGACAGCATTTTAGAAGCAATCTGAAAATCCAGTGTCCCACTGAGGAAGCCTATACTTCATTCTATTTGGCATATTTTCCTACAAATAATACTAGTTTATACACACATGCTATCTTACAGCTTAAAATGTTTTCTCATTTCCACTTTTTTAAATTTTCCAACAAAGCTCAACTGTAACTCTGCATATTTCCTGACAATGAACTATACACTGTTCTCATCAGTTTACAGGTAAGATAAAGACTCAATGAGTACAAATAATCTACCTCGGGTACACTACCAATAGAGCCCAATTCACATTCCGGTCACCGGCTGCATCCTCAGCTCTTTTTTTTTTCTCTTACTGAAATACACAGATTCACTTCAGCTCAGCGTTTACTGAGCATCTGCCATAGGCGCAGCCTGTGCTTGGAGCTGGGATTTAAACAGCTCCAGTCCCTGGCCTGCACAGAAAGTGAAGGCCAGTGGGGACAGGCATGTAAGCCCGTAGCAGCAGCACACCCGGCCACAGCGGCCAAGTGCAGCAAGTACTCACAGAATTCCAGGCGATGCCAAGAGGCTTCAGAGGGGCCAACCTGTGAGCCAGAACTTGAAGGACCAACGGATTCCCCAGATGGACAAGAACAGAATGGTGTATACCAAGCAAGATAAAGTGTATGGAAGTGACAGAGGCCAGCAACAATGGGCACACCACAGGGCAAGGCCCAGGACACAGCAGGGCTGAACTGGCACCCTGAAGGGGGCTTAGTGTCTGCCTGTGAAGGGCCTCAGGTCCCACACCAAAGATTTTGGAATCTATCCCAAAGAGATGCCAAAGAGAGAGTTCAAAGGCAAATCAAGGCCGGGCACAGTGGTTCACGCCTGTAATCCCAGCACTTTGGGAGGCCAAGGTGGGTGGATCACATGAGGTCAGGAGTTCAACACAAGCCTGGCCAACATGGTGAAACCTCGTCTCTGCAAAAAATACAAAAATTAGCCGGGTGTGGTGGCATGCACCTGCAGTCCCAGCTACTCAGGAGGCTGAGGCAGGAGAATCGCTTGAACCCAGGAGGCAGAGGTTGCAGTGAGCCAAGATTGCACTCCAGCCTCGGCAACAGAGCGAGACTCTGTCTCAAAAAAAAAAAGGCAAATCAAGGGGGACTGACATTAACAAGATTAAATAGCTAAAAATAATAATAACTTATGGCAGTTAAGAAAATAGTGCCCAATTAATTAAACTGGTTAATTCTCACTAACACACATATACAGAATGAAAACTGACGAATGTATGTACCAATGTACCAATGTACCAGGTAAAAAAAAGCTTTTTTTTTTTTTTTTTTTTTTTTTAGAGACAAAGTCTCACTCTGTCACCCAGGCTGGAGTGCAGTGGTACGATTTCGGCTCAACGCAACCTCAGCCTCCTGGGTTCAAGCTATTCTCCTGCCTCAGCCTCCAAGTAGCTGGGATTACGGGCTCCTGCCACCACACCCGGCTAATTTTTGTATTTTTAGTAGAGACAGGGTTTCACCATGTTGGCTAGGTTGGTCTGGAACTCCTGACCTCAGGTGATCCGCCTGCCTGGGCCTCCCAAAGTGCTGGGATTATCAGTGTGAGCCATCGCGCCCAGCCAGAAAGCAATATTTTTAACCTAAAAATTGTGGGTTTGAGATTAATGCAGCAGAAGAGTCTGACTTCCTTAAAGAATATTTTCAAAAACCCCCACATACCCTTTCTTAGGCGTGTTCTTTAGGGCGTAAGTCTAGTTAAAAGCAGCTCTATGGAAAGCATAACTGACTCTTAACTTCTGCCCTCCCCTGGGATCTCAGGGACCTGCCAGAGGAAACTCCATTTGTCCCCCTCCTTTTACACCTACCTAAATGCCACTCTGTCTCTCACGGCAATGTCTAAGGGCATCTATTTTAGCAGTGGTTTAAAGGGCAACACTGCCTTCAGTCCCAGGTGACAACACAAGGAAATACCATGGGAGGGGGTAAGGGAAGCGAAGAAGCACCAGTTCTTTAAGGTTACTTGGTCAAAGCAAAGCTGTTCAGTAATTCTACCTCTAAGCTCCCGGCCCCTAACCTCATGCCCCACCCCCATCACTCCCACTGTTGATTAGGGTAGTTCATGTTGACTTTTGAAGCCTCCAGGATAAAAAGTGACTATTACACAGCACCTCCGGTGGGTCTGAAGCTAGGCTCACCCGGAAGGACCAGAAGCAAGTAAGCGTGAGGGACCATGGCCAGGCCCGGCTCACTCCTGCTGTCCCAGCATAGTCACTAGTGTCCTCTTCCACTCTCAAAAGTGTTCCCTTTGGAACTAGATCTTGGCTAGTGTGGACTCACCTTTCAGTTAGAAAAGCACCAAGCAGGCAGTTCAGCCCTGGCCTGGCACGTCCCCTCACTACTGACCCCTCTTCAGATACAGAAGTATCGTTATGGACACCTGTGCATGCTTCCCTCCCAGCGTCCCCCACGCGTGCTGCAGCTTTCAGTGTCGCCCGTGGACACTGTCCAGGATCATTTGCACTTAGAGGTGGGGCTTTCAAATGTGCTTTATAGTGAACCAGAGTGGGAAAAGCCTAAAGAGGACACCCAAGTTTTATTACAACTTTCACAAAATCCACTTGAAACATAGCCAGATATTTATTCCAAACTTAAAAATATCACACATTACCAGCTACAACCCAGTACGCATTTTACTATTTTGTCTTGCAGCATTACAACACCACCATCTGATAAGGTGCCACAATAAAATACAATAAAACACACACACATCCACAAACACAACTCCTGTGTTGACCCAGGGCTTTAAGACACAGCTCTTCAGCAGAATCTCTTGGGATTTAGAAGGCACAGCTTGTCATCCCATTACTCATAGCTCCACTGTTTACAGTACAGGTGTGGAGCAGATAAAGGAAGTTCTACAGACCCTGCCCTCCCAGGCTTCAAACAGTCCTCACCTAACAACCAAAGGGAGAAGACCACATCGTCTTTTCCCTTAGACACATTTTATTTAACAAAACAAGTACTATTTATCCCAAATCTCACTGGTTCTTTCAATCCGATCTCTAATGTCTTTACTTTTTAGTATCAGATTCTTTCTGGATATTTGTGGAATTCCCAGAAGTTCTGACCAACTGTTATTTTGATACAGGAAGTAGACACAATCACCAAGTATGAAGTGGAATCTACCAAGAAACACCCAAGGCGGAACTCTAACGAAAGCAAAGATTGGAGGAGAACTTCTTTGGTTTAAAAACACTGAGTTACCTTAATATCTCTCTCTCTTCTCGCTCTTTCTCTCTCTCTCCTCTCTCTCACTCTCTGACACACACACACATACACACACACACACCCGAGAGAGCCTCAGCTTCCTAACCACTAAGAGACTATGCAGTCTTTCTCCTGAAAACAGTAAGATAAAAACCAGAGTCTAGGTTGGTCCTTAACTCCTCCCCAAAAGGCTCAGTAAACTATCCTCACAGGATTTCACATACTAATGAAAAGAGATACCTAAAACTCCACTCCATATACCCCAAGCCGCATCAGTCCCGGCCGGGGGCTGCGGCTTTGACTCACCGTCCTCCTCTTCGGTTTTAAGGACCATCTTGTTTCCTTACAGCGGGACACGAAAAGTCCGTTCTGTGCTTCCAGGAGAGCGGTAACTTACTGGGAGCCAAGTTTTCCTGTGGGGTCTGACTGGGAGGGGCCGGGGATACCTGTGAAGCTGTCCAGCCACTAGGGCAGCTCAGAGCTGCTTCCTGAACAGACAGGCAATGGCTGGCTGCACGCCTGGGCCAATCAACCTCCAGCCTCCAAAGAAGCGGCACTCCCAGTCAGTGCCACCACCCAGTTCCTGAAGTCGAGCTCAAGCACCTTCCGAGTGTGTTAACCATCTGCTTCCCTGAAAGCAATCTTACACTGGAGTCAAACTAGTTTAGTAGCCACACTTCTAGTCTTTTCTCAAACTCAACCAAAGTCATAGCCAGGACTCACTGCTGTTTTTCTCTTCACTTTCAAGTACAGTTGTCCCTTGGTATCCAAGGGGGACTGGTGCCAGGAACTCCGATGGACACCAAAACCCACGGATGCTTGAGTCCTTAATTATTTGCACATAAGCTACACAAATCCACTCATATACTTTAAATCATCTCTAGATTACTTCTAATACCAAATACAATGTAACTGCTATGTAAACAGCTGTTATGCTATATTGTTTAAAGAAAATGAAAAGAAAAAAGTCTGTATGTATTCAGTACAGGTGTGACCTTTTTTTATTTTCCAAATATTTTCCATCCACAATAGGTTAAATCCATGGATGGGGAGCCCATGGAAAGCCGACTACATTTTCTTAAAATGGAATCATTAAAATCCCTGGTCCCCTCACAATGAGATAATAGCCCATTTCCCAAGAGCATGACTAAGAGATCGTAATCATTACAGCATGTTATGAGGTCACAGGCTAAAAGCAGAAAGCAGATATTAGAGGCAAAAAAAAAAAAAAAATCCAAGGGCCAAACTCCCAATCTAAGTTCAGTTTCATCTCCATTATGATTTCTAATATGCTGCACCCAAAGATTCTTGCCTGCACAGTCCTATCATGTTCATGACACATATTCATTGTTGAAGATTAGAAAATAGTAACAAGGAAAAAAAACACCTTAATCCTATCACCAAGAGATAGCCATTGGTGACATTTTGGTAGACATTTTCCAGACTTTTGTTATAAGTATTATATATATTCTCTCTCTCTTCTATAGATACACACACACACACACACACACACACGATATTTTATATGTCGTTTTATAGCTACTTATTTTTACTTATAACATTTTTTCATGACTGTAAATGGACATCTATCACATTTATTATTCTTCTCAGTCTAGACATAATATTTAACCAGTCCCATATTGTAAGACTTCTAAGTGATTTCCAATTCTTCTACGTATCTCAATACACGTGTGCACACGTTTCGGCACATCTCTTTAATTATCTCCATAGAAAAAAATTCTCACAAGTAGAACTGCTGGATCCAGACATAGCTTCCCACCTCATCATCGTAATAGATAACATTTATTGCATGCTTACTCTGTGCCTAGCTTGATGTGACCTAACTCATCTAATCCTGAAAACATCCCATGGGGTGAGTGTCCTCGCCATCCCCAGATCACAGATGAGGATGCTAGCACCCAGAGACGTTGCATGGCTTGCCAAAGCACGAGACCTGGCTGCAGAGCCCATCCTCCGCACCCTGCTCTCTGCTGGACTCCCAAACCCCTCTCCTATTAGTCTTCATTGTAAATGCAAACACCTGCAGCAGCTTTG